>NC_000004.12:3587030-3893527 GCF_000001405.40 Homo sapiens | reverse complement strand
CAAAACGGTGAGGCAGCGGTGTGTTACCTGCCGACAGCATGATGCGAGGCAAGGTCCAGCCATTCCGCCCGGCATACGAGCTTATGGAGCAGCCCCCTTTGAAGGTCTCCAGGTGGACTTCACAGAGATGCCAAAGTGTGGAGGTAACAAGCATGTACTAGTTCTTGGGCGCACCTACTCTGGGTGGGTGGAGGTCTGGGTCTTCGTCCCCAAACCTGGATGTTAGCAACGAGATCACAGAGGGGGTGTACACACCCTGCGACATGGGAAGTAATATGATCCTCTCCCCACCTGGATACTGGGAAAGATACCACAGCGCGGGTATACATTTCCTACGCTTTTGAGAGTAATATCATTCTTTTCCTTTCTGGATATTAGGGAGAATATCACAGGGGTGCTGTACAATTACTTCGACATTGGGAATAACATCATCCTCTATTTTCCTGGATATTGGGCACAAAAACACAAAAGGGTGAACAATCCCTGCGATATTTGGAGTAATATTATCCTCTCCCCTCACGATTATTAAGAACAATATCGTAGGGGTGGGGGATGTACACCCCCTTTCATGTTTCATAACATCCTCTTTCCCCCTGGATATTAGGAACAATATCAGGAAGGGATGTACAGACCCTGCGACCTTTGCTGTCATATAATTGTCTCTCCCCTAGATACTGGGAAAAAATGTCCCTGGGGATGTGAACAGCCCTGCGATATTGAGAGTAGTATCATCCTCTCCCCCCTTGCATATTGGGAACAACATCACAGGTGGGGTGTACTGCCTCTGTGATATTGGGAGTGAAATTTTCCTCTCTTCCCCTGGACATGAGAAAGTGTATCAGAGGGGGAGGGTGTACATTCCCTGTGATATTCAACGTAACCTTATCCTCTCCCTCCCAGGGTATACAGAACAATATTACAGGAGGGGTGTACACCCTCTGCGATATTAAGAGTCATATCATCCTCTTTCGCTCTGGATATTAGGAACAATATCACAGGGTTGTGTACACCCCCTGCGATATTGGGAGTCATATCATCCTCTCTCCCTGTGGTTATTAGGAAGAGTATCACAGGGCTGTGGAAACCCCCTGCGATACTGGGAGTAATACCATCCTCTCTCCCTCTGAAAATAGGAAGATTTTCACAGGGGTGTGTTCACCGCCTGCGATTTTGGGAGTAAGATCATCCTCTCCACCCAGGAAATGACTAACAAGGTCATGGGGGGGTGTACTCCACCTGCGATATTGGGAGTAATGTCGTCCTCCCCAAACCTGGATGTTAGCAACGAGATCACAGAGGGGGTGTACACACCTTGTGACATTGGAAGTAATATGATCCTCTCCCCACCTGGATACTGGGAAAGATACCACAGCGCGGGTATACGTTTGCTACACTGTTGGGAGTAATATCATTCTTTTCCTTTCTGGATATTAGGAGAATATCACAGGGGTGCTGTACAATTACTTCGACATTGGGAGTAACATCATCCTCTATTTTCCTGGATATTGGGCACAAAAACACAAAAGGGTGTACAACCCCTGCGATATTGGGAGTAATAGCATACTCTCCTTCCCTGGATGTTAGAAAACAATATCATCAGGGCTGAACACCCCCCGCGATAATGGGAGTCATGTTTACTCTTTCACAGGCCATTTGGAACAATATCACAGGGAATGTTTACAAACAGGGGTGGTGTACACCCCCTGTGACATTGGGAGTAACATCATTCTCTCTACATCCGGATATTAAGAACAATATCCCGGCGGGAGGTGGTACACCCCCAGTGATATTGCGAATAATGTCATCCTCTCCTTCCCTGGATATTAGGAACAAAATCTCAGGGGGGTGTACACCTTCTGTGATATTGGAAGCAATATCATCCTCTCCCCCGCTGGATATTAGAAAAAAATATCACTCACGGTGTACCCCCACTGTGATATGAGGAGTAATATCTTCCTAGGGTATTACGAATAATTTCACAGTCTGTACACACATGGTGTATACTTACTGTGATATTAGGAGTAATATCTACCTAGTAGATAACAAATAACATCGCAGGGTGTACACCCACTTTGATATTAGCTGTAATATTTTTCTAAGTTGTTACAAATAAGATCACAGGGTGTACCAACATGGTGTACACTCACTGTGATATCAGGAGTCGTATCTCTGTAATATATTATGAATAATATCACAGGGTGTACACCCACTGTATTATTAGGAGTAATATCTCTGTAGGATATTACAATTAAGATCACAGGGTGTACAGCCACCGTGATATTAGGAGCAATATCTTCCTAGGATATTACAAATAATATCACAGGGTGTACGCCCACTCTGCTGTCAGGAGCAATATCTCCCTAGGATATCAAAAATCCTATCACAGGGTGTCCAATCTCTGCCTTCCACGTTCTAAGGGATTCTCCTGCTTCAGCCTCCCGAGTAGCTAGGGTTGCCCGCACCACACCCGGCTAATGTTTTTTTATTTTCACTGGAGACGGAGTTTCACCACATTGGCCAGGCTGGTCTGGAACTCCTAACCTCAGGTGATCCATCAACCTCGGCCGCCCAAAATGCTGGGATTACAGGTGTGAGCCATGGTGCTGGGCCAAGAGTTATAGATTCAATTCATTTGGAAACCCAGCTCCCATCTTTGAGCGTGCATGTACTTTTATGAAGAAATGATGTCAGAAAACCGAAGGATGATAATAAATACGAAAAGTAACAGGCATGTGAAAAGGTCTTCCGATTGAGAACTATAAGGTTCGATGTCGTTTTCAGATAATGGGGTCCTAGCTCTTGTGTTGTCCTTTTACATATTCTACATCAATGGAAGTTGTAGCACGGTGTCAGAATAAAGTAGAGTGTATTTCACGGCTTCTTAATTCCTTTCAATTAGACTGAGGTCTTTTTCTTAAAGAGAGAAAGACATTGTCATTGCATTGTATTTTTTCTGAAAAGAGTAGGCCATATTTTACTGAGATCACGGATTTGTTATATATGACGTTTTGGTCTTCTAATATTCTTCAGTGGATTTTCTCTAAAGTAGTATGTACAGAAAGCCTTGTATAGCAAAAAAGTAAATCACGTAATAATTCTGAGATTTTTGGAATTGTCACAACTGAGAAACATTGCTGGCGGTGTATGGTCCGCAAGTGTGAAGATGTTCCTTGTGAATTGCTTGCATCCAGCATTAAGGGCTGGTTTTTATCTTTTATTTTTCCAATACTCTTTCCTTCTCAAGGTGTTCAAGACACACAGAGCCACAGAATCTCACAGGTGTCTGAGAATTCCTCCTCCTGGGACTCTCAGAGGATCCAGAACTGCAGCCGGTCCTCGCTTTGCTGTCCCTGTCCCTGTCCATGTACCTGGTCACGGTGCTGAGGAACCTGCTCAGCATCCTGGCTGTCCGCTCTGACTCCCCCCTCCACACCCCCATGTACTTCTTCCTCTCCAACCTGTGCTGGGCTGACATCGGTTTCACCTCGGCCACGGTTCCCAAGATGATTGTGGAATGCAGTCGCATAGCAGAGTCATCTCTCATGCGGGCTGCCTGACGCAGATGTCTTTCTTGGTCCTTTTTGCATGTATAGAAGACATGTTCCTGACTGTGATGGCCTATGACTGCTTTGTAGCCATCTGTCACCCTCTGCACTACCCAGTCATCGTGAATCCTCACCTCTGTGTCTTCTTCGTTTTGGTGTCCTTTTTCCTTAGCCTGTTGGATTCCCAGCTGCATAGCTGGATTGTGTTACAATTCACCATCATCAAGAATGTGGAAGTCTCTAATTTTGTCTGTGACCCCTCTCAACTTCTCAAACTTGCCTGTTCTGACAGCGTCATCAATAGCATATTCATATATTTCGATAGTACTATGTTTGGTTTTCTTCCCATTTCAGGGATCCTTTGGTCTTACTATAAAATCATCCCCTACATTCTCAGGATTTCATCGTCAGATGGGAAGTATAAAGCCTTCGCCACCTGTGGCTCTCACCTGGCAGTTGTTTGCTGATTTTATGGAACAGGCATTGGCATGTACCTGACTTCAGCTGTGTCACCACCCCCCAGGAATGGTGTGGTGGCATCAGTGATGTACGCTGTGGTCACCCCCATGCTGAACCTTTTTATCTACAGCCTGAGAAACAGGGACATACAAAGTGCCCTGCGGAGGCTGCGCCCCAGAACAGTCAAATCTCATGATCTGTTCCATTCTTTTTCTTGTGTGGGTGAGAAAGGGCAACCGCATTAAATCTCTCCATCTGCAAATCCTGCCCCTTAGTCACATTATTTTTGTGGCTTGATGGCTTTTATTCCTTTCCGCATTTCCTTTGTGAATATTGCTTTCTTCGTTATGCCTTTCACTGGAATGGGTGAGGATTCTGGGATCCTTTGTTTAGCAGAAACCTCATGACAGAATCCTCTATACCTAGGCAACCTCTTTTAGTTTCTGAGCAATAACCCTGTTATCCAGCTGGAATCACAACCATCTTTTTATATACACGAAGTCCTCACTTCATTTTGGAATTCCCTGAAAACTGACTTTATGGAAACAATGTACAGGAGGTCCTCCAACACCATTGGTTGTTCAAAGTTGTGTAGTTACACTGTTGATGAAAAATAAGTGGTTTCACTATACATAATTTTGCTTCAAGGTGAAGTTTCCAAGAGACTTTCAAAGATGTTAAGTGAGGACATACTGTACATCAAATTCATATCCTCTTCCACAGTTCATGTGGAATTTCTTTATAAACTGCTTCTAGAGAATCTATTTAGGCAGGTTATGTGTAGAGATCCATGTCGCCATTCCTCAATCTTGGCTTTGAGTCCAATCACCTGGGGAGCTTACAAATGATGAGGCCTGGGTCTCAATACCTGAGATTCTGATTTCCTTGCACCTGTGTGAGTATATGGATTTTTTTTTTTTCTTTTAAAGCACCACAGGTGGTTCCAATGATGAAGTTTTTAGAGGCATCAAGCTCCAATGAGTAAGAACAGAAATTAATTGTAATATGATTTCTTCAAATATTATCTTCAAATGCATTGTCCATCAACACCATACAAATGTTTCTTATGCTGTTTTTTCTTACCATTTCGCATTTTCTATTTCTTTCTTTTCCTTTTTTTTGAGTCAAGAGTTTCACTCTTGTTGCCCAGGCTGGAGTTCAATGGCACGGTCTCGGCTCACTGCAACCTCTGCTTCCCGTATTCAAGCAATTCTGCTGTCTCAGCCTTCCAAGTAGCTGGGATTACAGGCATGCGCTACCATGCCTGGCTAATTTTTTTTTTTTTTTTTGTATTGTTAATAGAGACGGTGTTTCTCCATTTTGGTCAGGCTGGTCTTGAACTCCCGACCTCAGGTGATCCGCCCGCTTTCGCCTCCCAAAGTGCTGGGATTACAGGCATGAGCGACCGCGCCCAGCCACCACTAAGCATTTACATTTTACATTTGTTGAAGTTATAGATTTATACACACATTGATTGCTGCTTTGTTATACACTTGCATATACATAAGATGGGAAATAGAAAAGAACAAAATGGGCACAGTATCCCTGAAGTTTCACATTCCGAGACATTTTAAAAATATTTGCTCTTCAGAAATTTGTTTCAATGAAGAAACTGGGGTATACACACCCAGTGAAGTATTGTTCAGCCTAAAAAGGAAGAAACTCCTCTCTGCTGCAGACAAAATGGATGAGATTGCAGGTCTGTATATTAAATGAAATAAGCCAGGCACAGAATGACAAATATTTCATGTCCTCACTTCTATGTAGGAAGAAAAAAGGAAACCTTGGCCAGGTGTGGTGGCTCAGACCTGTAATCCCAGCACTCCGGGAGGCCGAGTCGCACGGATCACTTGAGTCCAGGAGTTCGAGACCCGCCTGGCCAACATGGTGAAACCCCGTCTCTACGGAAAACACAAACAATGAGCCGGGCGTGGTGACGCGTGCCTGTAGTTTCAGCTACTTGGAGGGCTGAGGCCCAAGAAGGGCTTGAACTCGGGAGGCAGAGCTTGCAGTGAGCCCGGATTGTGCCTGCGTACTCCAACCTGGGCAACAGAAAGAGACTCCATCACACACCTACACACAAAAGGAATCTCAGGAAGGTGGAAAGTATAAAGGTGGTTAGCAGACGCTAGGAAGACAAGGGGTGGGATAGGGAATGAAGACAAGTGGATAATTGGGTCCCAAAATAGAGAAAGATGGAATAAGTGAGTTCTAGTGTTTGATACTACAGTATGAAAATTTTAGTTCACAAGAATTGCTTGCATATTTCCAGATGCTTTGGTAAGAAGCTTCCTAACTTTCTCATTATGCTGGTTTTTAAGCTCTTCTCTTTCTGCTCTTGAAATCATGCTGGTTTTTTGTTTTTTGTTTTTTGTTTTGAGATGGAGTTTCACTCTTGTTGCCCAGGCTGGAGTGTCATGGTGAAATCTTGGCTCACCGCAACCTCTGCCTCCTGGGTTCAAGCGATTGTCCTGCCTCCACCTCCTGAGTAGCTGGGATTACAGGCATGCGCCAGCACACCCAGCTAATGTTGTATTTCTAGTAGAGACGGGGGTTTCTCCCTGTCGGTCAGGCTGGTCTTCAACTCCTGACCTCAGGTGATGCGCCCACCTCGGCCTCCCAAAGTGCTGGGATTACAGGTGTGAGTGACTGCGCCCGGCCCATGCTGTATCCTTATCTGTTGTCTGTTGTTGTTTGTTTGTTTTTGAGCCCAGAAATAACTTCTCACCTATATGTTCCAATGATTTTTCACATGAGTGCTAAGAAAGCTCATTGGTGGAAAAGCAGCCTTTTCAAGAAATGGTGTTGGAGAAACTTGATTTCCACATGCAGAAGAATGAAGGTGGACCCTATGTCACACCAGGTGCAAAAATTCACACAAACTGGATCAAAGACCTCACCCCAAGCGCTAAAAGTATCATACGCCTAAAAGAAAACATTGGCCACACTTTCGTGACATCAGATTGGGCAATGTTCTCTGGGATATGACACCAAAAGCATAGGCAACAAAAGAAAATTAGATTCCTTGGATTACATCTAAATGACAGACACTTTTGTGCAGCAAAAAAACACTGTGAACTGAGTGAAAAGATAACCCATGGATTAGGAAAAATATTTGCAGAGCATATATCTGAAAAGAGGCTGATATCCATCATATATAAAGAACAGCTAGAACTAAACACCAAGACACCCAAAGCATCCCATCAACAATGGTCAGAAGACTTGAGTAGACGTCTTCCTGAAGAAGATATAGCAATGGCCAATAAGCATCTAAAATGATATTCAAAATCAGTCATCATAGGGAAGCACAAATCAAACCAAGAATGTGATACCACATATTAGGATGCATATTATAAACAAACAGGCATTGGTGAGACCAGAGGGAAGTAGCAATGCTCGAATATGATCGGAGGGAATGTAAAACCATGAAGGAACGGGGAAAATAGTATGGCGTGTACTGGAAAAATTAGAAACAGAATGATCAGATGTTCCCGCAGTTGCATTTGTGGGTTCCTACCAAAAAGCATTAGAAGCTAGGAGTGGAAGACAGATTTGTGTACACCCATATTCATAGCAGCATTATTCACAACAGCTGAAATGTGGAAGCAACCCAAGGGTTCGTGGACAGATGAATGAAAAAGCACACTGCAGTTCCTTCATACAATGGAAGACTATTCAGCCTTCAAAAGGCAGGCACTACTGGCCAGTGCGGTGACTGACGCCTGTAATCGCAGCGTCTTGGAAGACCGAGGTGGGCGGATCACCTGAGGTCAGGAATTTAAGACCAGCCTGGCCATCTTGGTGAAACCCTCTCTCTACTGAAAATGCAAAAAATGACACGAGCGTGGTGGCTTGTGCCTATAGCCCCTACTACTCAGGAGGCTGAGGCACAAGAATGGCTGGAACCCGGGAGGTGGAGGTTGCAGTGAGCCCAGTTTGTGCCACTGCACTCCAGCCTGTGCGACAGAGTGAGACTCCATGGAAATACAAAACAAAACAAAGTCAAACGAACAAACAAACAAACAAAAAAAACAGAGAGGCACTTCTGATGCAGGCCGCAACATGGATGAACCTTGAAAACATCGTCAGTGAAATAAATAAATACAAAAGGATAAACACGCCCAGGCTCAGTGGCTCACCCCTGTAACCCCAGCACTTTGGGAGGCTGAGCCAGGTGGATCACTTCAGGTCTGGAGTTCGAGACCAGCCTGGCCAATATGGTCTCTATTAAAAATACAAAAATTATCTGGGCGTGGTGACGCACTCCTGTAATCCTAGCTACTCGGGAGACTGAGACACAAGAATCGCTTGAACCCACGATGCAGAGGTTGCAGTGAGCCTAGATCATGCCACTGCACTCCAGCCTGGGTGACAGAGAAAGACTCTGTCTCCAAAACAAAAAAATTAAACATGGTATGATTCCACTTATCTATCAAGTGTCTAGAGTAGTTAAACTCATAGAGTTGCAAACTAGAAAGGTGGCCCCCAGGGGTGGGCGAGAGAGAGGAGTGGAGAGCTTGGTGAAAGGGTGCAATTTCCATTTTGAAAGATAAAACTGTTCCAGAGACGATGGCGGTGATGGTTGCTAAACAATGTGAACGTACTTAATGTCATGAAACTGTAAACTGAAAAAGAGTGGAAACTGTAAATGTTTATAGTGGCCATTCTATATGAACTAATATATTTATAATTTTTAATATTTATACGTGGTATATTTTCCCATAATAAAAGATGAAAATTAAAGCAGTTGGATGTTTACAAAGAAAAGAAAGAAGCGAAGAATACACACCAGCTTTCTCCTGATTAGAGGAAGAGCCCCAAAGCTTCTATGGACACTCACTTTTCTCTTCTTCTTCTTGCATTATTATGAGGAAATCCTTAGAGGTTGGGGAACTTGGGTGACTTTGGCTAATAAGGAGCTCTGTGCCTTGAGCCCCCCAGGCCACAGAATAGTAAATAGTCTGTGCCTCCAGCCCTGCAGTGTGAGGTTCCAGTCCTGTGGGCTCCACTCCCGTCACCTATATCAGGAGCCTCATGTCTCACCCTGTCTTCTTGCCGGCCTCGAGGGCGGAGTCTGAGCATCCATGGTGCACCACACAGGGAGGACAGTGGACCTGTTCTCCGTGGTCATGGCCCAGCAGAGGGGAAGGGCAGTTCAGTGAGTGTAAGCAAAAGAGAGATCAGACTGTTACTGTGTCTATGTAGAAAGGAAAGACAGAAGAGACTCCATTTTGAGAAAGACCTGTACTTTCAACAATTGCTTTGCTGAGATGTTGTTAATGTGTAGCTTTACCCCAGCCACTTTGACCCAACCTGAAGCTCACAAAAACATGTGTTGTATGAAATCAAGGTTTAAGGGATCTAGGGCTGTGCAGGATGTGCCTTGTTAACAAGATGTTTCCAAGCAGTATACTTGGTAAAAGTCATCGCCATTCTCTAGTGTCAATAAACCAGGGGCACAATACACTGTGGAAAGCCACAGGGAGCCCTGCCCTTGAAAGCGGCGTATTGTCCAAGGTTTCTCCCCATGTGATAGTCTGAAATATGGTCTCATGGGATGAGAAAGACCTGACCATCCCCCAGCCCGACCCCCGTAAATGTTCTGTGCTGAGGTGGATTAGTCAAAGAGGAAAGCCTCTTGCAGTTGAGAGAGAGGAAGGCCACTGTCTCCTGCCTGCCCCTGGGAACTGAATGTCTCGGTATAAAACCCGATTGTACATTTGTTCAATTCTGAGATGGGGGAAAAACCGCCCTATGGTGGGAGGTGAGACATGTTTGCAGCAATGCTGCCTTGTTATTCTTTACTCCACTGAGATGTTTGGGTGGAGAGAAACATCAATCTGGCTTACGTACACGTCCAGTCATAGTACCTTCCCTTGAACTTCATTATGACATAGATTCTATTGCTCACATGTTCGTTGCTGACCTTCTCCTTATTATCACCCTGCCCTCCTACTACATTCTTTTTTGCTGAAATAATAAAAATAATAATCAATAAAAACTGAGGGAACTCAAGGCCGGTGCCGGTGCAGATCCTTGGTATGCTGAGTGCCGGTCCCCTAAGCCCACTGTTGTTTCTCCATACTTTGTCTCTGTGTCTTATTTCTTTTCTCAGTCTCTCATCCACCCGACTAGAAATACACACAGGGGTGGAGGGGAAGGCCACCCCTTCAAGTGAGTGCTGAGGGACGGTCGGGAGCCTTGTTTGTTTCCTCATCCTCAGGACAAACAGGAGAGTGCAGTGGGCAGATGTGAGGAGACCAATATGCAACCTCTGTGCTCAGCAGACTGTGGAGTTTCTGTTCTTGGTTGTGCTGGGGGTCTCAGAAATCTTATTCAAAATTTTGCTTTCCTCCCCCACTGGTTGTCCTTTTGATAGACACCTCCTCACCCATGATAGCAGGGAATCAGTCCCTCTAAACTATTCCCTAAGAACAACAAAGGGATTATGAAGGTGATGATGAGGATAAAGAGGATGACGACAGACACCATGGCATCGTGAACCCTTACTGAGGGCTTCCTAAAGGCCAGGCTCTGAGCTCTGTGCTCTATACAGCTGGTTTCATTTCATCTGCATAGTCTCCACGTTATTAGTGCACATTTCATGATGATTTTACAGACTAGAAAAGGCGCAACGGAGTTTCATGTAGCTTGTACCAGATCATGAAGTCAAAAAGGGTGAAGTCCAATTTGAACCAGGCAGTCTAAGTCCAGACACATGGCATTGGGCCAGTCGTCTCCCTGCATCCAACCTGCCCTCTCAAATCCTTGTCACTCAGGCCGATGCCCCTTCTCACTGTGCCCTTCCCTTTGGGGGTTCCTTGTAGACCACAGCTAGACCAGTGGGTGCCGCAATCACTGTGTCATGTATAGAAAGAGCAGCTGAGATCACATCGAGGATTCCAGAAACAATCGGCACAGGATCATTCGGGACACATCTCTCCCTTGCCCCTGTTCCTGGCTTGCCTTACAGCTCTCAACTTCCTCAAAGGAGTCATCAATTCGGAGTTTGGCTTCCATTCCTATTGAGGAAGCTGGAAAGTGTTTCAAAAATGCTCCTTCCATGTGCCTGTGGTTAAGACCTCTGAGCTCTGCTTAAAACTTTTTGAAGCTGGGCGCGGTGGCTCACGCGTGTAATCCCAGCCCTTTGGGAGGCTGAGGCAGGTGAATCACAAGGTCAGGAGTTCGAGACCAGCCTGACCAACATGGTGAAACCCTGTCTCTACTAAAAATACAAAAAAAAAAAAAATTAGCCAGGCATGGTGGCGTATGCCTGTAATCCCAGCTACTGGGGAGGCCGAGGCAGGAGACTCCTTTAAAGCCGGGAGACAGAGGTTGCAGTGAACCAAGATCATGCCACTGCACTCCAGCCTGGGCAACAGAGCAAGACTCTGTCTCAAAAAAATAAATACATAAAAATTACGAAAAAAAGTGCTTAGATGGGCTTGGCAAACTTTAGCCATTAGCTCACGTACCACTTTGGAAGGGCATACCTTCAGTCACTTCACCCTTTAATTCCTTTGCTCAAGACTAAAGTTCTGAGAGGAAGTCTAATCAGCTGAGTTGTGTCCATGTGGGCAGTGCAGGAAAGGGTGCAGCGGGAGGCGGCTCCAGGGACGTCTTTGGCTTCCATCATGGGGGAGCAGGCGCGTGGATTATCCACCCTAACAAATTTGGACAAAGGAAAACGAGGTTCTCTGAGGAAGGAGACATAGAGCCCAAGGAGCTAACCAAGAGACAAATAGTCATCCTGTCTTGTCATTTTCTTTTACACATGTGTGTACATTATCTTACACTTATCACTTTGTTTTCTTTCTCTCCTTTAATTGCAGCCTGCTGCCAAAAGTTAAAATAAAATGAACATATTGAGATAGCTCAGTAACTGACTTTTGGTCAATTGCCTTTTCATATAGTGAACAGCTGCCCAAACGATTGTCTCTGTCACTGTGCAAATTTGCAAGCGTTTGCATGATCACTCCCAATCCCCCAACACAGGGCTGTGTTACAGCACAATTTAGTTCAGTGTTTTGCTCTCTGCAACAGGGAGGTTCTCATCCATTGCAGGTTGCAGTAAAAACAGGGGTACCATAAGCAACCACCTCTTTCCTCAACGATGTGATGGAAGCAAACGCCAAGTAGCTCCATGTATCCAACTTAAAAATATAAAAAGTTACGCCCGTGGGCTGTGGTGCCATCTTTGGTTCAATGTAACACCAGGGGTGAGAAACAGACAACTTCTAGCCTCCAAGGAGACCCTGGGGCATGGCGGCAGACCCTCGCTGCACTGAAGGGTGTCCGGGGCTCCAGGACTCAGGCAGCCAGCGGTGCGGCCCCACCTCTCCACCGTCCGCCTCTGGGAGCCTCGGTTTCCTCAGCAGGGATCATGACACTTCATGGCTGCTCTCATGGAGGCGGAGGCTTTGTCATCGCCTCTTTGTGGATAAAGGAAATAAGGCCCAGAGACGTTGATTAACCACCCAAGGTCACACAGCCAGAATCTAAGCCCAGGTCTGTCCAAGGCCTATCCAGCTCTTTCTTCCAGGAAGGCCCTCCCTCTTCCTTCCCGTCTCCCCGTCACCCATCTCTTTCCTCCTCCTGTCCTCTTCTCACCTCTTCTTGCCTCCCCTCCCCTCTTTCCTCCCTTCTTCCCCTCTCCTCCCTCAATTTCTCCTTCCTTCCTCTCTCCTCCCCAAGCTCTCAGGTGAACGTGCGTCCCACCTCTTATGGCGAATGGACAGCAGGTGGCAGCAAACCCCGCCTTCCTGCGCGGGAGCCGGCCTCAGCCCGTGAAACGATGAGAACTGGGCTGCAGAGCCTGAGCTGGGCGGGCGTGAGTTTGCAGATCTGCAGGAGGAACCCGGTGCAGGCGCCTCTGGCAGGGGTGGAGGTTGGGGTGCCCAGGCCTGGTGGCGGGGCGGGGCAGGGGGGTCACCTGCAGGCGTGTGGCCGGGGGAGGGACGGCTCCCAGCTCAGCATCTGGGCAGAACAGCTCCTTGGGGGTGGGAAGGTTCCCCGCAGCGCTTCATCCTTCTAAGTGAATATGCAAATCCCCTCCTCCCGCTCGAGAGGGAACTTCTGCGGACCCTCCTCAGGCAGCCCCAGGGCAGCAGCCCGTCCTCTGGGCGCCATCCTGACAGCGCCCTGGCAGCGCAGCAGACGCTTAGTCCGCACCTGTTCTGGACAGGGGTGGGAGACACCAGGATTGTGGCCACAGGTCCCTACCCAACATGGGTACCTAGTGAACAGAGCGCAGCCTGCCCAGTCAAAGGGCTGGGCCCTTCCTGCACAGGGGTCGCCTTGCTTGGGTGCATCTTGAAGGAAGGTCAGAGACACCCAAAAGGACTGGGCTGAGGGAGCAGCGTCTGGGTCCAGGGCACAGCCTGGGCAGAGGCCAGAGGGCAGCAGGCCTGAGTGTGGGATGCAGATCTTGGGGTAGAGGCCAACTCCACGCAGGGAGGCCCCTCCCGCCGGCGGGTGGTCATGGCTGATTTGAGCCTGTTGTTATTGTTGGCAAATTAACAATACACTGTTAATTGCATGTGGCTGAAAGTAAAAATTAATAAGGAAACAAGTGGGCCCTGCTGAGCTGCTCGCGTCGGGGCTGTGGTTCCCACGCTGGGGCTGCGGCTCTCGCGCCGGGACTGTGGTTCCCACGCCGGGGCTGTGGCTCTCGCGCCGGGGCTGTGGTTCTCGCGCCGGGGCTGTGGCTCTCACGCGCTCCTCCTCGGCTTCCGAACCGGAACACAGCTGCAGCCTCTATAGACTCCTTCCGTGGCGCTTCAGTGCTGAGCCCTAGCAGACTCCTCCTGGCCAGACTTTCCTGGCTCCTCTGATACCTCATTGCCACCGGGCCTCCACCCGGGGCTTTGGATTCATCTCTGCTGGTTTAGGGAGAACCTCTGACCTCTGCTATCTCTCCCCTCCGTGAATGATCCGGTTCCTCATCCCCCACCTGTGAGTTCTGACTCCTCGGCCGCCTTCAGCAAGAATCTCCTGCCCTTAACTTCTCATCTCAGTCTTTTGCCATCCCCCGAGGCCCTTGGCTATCAGCCCCCACTAGTCCTTGTGGCAGGGGCTATGAACCCCCTCCTCCTTGGCTAGAGACTCCCGCTTGTCCTCGTGGTCTTCGGCGTTGAGCTCAATCTCTCCCTGTTGTGGTCATCCTGACGGCTGCTGCGATAGTCTTGAATAGAGTCTTCCTCACTGTTTTAAGTGTCAGGATCGTGTTCTATGTACTCCCACCCCCGGCTTCTCCTGCCCCCTCAGCTGGCCCGGCATTTTCCCTGGGAGCCTTCATCACAGGTCAGTGGATGCCATATGTTTCTGAGCCGGGGTGTGAACTCTGTTTCCATTCTTAGATAACTTGTTCTCCCTGTGACTTAAGCATGACCTTATAGTTTAATTTTCTTCCTCTATGGGGGACCTATTCGTGAGTGTAATAAGGGTTTTCTGCATCCCTGTATTCCAGATGTATATTTCCAGGATACAGGGCTGCTTTTAAGTACCAAAATATTCATATTTTTGTTGGTATCATGCCAATACTTCAGTATGTTGAAAGTTCTGAGACCTGATTCCATTTACACAAAGTAGAAGAACAGACAAAAGTAATCTGTGCTGTGAGTCAGAACTGGCATCACCTGTGGGAATAGGCGGGGCCCGAGGGGGCTCCTGAAGTGCTGGTTCCCTAGTGTGGGCACTGGTTACTCAGGAATCTTCACTTTGTGCATTTCCCCAAGCTGCAGCCTTAGGGGAAGAGTGTCTGACCTGTTTTGTGGTCCTCTCCCTATCCCCATTTTTCTGCCCCCAAATGCTTTACAGACTTGACACTCATCCAGCAGTGCTTTTTTCCAATGCCCAAGCATAGCTCTCAAACGTCTGTCCCATGCATTTTCCTTTTGAGCTGCTCCCCGGTCCCCTATGTCACACCACACTCAGGCTGCAACGGGCTCTCCAGGCCTGGGCACCGTGTATGTCCCCACACTCCCCATGAACTGGTTCCTGGGTGAGAGCCACTAGCTCTCAAATTGTGAGCCCCCTCACTGAGGTCCGTCCCTCATTGACTTACACCTTCTAGAGCAAGCTTGTCCAACTGTGGCCCATGGACTGCATGTGGCCCAGGACAGATTTGAATGCAGCCCAACACAAATTTGTAAACTTTCTTAAAACATGAGGGGTTTTTTTTGCAATTTCTTTTTTCTTTCTTTCTTTCTTTTTTTTTTTTTAAGCTCACCAGCTATTGTTAGTGTTAGTGTATTTTATGTGTGGCCCAAGATAATTCTTTTCCAGTGTGGCCCAGAGAAGCCAAAAAATTGGACACCCCTGCTCTAAAAGTCTCTTAAGGAAAGAAGCATGGAATGGAACTTGTAAATTCCACTTATTCTGACAATATCTTGATTCATCCCTCAAACCTGATTGATAGTTTGGCTGGGTATCAAATTCAGGGCTGAAAATCATTTTTACCTTGGCCCATCCAAGGCCTTGCTCACTGACTCACAGCCTCCAGTGCTGCCCTCCAGGAGTCTGAAGACCTCGGAGTCTCTGCTCCAAGTGTGAACCTTTCCTTTGTCCCTGAAGTGCTCAGCTCTTTTCTTTGTTCCTACTGTTTTGAAATTTCACAATATCAGTGCTGGGACCTTGGTAGGACCTTCAATCTGGCAAGTTATATTCTTTAGTTCTGAGAAATTTTCTTGAAATAATCAGGTAGAAATTGTTTTCACTTTGGTCTTCCTTTTTCTCTTTCAGGCACTCCTGCTCACTGTATGGTCTCTGTGGAGTCTCCATTTTTAACATGTTTATCTTTTCTATTTTCTGTTACTTTGGGGATTTTTTTTGTTCTATGTTCTAAGATAGCCCCACACATTTTATTTCTGTTAAATTTGTTTTCCTTCTGAAGTCCTCCTCAACTTCAGATAGAATAGATATTAATACATATAATAGATATGGATGGATATACATTTGCAACAGCTCATGTGTATTCTCTGCCCATTCCTTTTGTAGAGCACACTGTTCTTGTTCTATGGAAGCAACATATTCTCTCTCTGAGATTCTCTTTTGCTCCCTGTGTTTATCTGTTCTGGTCTCTGTTCCTCATGGTACAGACATTCCTTGACTGTGCAGCAATCCTTGGTCATCTGTATTAGTCAGAGTTCTTTGGAGATTACATATGCCTATATAAAATAAGATTTATTATAAGGAAGTGGCTCATGCAATTATGGAGGACAAATCCCACAATCTGCATTCTGCAAACTGGGGACCAAGGAAAGCCAGTGGTGTAGTTCAAAGGCATAAGAGCTGAGAGCCAATGGTGTAGTATCCCATCTGAGTTTAAAGGCCTGTGAACCAGCAGCATCGGGAGCAGGTTCTTCCACCCAGCTCAAACATTCAGGCAGAGTAAGAGCGAACTCAACCTTCCTCTGCCTTGCTCTTTTGTTCTATGCAGGCCCTCAACAGACAGGAACGGTGCCCGCCCACACTGGGGAGTGCAGTGTGCTCACTCAGTCACTATGCTAACCTCTTCCACAGACAACCCAGAAATCATGTTTCACCAGCGATCTGGGCATCCCATGGCCCAATCAAGTTGACATATAAAATTAACCATCACACCATTCACCCCTGCTTGAGGATGAGGCACCTGAAGGCAGAAAGAAAGGTGGGTGAAGAAGGACATTGAGTAAAGGTAGGAAGACAGCCAGAGAGTGAGTCAATAGCTCTCTGGTGGTACCTGTGAGGCAAGCACTGCTGTTCCCCATTTTACAGATGCTCAAGGTCACACAGTCTGTAGAGAGTAGATCTGGTCATCTCTGTTAGTTCTAAGGTGCAGCCCTGGGATGCCTGCTCTCACACCCTTGTCTGGCCGGAGCTCTGCAGTGCACTTCACGTGCTTTTGTCACCCTGACGGGTTTGGAGAGCTCTGCAGTGCGCTTCACATGCTGTGGTCACCCCGCAGGGTTCCCAGAGCTCTGCAGAGCCCGTCACGTGCTGTGGTCACCCCGCAGGGTTCCCAGAGCTCTGCAGAGCCCGTCACGTGCTGTGGTCACCCCGCAGGGTTCCCAGAGCTCTGCAGAGCCCGTCACGTGCTGTGGTCACCCCGCAGGGTTCCCAGAGCTCTGCAGAGCCCGTCACGTGCTGTGGTCACCCCGCAGGGTTCCCAGAGCTCTGCAGAGCCCGTCACGTGCTGTGGCCACCCTGAAAGGTTCTCAGAGCTCTGCAATGCACTTCACAGGCTGTGGTCATCCCAAAGGGTTCTGAGAGCCCTGCAGTGCACGTCACGTGCTGTGGTGACCCCGCAGGATTCCAAGAGTTACCCCGCAGGGTTCCAAGAGTTCTGCAGTGCGTTTCATGTGCTGTGGTCACCCTGAAGGGTTCTGAGAGCTCTGGGGTCACATGAGCTCTTACTTAGGAGTAAAGAGTTTTTTGTTTGTTTTGTTTTATTGCCCTGGAATTCAGAGGACTTTCCAGGGTCTGCATAGGGCAGAGAAGCTGGTTCAGGGTTGCAGCTGGCTTGAGTCTCTTTGTCTCCCACCCTATCTAGTGGGATCTGTTGTGTCTCTGTGGCAGAGCTGTCCTTTCCATCCTCCGGCAGCCGGGTTCCAGCAGCAGAGGCACCGGCATGCTTCCACTCACTGTGGCTGCACACTGCAAAGCGAAGTCCACTCCAATAGCAAGACCATCAGAACGGAGCCCACACATAGAGGTCTCTGTCTTCACATCATGGCCATTCTGGGCGGTGCCTTTTCTCACCATACTCTGGGTTCACGGCTCTCTCCACTCTATTCCTACCCTCCATTCTATGCAAATGCTAAGCCTCTCCTTGCAGAGACCCTGGGGACCAGCATGGGCAGGGCAGGGGGACAAGCAGCTGCTTCTACTGTGGCCAGATATGGCAGAGGCTGGCAGAAGAGGAGCTGCTTGGTCTTAGCAAGCAAGGAGTAGGGCAGCAAAGGGGTGATGACTCCCGCAGTGCCCAGTCCTGTGCTAAGGCTACAGAATCACCTTAAAAATGACTTCTTGTGTGCCCAGATCTTGGGTTCTAAAACCATTTAAAAAAAAAAAAAAAAGGAACCACGGCTGCTTGGAGAAATGGCTGATTCTAGAACTGGAGCAAAGGGAAATACAAGAGGGGCCTGGGGCACCGTTTCACCCCAAAGAGCAAGGAGGTGCTCAAATGAAACTGAAACACCCAAATCACACTGATGGGGCCTGTCAAAGGGACAGGAGCCAGCACAGAGAGCTCCCAAGGGCTGAAGCTGGGGCTACTGAGCAACGGAAGGAAGCACCACTGGATTATCAGGAAAAGCGCACGACGGATGTCCACAAGCCCACACTGGCAGAAACAAATGGCCAAATAAATAAATAAATGGGGGTGGGGGGCGAGGGGACAAACCTCCATGCAGAAGGATGCCACATAATATAGGTAGATGCTCCGCCCTCTGAGAGCTGTGGCATAGCTCCCCATGCCTTAAGCCTCGGCTGCACAGTGACTTCCTGCCACAGAGGACAGTGTGGAAATGGGGAGAAAGAAACTTCACAGTGGAGAAACCTGACCAACACCCCTCAGCCAGGTGACCAGGGTCAAGGTCCACAGTCCACAGTCCTAAGTGTGCCCTTGGTACAAGGTGATGGGGATGGCACGGCACCTCTCTGGTTTTCCCCACCAAGAACCCATCATAACCCCAATCTAATCACAGGAAACACATCACACCAGTCCCTATTGAGGGACAGTCTACAAAATCCCTGAGCAGTCCTCCTCAAAACTGTCAAGGTCATTGGACACCAGGAACGTCTGAGAAACGGCCCCAGCCAGGCAGAGCCTACGGAGATGCGAGCAAGTGTCATGCGGGGCCATGGGTGGGATCCTGGGACAGGGCATTGGGTAAGAACCGAGGCAATAGGGATTTGGGACTCTGGTTAGTAACAACAACGTGTCGATACTGGTTCACTGATTGTAACAAATGACCACACTGCTGCCAGATGTTAGTGATGGGGAAACAGTGGAAGATATATGGAAAACCTGTACTATTTTCTCAATTTTTCTATAAATATAAAACTTAAAAAATAAACATTATTTTAAAAAGTAATTCTAATGATAGCACTAATGGTCGGGTGGGATGTTCTCATTCACAGGCAAAGACACGGAGTCTCTGAGAGGTGAGTGCTTCCCCCACCCCAGGTACAGAGCTCTGAGCGCCGAGGCGTCGGAGGATGGTGGCTGGAGGCTGGTGTCATAAAGGCTGGCATCCCGTGGCTGGCTTCCCAAGGCTGGCGTCCCGAGCCTGGCGTTATGAACGCTGTGGTCCTGAGGCTGGCGTCCTGGGGCTGGCATCATGAAGGCTGGTGTCCTGAGGCTGGCCTCCCAAGGCTGGTGGCCCGAGGCTGGCACCACAAAAGTTCTTTCTGTGCCTTGGGCAGCATCTTCAGGAGGAACCGGATCAGATCTGGGCAGCGGGTTTGGGCCTGCAATTCACCCCTTCCATCCTTGGGCCGCCCAGCCAGACGCTAGGTCCCGCATCTTCTTCTTGGCTTCTCAGGGTTTCATCTCCCCAGACTGCATTTCCGTCCGCTTTTCCATCCTGTCTCCCGCCCAACCCTCCCTCTCTCCCCTTTCCCTGATCAGCTCCTCCCTGCCCCTGCCCCACTGCCCGGCCCCACCCTGACCATCCCCAGAGCTGATCCTGCCCTGGCCAGGTTCCAGAAGGCACCTCAGGGGCTCACCATGACGGGTCCCATGGAGTCTGCCCTTCCTCCTTCCCTGGCATGTCTTCATACATGAAGACGCTGACCTGGCCTCCAGTGAAATATTTAAACCAAATGCATCTGCTGCGAGGTAGCAGGATCTGGGGTGGAGGTGGTTGGCTCCGCCCCTGCCTGGCTGGCTCAGAACACAGAGAAGCCCAGGGCTGGGGAAGGGCGGGGAGTGCGCGCAGGGACAGAGACTCCAGCCATACAGGGGAGTGGCCTCCCCTCTTCACACAAGAGGGCAGGGCATGGCTTGGTGGGGAGGGGCCTTCTGAGGGAAGCGCCCTGACTGTCCGAGAGTGACCCTCCTCTGGGGTGGCTTTTGGATTCTGCTGCCCCATCTGCCTAGACTATGGGGAATGTTCCAGCACATTCCCCAGAGAGGGCACAGGCCCTCCCTACTCCCCTCAGTAGGGCCCCCAAGCCCTGGGGAAGCAGCAGGGCAGTGGAGAAACAGGAACTCAGATGGTCTTCCCCATCTGCTGCCTAGCAACGCCCTACCTGCCCTTTGATTCAGCGTTTGTGTTGCCTCTTCCAGGAAGTCCTCTCTGATAGCCCTCGGTTGGGCTATGGCCTCTTCGACAGCTGTCACAGCCTTTAGGGTCACTGTGCAAATTAGGAAGAAGCGTCTCCTCCTCCAATCATCTCATGCCTCTGCTGCGTCCCCTCCTCCAATCATCTCATGCCTCCGCTGTGTCCTCTCCTCCAATCATCTCATGCCTCCGCTACGACCTCTCATCCAATCATCTCATGCCTCCGCTGCGTCCCCTCCTCCAATCATCTCATGCCTCCGCTGCGTCCCCTCCTCCAATCATCTCATGCCTCCAGTGGGAACCTCGTGATGAGCATGCATCCGATTTTTACTATGCGCACAGCATCCTTCAGGGTGCCCCTCTTCCCCCGACCCCTGCTCTTCTCACCACCCTGGTCCCACCACCATCCAAGAGCCAGCTACCCCAGGCCTCAGGCTGTGTATGGCCCATCTCTGTGTCTACAGGACAGGGCGGGCACGCAGTAGGTATAGTGGGGTATCCTGGGAACACCCAAGCTCACCAGGACAGGCTCTGGCTGTGGCTCAGGAGGGGAGGGCGCTGGGCTGGGACTGGAGCTGGACAGGGTGGCACGGCACTCCCCAGAGACTGCAGACAAGTGTGCCGGGCAGGCCCTCCCTGCAGTTCTCCTCTCACCCATCCACCCATCCACCCATCCTCCCTCTGTCTCTCTGCCCACCCCTGCGCAGAGGGGCCACGGGGCAAGCCCGCTGAGCTCAGGTTTTCAAAACACAGGAATGGGAGGGCAGGTGACAGGGTTGGTGACAGCAGTGCAGGGTGCTTGGAGATGTCCTAGGGTAGGGCTCCCCCAACCCTGCAGCGCCACTCTGCGAGTCAGCGGCCTCCTTCTCCATTAGAGAGGAGGAAATGAGGCAGGAGGCGGCCAGCCCTTCTCCCACGTGCAGCCGGCAGGGCCCCCAGACGCTCCAGCCCCAGGACAAACTGCCTTGTACCGTGCGTTAAGGCCATTTCACCCGGGCTCGCAGCCCGCGCTCCGCGTCTCCAAACAGAAGGCCCGGCTAGGAGCTGCGCGCACCTCGGAGGCCTGGGCAACTTGGACCCAGTGCCGTCTGCGCCTCCGTTTCCTCATCAGTAAAAGGGACCGTAATTCCTCACCAGGACATGACCTCGAGCCCACCGAGAGCCCCCACGGCAGGGAAGTACTGGGTTCCCCTCTGTCTCCCGCACGCTGCCGGGCGCAGGGTTGGCGCACAGTAGGTGCTTCCTCTGTGAGTGTTCGAGCCGCGCCGCGACGGCCTGGATGGCAGTGGGGGCGCGCACTCGCCCTGCGACGCCCCCGCCCCGTCCCCGCGGCCCCACCGTGCACCTCCCCCGCCCCCGCCGCCGTCCTTCCCCTCCCCCTCACCCCTCCACCGCCCCGCCACGTCCCCGCCAGCCCCGCGAACCCCGCTCCCTCTGGACAACGGCTCCTGGGAGAGCCTATTAAAGTGCAAGTCGAGTCTCCCGCTCTGCTTTCGGCTTCCTGTCCCGGTGCACACCCGGGGCTCCGCGGGGCTGGGCTCTCGGTCTCCATGGCAACCCAGGCGTCCCGCCCACAGGAACCGCCACTCAGGAGGGCTGACGCTCCACCGCGGTGGGCTCTAGACCGGCCAGGCAGCGGTCGCGCAGGTGCGGCACCTTCTCCGCAGCGGTGTGGCCAGGAGGGAGGTGGGGCGGCGTAGACCCAGATCCGGGCCCCCACCACCTGCCGAAGGGATGGGCTCCTCGAGGCTCCTCCCCGTTGCTCACCCTCGTGATGTCCCCGCGGAGCCCACCCCGGCGCACCCCAGGGCAGGTGCGGGCCATTGGAGCCAGGGTGGGGATTTTACGTCAAGGCGCACAGCTGCTCCCTCCCGGTGGAGCCCGCGATCGCCCTCCAGTCTACTGCATACAGCCCTAACTCCCACCCCGGGACAGTGACCTCCCTGCGGTTGAGGCCGGTCTGTCTCCCACCCTAAACCTCCTTCCAGGGACCCCCGGGGTGTCCCAGCCTCACCTCCTTTCCTCTGCGGCGCGGCCCTGGACCGGTGTGGACCAGGCAGGCTCCGCCAGGGAGTGCCTCCATGACCAAGTGCGTCCTGTCTCTGGCCCTTGTCCCCTCCCTCTCTGTCTCTTTCTCTCTGAGCACCTCTGTCTTTATCTCTGTCTCTTTGTCTCTATCTCCCCGTGTGTCAGTATGTGTGTCTGTCAGTCCCTGGAGCTCACTGTGTCTCCCAGTCTCTGCGTGTCTCTGTCTCCTCCTGTCTCTGTGTCTCTCTGTCTCCTGTCTCTCTATGTCTCTGTCTCCTCCTGTCTCTGTGTCTCTCTGTCTCCTGCTGTGTCTGTGTCTCTGTCTCCTCCTGTCTCTGCATAGATGGCACCCAGAAGAGTGTTCGTGTCACCAGAGGGCAAGGAGGACCCTCCCCACAGCACCTGTCCCTCCCCACCCCCACCCTCGCCGGGGGTGCCCCCGCAGCATCCCACTGTCCCCGCCATCTCTGCCTCGCCCCCTTAGTCCTGCTGCCACCCGCTCTGCCTCTCCAGAAAGCTCACCAGGTTAGGAGTCCCATGCGGCTCCCTCTAGGTTAAGAAGTGAAACTTCCCTCTGTTGGAAAGTCTTGAGCGTCAATTTTAATTAAAAAGTTAATATCATTGAAATAGGGCAAGAAACTGCTGATGAAATCTTCAATATTTTCTCTCCATCAACAGCTTTAATATTTTATGACCTTTCCAATTTGGTGGTTGTACCCTGATGTGTCAGAATTCCATGCCAGTGTCCGGGCCTGCTTCGTTTGCTGGGTCTCCAGTGTGTGGGCGTCGCAGCTGGCATTCCTATGTGACTGATGAAATCGCCCCATGAAGCTTGGGTGCTCCTGCAAAGCCCTGTCCTGGGTCCCTTGCCTTGGGCCCCATCTCCTCCCTTTCCCCAATGGGGAGGAGTGGAGGGGCTGATGCCTGCGAGTTCCCCAGCACCAGGTGATCACACGGTGTCTCCTGAAGCTGCCCAGCGTGGTGTGAGGGCAGCCCCAAGCATTTCTGAGGCAGGAAGCCTGGCTCCAGGGGATAAAGGACCGGCCCGTCCCTTCTGCTCCATTCTGCTCTGGGAGAGCTGGGGTCTGGGGCCTCCGCCTTTTGCTCCTGAAGTCTGCTTTTCTGTTGCCTGCCCAGCCTGTGGAGGGGAGGGCAGCCAGGGCTTACTGGGCAACGAGACAGCCCCTGGCTTACCACAGGGGAGGCCCACGAGGCTATCCAGGACAGCGGCAGTGACAGCCGGCCCCGGCTTCAGCCTGCCAGGCCGAAGGACCCTGGTGGCACATCAGGAAGCCCTCCCTGGGGCTGGCAGAACAATGTTGGGGACAGGGGGCTTCTGGGCCAGGCAGACCTGCCATGCTTTTGCGTTGGGGCCTGGAGTTGTGGCGAGGACTAGGTGAGGAGAGTTCATGGACAGCAGAGCCCCTGCACGTGAGCTTTCCACGTGATGTGGGGACCAAAGGTGGGGTGGGGACCATGGCTTCAGCTGTGCAGGTGCCGGTTGGCTCTCACCTGGGCTGAGTGGGGACCAAGGGGGATTGCTGTGGGTGGAATTGTGTCCCCCCAAAATACATGTTCAAGTCCTAACCAGCTGCAGCTGTGAATGTGACCGTATTTGGAAATAGGGTCTTTGCTGATGTCAGTAAGTTACGATGAAGTCATCCTGGATTTAAGGTGGCTTCATCCAATGGCTGATGTCCTTGTTAGAAGACACAGGCACCTGGGGAGAATGTGACAACTGAGGCAGGGATGGGAGCAATGTAGCCACAAGCCCAGGAACACCTGGGGCCCCAAGAGGGAGCCTCGCCAAGGCCTCCTGAGGGAGCACGGCCCACCGGCACCTTGGTCTGGCATTTCTGGCCTCCGGGATGGTGAGAGGATAAACTCTGTATCTGAGGTCACCGGCTTTATTGCGCTTTGTCGGCAGCTGTAGGAAATTAAAGGCAAGATGTCAGGTGGACCCACTAGGACCCAGCCACCACAGGGAGGCCATCTGAGAAGCTGCAGGTCTCTCCTGCTTAGTGGCTGCCTCTCCTCCCTCCCCACTGCCCTTGACACTGCTCTCTTCGACTCCCAAGGACACATTAACCCTCAGATCCCTATCTCCAGTCAGCTCTGGGGAGACACAAACCCAGACACGTCATTTGCTTGCACTGCGGGGCACTCAGAGATGGATGCCCATGTTTGGTCTGCTGCAGTGGGTCATCTGGGGAGTGGGGGTACGTGGTCATGGGGTCTGCATTCCTTGTTTCCAGAGAACCTCTATGATGTGGCATTCCCAAGTCACAGGCCCAGGCCAGGTCCTGCAGCAGGGGTGAAGTGCATGGGACCCTTGGGCCCTGCCTCTAGGGGGCTGCTGTCCCTCTGCTTGCCCCCGGTGTGAGCGCCTGCTTATGGTGAGAATGTGAACCCTTCGAGGTCCTCGGGAAGCGAATCTGGGGACCCCAAGAAGGAGGAGGTGGGCCGGGGCATTCCAGGTTCACATCTGGGGCTGGAGACTTTGGCCTGGCATGCACAGGTCTCAGCTGCCCAGGCCTGGGAAGAGCTGGCATGATGACACCCGCTGGCATGGCCTCGGTGCGCGAGCCTGGCACACAGTGGATGCTTGAAGACTGTCTGCGAATGCTCCAATGACCTTATCAGGAGGCACATCTGGTGGTTAGGCCGCTGTCCTTGGTACTGCTAGGGCTGAGTCCCTGAGGGTAGCAGCTATCTCTAGGACTGAGACTGACCCGTATTCCTTGGTGATATCCAGGAGCAGTGCTGGCAGCTGCATGGTTGGGCCTCCAAACCTCAGGTTGCAATTTGATCCCAGAGTGTTGGAGGTGGGGCCTAATGGAAGGTGTTTTCCTCATGGAGTGGATCCCTGTGAGTAGATTCATGCCCTGGGGCGGGGGTTGGGGAGTGAATTCTACTGTCTGAGTTTCCGACAAAGCAGCTACTGAAAATAGCCCGCACCCACCTCCTTCTCTGACTTCCTCTCCCGCCCTGTGAGCTCCACACACGCAGCCCCTCCCCCTCCACCGTGAGTGGAAGCTTCCTGAGGCCTCCCCAGAAGCCAAGCAGATGCCAGGGCCGTGCTTCCCAGGCAGCGTGCAGAACCGTGAGCAAGTAAGCTTCTGTTCTTTATAAATCACCCAGCCTCGGGTATCCTTTGTAGCGACACAAGTGGACTGAGATAGGCAGCTGTCGTTCAGCAGCATTTACTTTGTGAAGGCACTGGAAGCCTTTCCACTTTAGCACAGAAGACTTCCCAGGGGCCACAGCAGGTGCACACTTGTGCAGCCGACAGCGGAAAGGCAGAGATGAGTTGGCCAGTCACTGGGTGTCTTCCCCATGATGCTGGGGGCCCCTGGAAGGCAGGGCCAGCGCCTTGTCATCTCTGTACCCAGTGCCTTTTCTAGAGGAAAGGGACAATATTAGAGATTCGATGTTTTCCAAGGCAGAAAGTTCCCGAACGTATTGCAGGAGGCTTGGACTCTGCTCCTTAACAGCCAGTGTGTCTGCAGCAGCAGCTGCCCACAGTGGGGGACATGTCCCAGCCAAGGGCTGCAGAGTCCTCACAGCAGTGCCTCCTCGCCTCCAAGGCCTGGCTGGCAGGTCAGCCCGAAGAGGCTTCCAGACTTCCCCGGGCAGGATGGGCGGCACCGCCTGTGTCCCTGCCCCTCTCACCTGCTACCTTGCATCCTGGTGCTATGGCCATCACCACAGACAGGCTTACTCCCCGAGGACAAGGGCCACAGCACAGCCCTCTCCCTCACTGATTCATCCACACGTTTGTGGAGGCTGGCTCTGAAGGCCCTGGACTGCTCACCTCCACAGGGACCAAGTCTCCCTCCCACCCTGAGACCAGCCCAGGAGGCCCTGAGGCCTTCAGCCAGTATACTGGGTGGATAATGTCCCCCTCATTTCATGTCTCTCCTGGAACCCCAGAATTTGCCCTTCTCCGGAAACAGGGAACTGCAGGTGTAATTGGTTCAGTTAAATGAGGCCCTGTTTGAGTAGGGTGGGCCCTGAACCCACATGACTGGTGTCCTTAGAAGGGGGGAAGAGGCATGGACAGGCAGGGAGTGTGCGGGGCCAGTGGGGGCAGAGACCAGAGTCCTGCTGTAGCCTGCAGAGGCTGGAAGAGGCAGGAAGGAGCCTCCCTGGGGACTGCAGAGCCACCACAGTCCTGCTGGCACCTGGATCTCGGGCTTCTGGCCTCCACAACTTGGGGAGAAGCAGTGTCTGTTGTTTGAAGCTTCAGTTTGTGGGACTTGGTTTTGGCGGCCCCAGGACACGAATCTGGCCGGCATCCGTTGGAATGAGTCTATCTGAGCAGACAGAGCGGCCCCAGCCTTGCTGGCCTCCCGTTCCCGCAGCCCATTCTGTGTTCTGCCTCCCCACTCTCCTGCCGTTTTTCTTCCCATCCCTGCTGTCCCTCACATGGGGGCCACCACGCTGGACCACTGCCTTACCCTCCTGTGTCCACGTCCGTGGTGATGGAGGTGGCTTAGCAGTGAGTCCCCATCTCAGGGAATTCAAGCCAGGCTGGAAGGGGGATGACTGAAGGTCCTTTGCAGCCTGCCAGGAAGGCTCTGAGAAGTCAGGCCCAGCCCTGGGCTCCCCATGGAGCTGCCCACTCCCCTCGGGGCTACCCTCCTCCTCACCGGGGAAGATGAGGCCTTGATCCCAGAGCTCCGGGGGCCCATCTGGACTCCACAGTGGGCATAATTATCACCTGAGTTGTAATATTCTAGCCAGGATTCAGCCTTCCCCTTGCCTGTCCAGCTCACCAGCCCCGCCTTCAACCCCTACTGGGCCTGCGTCACCCCCACCTCTGGGTCAGCCCAAGATGCTCCTGGCCCTCCTGACAAAATCTCCATCTCTCAGCCTGGCATAGCTCTTGCCTGCCTGGGTGGCTGTGACTTCCATTTGGGCTGCAGGCATCACGCTGCTTTCTCCACCTGAGGCACACCTGCCACCCTTGTCCACCCAGATCACACCTCCCACCCTCGTCCACCCAGCTCACCCCTCCCACCTGCGACCACCCGGATCACACCTGCCACCCGTGTCCACCCGGACCACACCTCCCACCTTCGTCCACCCGGGTCACCCGTCCCACCCGTGACCACCCAGATTACACCCCTCCCACCAGCGTCCACCCAGATTGCCCCTCCTGCCCACGTCTACCCGGGTCACCTCTCCCACCCGTGTCCATCTGTCCCACCCGTGTCCACCTGTCCCACCCGTGTCCACCTGTCCCACCCGTGTCACCTCTCCCACCTGTGTCCACCTGTCCCACCCGTGTCACCTCTCCCACCCATGTCCACCTGTCCAGCTTTCACAACTTTCTTTCAGCTTGGGAGCTGTAATGTGTAGAAAACCTTCCTGTCCAAATGAGCTCTGACTGGCCCTTAACACAGTGGCCTGCAGCTTGGGGAAACAACTCCAGGTGGCTATGCTGGTGGGTGCTGGGCATCGGAGTGGCACGGGCAGCCTGTCTGGTTGGGGATAAGACAAGCATAAGGGCAGGATGGGCCTCAGGAGAGGGATTTGAAGGACAGGCAGGCTACCTCCTCTGGAGCATGATGCTTATTCTGTGTTGCCTGGACTGGATGCAGAGGACAGTACCCTGGGTGGGACGCCTGGACCTGCCACCCAGCTGTCACAGCCACAGCCACAGCTCCAGTCATCACAGCCACAGCTCCAGCCGTGTTCCCCCAGGGAAGGGCAGGCGAAGTTGCTCCCTCCTTTCTCCTGTGGGCAGATGGAGCCCTGTGCTCCTGCCGCCCCGGTGAGTACCTGCACAGGAAGCCTTGTGACGACCTCCCCGAGGCAGTGGGTGGGGGGCGGGGGCGCTTTCAGAGCTGGCACAGGCTGCCCTGGAGGGAGAGGGGTGTCTTCAGGGCCTGGAGCCTGCCCTGGTGAGGGTAGCCTCTGGGCCATGGGCTGCAGGAGCTGAGAGCCATGACGGCCCCCTCCCCACGCTGGCACGGCCGGCACAGCGCAGCACTGCCCGGCAGCAGGGAGGCTGGAACCCCAGACACTCATCTGGCCTGCCCCTGGACCGTGGCTACCTGGGCCCAGGCAGGGAGGTGGGAGGCAGAGACGGAGTGCAGGCCCCTCCACAGGGCCTGGGTGGCCCCGCCGCCACAGCCGGAAGGTGGGCTCAGCACTCAGCTGTGATCTCCCTGGAGCTCAGGGAGGCCATATCAACCCTAGAGCGGGGACCCCAGGAAAGGAGAACCACCTGCACCCCACGCCTTGCAGAGTCCCGGCCGGGCCTCTTCCTGCTCCAGCTCGGGCTCCCGGAGACGGCTGCTGTAAAACCCAGGCTGTTCCCATCCTACAAACAAGGAAACAAACAGCACTTGGGTGTACTCCCATTTTAGAGACCAGGAAACAGACCTGGAGAATGAGGGGCTTTGGACCAGTGCTCCCCGGGGAGGGGTAAGGGCTGACTCTGGTCAGAAGTGGGGTCAGGGAGGTGGGAGGGGAGTGACCTGTGACCTTTGGGCACACGTGTCACCTGCTTCCTGGGAGGCCAGCAGGGCTTATGCTTTTTGGTTTTCAGGAGAAGCCGTAAGGACCAGAGGGATTGAGTGACTTGCCAAGGTCGCACAGCAAGGAGGTGTGGGATCGGGCAGCTCTCCTTGTTAAGGCCGCTCCCGGGGGCTCTGTCATACCCCTGTCACCCAGCCCAGGGCCGCGGATGCCCATGGCCTTGGCCTCCCGGGGGGCATCCCTTGCAGTCAGAGCCAAGTGCAGGCTGCTCACTGAGTGGCCTGCAGGGCAGGTGTCAGCGCGGGCGGGAGACAGGGCTGACCCTCTTGGCAGAGCAGAATCAGCTTCGTCCAAGCCGGTGGATTAATCACAGGAATGAAGATTGATCTCCAACGTGCCTGGCCTCGTTACTCATGTTGGAGCTTGCAGATGAGAGGCTTCCGGCTCCACGCGGAGCTGTGACCCCCCAGGGCGGGAATGGTTCCCATTCTCTCCCATCTCAAGTGCAAAACCAGGAAGCCTGCATGCCAGGCAGAGGGACCCCTGGGGACCCTGACACACGAGGACTCTGGGGTCCTGTGTCCCCTTTCTGACCCACACAGAGGCGGCCTCCGCTTAGTCACAGCTGCCTGCGACCCTCCAGCTTCATCCCCAAACCCTGCCCACCGGGGCCCTGCCATCCTGGTGTAACTCTGACAGTGCGAGCTTTCCGGGGGTTGTGGCAAGGCTGTGAGGTGTGGACCCCCTAGAGATAGTTGCATTTAAGAAAGATCAGCTGGCCGCCTGTTAGGACAGCTACCATGAAAAAGACAGGAGATGTGGGCGGCGAGGGCCTGCAGAAAATGGGAGCCTTGGACATTGCAGCTGGGAATGTGGAATGCTGCGGCCGCTACGGCAAACAGAGCAGGGGACCTAAAGAAATTAAAAAGGGGACCACCCTGGGGCCCAGCAATCCCACGTCTGGGTGTATACTCCCAAAATCAAATCGCCACCTCGTAAAGATGTCTGCCCTCCCAGGTTCACTGCAGCACTACTCACCATGGTAAGTGTCCATCGATGGACAGATGGTAAACCGGGGCGTATATTCACAATAGAGTGTGATTCAGCCTTAGAGAAGAGGAGACCCTCCCATTTGCCACCCTGTGGATGGACCTGCATGCCTACAGCTCTACACCCTGCACCCCTGAAGCTCCTGCTCCAGTCTATTTTTATACTCGCCCAGGAAGGCACCCCCACAGGCACATAGCCATCCAGTCTGCGAGGAGGGCTGGGAGCAGCAGAGGGGTGTGTGCTGCCCCTTCGTCTCTCCTCCACTTGAGAAAAAGCTTGGCCCAACTTGGCAGATGACTTGGATAGACGTTACCCTCTGGTCATAGCCCTGCCCAGTGGCCTCTCCTGCTCTCAGATGGTCCCTTCCTGAAGTCACTGGCAGGGGATGGAGAACACCCAACTAAATCTGGCCCTGCTTCGAGAAAGAGGGGTGGGGCCTGCTGGGACCTAGATGCCCGACAAGAGTGCTGGCTGTGCCTGGGACTCTGGCATTGGTGGAGGACAGGGGAGCAGACCCTGCCAGCCCTGCAGGGTGGGCCAAGGTGGGCCGCAGTTCCCAGGCCACCCAAGCGGGGTGGGGTGTGGGGACAGGGGGAGGCTGTGCCAGCTTCCACCCCCATCTCTCCCTCCCCACCCCCACCTTTTGCAACCTCCCATGGTCTTGGGTTCCACGGGGAGCCACAGTCTGGGCTGTTCTCCGAAGCTGGACTCATTAAAGGAAGTGTTCTCATCGGCACTTTTCCAGCCCAGACGGTGGCAGCTTTAATATCCAGCAGCACAGCCTGGGGGCGGGCCTGCTCCTGCGGCTGTGAAGGGCCTGCGTCCTCCTACAATGGAGAGGAAATGAAACGCGAAGATGTTTCCCCCTCGGAACAATGGCCCAGCAATCAACCATCGGAGGGCCAGAGAGGTGCACTGGCCGAGGCAGGTGGGGTGAGTGGGCGGACCCAGGCAGGCAGCAGCTCCGCCCAACCCGCCTCCTCCTCTGGGAAATGGGAGCAACACTGGGGGAGGAGGCGATGGCCCAGCCCCGCAATGCGCATTAGCTCCGAGCCCTTGAAAAGGAAGCCATGAGTGAGTGGTGGTCACTGGAGCTGTCGGGGTCGGGAATAGCCAGGATTTCTTGAGCCAGCTCTGTGTCTGCTTTGACACTGAGGGGTGCACGGGCAGCAGTGGGGGCAGAAAGAGGAGGGACGCTGGGTGGGCAGCTGTCCAGAGGAAACTCCATCCACTGTGGATCAGACAAGGGCCTCTGACCCGCAGGAGAATGTGTGGCATAGTGGCAGGGGCCTGAGGTCGGAGCCCCAACTCAGCAGCCACCGGAGCCCTGGGGCAACTGACCAGCAGTCTTTCTGGGTTTAGTGACTGCATGCATGTGAGTGTTAAGAATGTGTGTGTAAGAGTGTGACAGAGTAAGAGCGTAGATGTGAAAGAGTGTGTATTTGTGACTGTGAGTGTAAGGATGTGTGTGCGTCAGTATGAGTGTGCATAAGAGTGTGCACATGTGAATGTAAGTGTATGTGTGACTGTAATAGTATGTGTGTAAGCATGTGAGTGTAAGCATGTAAGAGTGTGTGTAAGACTTAGCATGAGTGTAAGAGTGTGTATTTGTGTGTGAATGTAAGAATGTGTATGTGTGTAAAAATGTGTATGTGTGTGTGAGTGTAACTGTAAGATTGTATGTGAAAGTGTAAGGCTGTGTGTGTATATGTAAGTGCATAAGGATGTATGTGTGTAAATGTGTGTAAGACTGTGTATGTAAGAGTTTGCGTGTGTAAAAGTGAGTGCATGTGTATGAGTGTAAGTGTGGGTGTGAGTGTAAGTGTGTGTGTAAGAGAGTGTGCATGTGTGAGTGTGTGAGAGTGTGCACGCTCATAACAAACTCCAACAAGGTCAGAGGGAAGCCTGCTCCTCCCACCACACAGCTGGCCCTGCCACCTGCCACGTCCACACCGAGCTCCCTGGACTCCTCTCCCTGAGGCCTTCATCACTGTTGGAACCCATGCTCCGCCCCTCTTCACCCCTTTTTGGTCCCAGGACTCTCTGGGTCCCCACCTGTCTCATCCCCTGCTCTCCAAAGCCTTCTTGAGGCCTCTGGGGTCCGTCCTCCATCACTGGCTACGTCCCCAGGATCCTCGACCCCCTCACCTTCTTGTCCCAAAAGAAACCTCCCTCGATGATGCTGTCACCTCAAGGGGCACTCGGCAAATGGGTCACCCCAACCCCGGGTCCCAAATCCAAGGCCCAGGCACCATGCTGGGGCCTCCCTCGCCGTCGCCCGCTTCTAGCCTCAAGATGCGGAGTCCTTCTGATTGGGCTCCCCGTGAGCACAGCCTCCACCTCTCCCCTCCACCCCCACACAGCAGAGGGAGGGACCTGAGCCCTTCGGGGTGGGGTGGCAGCCCCTGTTGACCCCAGGCTATGGTGGGGATTTCGGCTTTATTCTGCGTGAGACAAGTCCAGTGTTGGGTCTTCAACGGAGGAGGTGCAATCCCACGGACGTTGTACAGGATTCACAGGACTCCCCTGGCTTCGAGGTTAAACAGCCGGCAGGGTCTCCAGCGTGGACACAGGAAGGCTGGTCTGTTGCGACTCCTCGAAGCACAGTGGCCGCCCTGCTGGCTTTGGGGTTACACAGTGGCTGCCCCCCAGCTTCAGGATTAAACAGTGGCTGCCCCCCGGTTTCAGGGTTAAATAGCCGGCAGGGGCTCCGGGTTGGACACAGGGAGGCTGGTCTGCTGTGACTCCTCAACGCACAGTGGTTGAGAATCACCCATCTTTTTTAGTGGGTCGCTGTTTTGTGGGTCAAGAGTTCGGGAAAGGCTCGAGGGGCCGGTTCTTGCTTGGGGTCCCTCCCGCGGTTCCAGCCAGGTGTCCAGTGGGGTTGTGGTCATCTGAAGTCTCGTCTGAGCTTGATGTCCACAGTGGCACAGTCACGTGGCGGGCAGCTCTCCTGCTCATCAGATGGGAAGTTCGTGGGGCCGAGAACGGGAGCACCCACCATGGGCCTCTGCCTGGGGCTGGAGCTTCTCACAGCTCGAGGTCTGGGGGCAGCATTGCAGGAAGGAGCCTGGGCGCTCCATGTTCCCAAAGACCAACACAGCAGCTGCCAGGCGTCTTCGGACCTAGCCCTGAACGTCACACAGCTGCTCTCCAGCTACATGCGACTGGCGACTGGTTCCAAGCCAGGCTTCAAGGCCGGCTCAGATTCAAGGGGAAGGGGATTCGACCACACCTGTCAAGGAGGAGCTGCAAGACATGCACAGCCACCTTTTAAAACTGCCGCAGGAGACTGGCAGCATCCCAGAGTGGAGAGGACGCGGGTGTGAGCCAGGGAGGCGGCGGTGCAGGTGACGGAACCGGTCAGCGTCTGGATTTAGTTTGAAGACACAGCCTGACTATGCCTGCTGATGGACCACAGTCCTCAGTCACTGGCTCCAGGGACCTGTGGGCGTCCCGAGGCCAGCTGGCGCTATCTGTCTGTGTGGCCAGCGCACAGTCACGCCCTGTGGGGTGAATGAATGAGAAGGGCTTCCCCTCCCCAGGCAGGTCCCTGGAGCACAGTGCTGGGCACTCAGCAATGCCAGGGAGGAGCATGCAACCCGGAGAATCAGGCAGGACCCAGCCTCCACGCTCTGGGGGTGCGGGGAGCTATGGGGGGAAGGGGAGCTGACCTCGTGCTTTCGCCAGGAGCTCTTTCTAGAAGCCAGGGCCAACTCCACCCCAAGGTGTTTGTGTGTGAAATTGGGGATGAGGCATATTGAATAATAGCGCAAGAAAGGGCATTACCAGCTTGCTCTTAGACCTCTAGCTGAACATGGGTGATGGTGCTAGGAACCGGCCACTGCCACACAGAGGGGCTCCAGCTGCTTCACCCGCTCACCCCAGTGGGTAAACGCAGCGGCCCAGTGCTCAGCACATACCAGGCGCTCAGCCTTGTCAGCTCAGAAGACGGAGCCCCGATGCTTAGCATATGCCTAGTATACAGCAGGTGCCAGGTGGATGCATCCCTCTACACTGAGCCCCAGTGTTTAGCCTGTGGCCAGTATACAGCAGGCACCAGGTAAATGTATTCCTCAAGACTGAGCCCCAGTGTTTAGCCTGTGGCCAGTATACAGCAGGCACCAGGTAAATGTATTCCTCAAGACTGAGCCCCAGTGCTTAGCCTGTGCCTAGTATACAGCAGGCGCCAGGAGGATGTATCCGTCAAGACTGAGCCCCAGTACTTAGCACATGCCAAGTATACAGCAGGCACCAGGTAAATGTATTCCTCAAGCCTGAGCCCCAGTACTTAGACCGTGCCTAGTATACAGCAGGCGCCAGGTAAATGTGTCCCTAAAAACTGAGCCCCAGTGCTTAGCCCGTGCCTAGAAGCCAGGTAAATATATCACTCAAGCCTGAGCCGCAGTGTTTAGACTGTGCCTGGTATATAGCAGGTGCCAGGTAAATGTATCCCTCAAGACTAAGCCCTAGTACTTAGCCCATCCCTAGTATACAGCAGGCGCCAGGTGGATGTATCTCTCAACACTGAGCCCCAGTGCTTAGCCTGTGCCTAGTATACAGCAGGCACCGTCTGGATGTATCCCTAAAGACTGAGCCCCAGTGCTTAGCTCATGTCTAGTATACAGCAGGTGCCAGGTGGATGTATCCCTCAAGCCTCAGCCCTAGTGCACCTGCCTAGGGCTCTAGTGTACATCCCTCAAGCCCATGCCTAATGTACAGCAGGTACCGGGTGGATGTATCTCTGAAGCCTGAGCTCCAGTGGCTAGCCCATGTCTAGTATACAGCAGGCGCTGGGTGGATCTATCCCTCAACAGTGACCCCCAGTGCTCAGCCCGTGCCTAGTATACAGCAGGTGCCAGGTAAATGTATCCCTCAACACTGAACCCCAGTGCTTAGCTCGTGCATAGCATACAGCAGGCACCCAGGTGGATGTATTTCTCAAGTCTGAGCCCCAGTGCTTAGCTGTGCCTGGTATACAGCAGGCGCCAGGTGAATGTATCCCTCAAGACTGAGCCCCAGTGTTTAGCCTGTGCTTAGTATACAGCAGGCGCCAGGTGGATGCATCCCCTAAGCAGCCCCAGGAATGCCTCGGGCCCAGACAGTGCTGGAGCACACACAGTGCAGGTGGCTGCAAACTGCTCCCTTCACTCACCTGGTACTGGCTGTGTGTTAACTGCTGGCCACTGGCTGCACAGCTGGGGCAGTCCAGACCCCCAGTCTAGCATCGCAGGGCTCTCTCTGGGCTCCCCGAGCCTCTCTTGCTCTAGCACTGGTCTCTGTTGAGGCAGGTGCAGATGTGAAGCTGTGGGGGATGGAGCCTTCCTAGTCCTGTTGTGGAAATTCACCTGCAACTGAGCCTCTCCTGGGTCAGCAGGTGGAGGGAGCCATACAATGCAAACAAGAAGGTACCTTCAGAAAAGGCTGTAATGGAGGAAAACAGTGAAAAGAGGCAGCAGCCAGGAGGGCTTCCTGGAGGTGGCACTGTTCAGGAAGGAGCTGTAGGACTGGAACAGCAGGCAGAACAGCATATGCACAGGCATGGGGTGGAGGAAACACTGTACTGGGTGGGAGTGAGGGAACCAGGGGGCTGAGAGAGTCAGGGAGATGGTGGTGCAGACACACCGAGGGCTGGCCTGTCACACAGGAGCACAGCACTGATGCAGAGGCATGGGAATTGTGCAGTGCCTGAGGCTGGGGGCTCTCTGCCACCCCTGAGCTGTCCCATGAAAAGCAGACAGCTGTTGAGTCTCTCTCCACCCTCCATCCTCTAATTTTTGCTACACTGAGGCCACGCCGATTTAATTAATTAATTCCCCAAATTACTGAATCAATACCTAATTACAACCACACACAATGCTGACAGCCCCGGAGCCACACTCTGCAATCACCGCTTTTACAGCAAGAAGCTGAGTCTCAGGGAAATGACATCACTAGCCCAAGCAGACGGCACCAAGATCTGTCTCCCAAGATGCTCAGCAAACCAAGAGGACAGAGGTGAAGAGTAGGAGGGACATGGGGCTGTCAGTTTGCAGTCCCTGCACCCCTGCACTCCTGCATCTCTGCACCCCTGCAGCTCTGCATCCTGCACCCCTGCATCTTGGCACCCTTGCACCCAGCACTACTTCAGCTCTGCACCCTGAACCCCGGCACCCTGCACCCCTGCGCCATAACCCTGCACCCTGCATGCATACAGCTCTGCACCCTGCACCCCTGCGTGGTAGCCCTGCACTCTGCACCCTGCATACCTACAGCTCTGCACCCTGCACCAGGCGCCAGGTGAATGTATCCCTCAAGATGGAGCCCCAGTATTTATCCTGTGCCTAGTATACAGTGGTAGCCCTGCACCCTGCACCCTGCATGCCTACAGCTCTGCACCCTGCACCCCTGAAGCTCCTTCTCCAGTCTATTTTTATACTCATCCAGGAAGGCACCCCCACAGGCACATAGCCATCCATTCTGCAAGGGGGGCTGGGAGCAGCAGGGGAGTGCGCACTGATCCTTCATCCCTCTTCCACTTGAGAAAAACCTTGCCCCAACTTGGCAGATGACTTGGATAGACGTTACCCTCTGGTCATAGCCCTGCCCGGTGGCCTCTCCTGGCCTTGCACCTGCTTGGTGACCAACTGCCTCTCAGCTGGAGAGGGTCAAAGGAAGACACTCAGAAGGAGCCTGCCTGGGAGAGCTGTGGGCCTCTCAGGAAGGGGACCCCAGCTGCTGCCCTTCTACCTCTGCTGCACCTCCCAGAGGAGACGGATCCAGCAGGACTGACCTGCTGCGGGGCTGCTGCTCTCCTGGAAGTCCTTGCAGAGCAGCAGCTGTGATGGGGGCAGGCCTGGTGGCCCCAGACTTCCCACCTCTCTTTCCTTGAGTCCCAAGACCCAGGCACTGGGGAGGAGGAGCTGAGGCATGTCGGGGGGAGAATCAGGAGCTGGCTTTGGAAGGGACAGCCTCACCATGAACTCCGGCTGAGGCTGTGCTGCTTTAGGGAAGGCGAAGGGTCCAGCCCAGCTCCCTAGAGCCATGTGCATGGACAGAGGACTCAGATGGGCTCCCAGCCTTCAGGGGCTCCCTGTCTCAAGGGCGAGCAATGATGGTGGCCTGGGCCTTTCACACATACCTGGCTCTGCCCCCATGGCAGCCCTGAAAAGGAGAGGATTATCACGCCCATCACAGATGAGGAAGCAAAGGCACAAACACTCCAAACAACTTGCCTGGGTCCTGCAGACAGGACATGGCGAGCTGGGCTTTGAACCCAGGCACCCAGCTGCCTCACTCCTGCAATAAGTGCCTGGGGTGATACTTGTTGTCCTTTGATTCTAAAACTCTGTCCCATGTTGTTTTAATTTTGCTAGAACATGGGTGTTTTCAGGTCCCCATGGCTGATGATCATCCTCTGCTTCCGAGTCCCTCTTGGTGTTTGCAGATGCAGGGCAGCTGCCCGGGCTCAGCTCACACACCATGCTCCACTCCTTATATTTGCCTTCGTCCGTGTCCATATTTTTTCCAAAAGGGAGACTGTTTATCGAGCACTTACAATGCGCTGATGTTGTTCTAGACACTTGAGAGACAGCAGTGAACAAAACAGGCGAGGCAGCCTGCCCCATGGGACAGTGGACACCCTGAGAGCGGGGACACAGTGGGCAATGTGAGTTCCCAGGCAGGGGTTGGGCTGGGAAGTGTGGGCGCTGGAACACTGGGAGATGGCCCTGCCAGGGCAACAGTTGAAGGCCGAGAGCAAGGGCATCATGGAGATGCTGGGGGCAGCAGAAGTGCAGGTGCAAAGGTCTTGAGAAAGCGGCACGTGACTGGTCTGTGGGGGAACTCCTGGGAGGCCGGTGGACGGGAGTGGAGGTGGGAAAGGGTCCAGGCGCTGGGGTCTGAGCACCCCTCGAACGGGAGGGCACTCAGTGAATGGGCACTCATGTTTGGCAATGAGCTGCTTTGAGAGTGCAGGAGCCCCTTTGGAAAATGTCCCTTTCAGAGACCACTAAGGACTCCTGAAGGAGGAAGGTGAGTGAGGGGCCAGGCAGGAGGGCCTGCCAGGGGGGAGGGTCAGGGCCCTGAGGCTCTGTGACCTAGAAAAGGTGGTAAAGAATTGTGTGCACCCACCTTGCACCCCCAGGGCTGGGCGTTGGGCGTTGGGCGTTGGTGGCGTTTCATTGATTCTAACTTCAAATCCAGGCTTCAGAGCCATTGTGTGATTTATCATCTGGGCTAGGTCAAGATCACATCGCTGAGAAGTGGCTGGATTGGGATTCAAACCAGCTCCACCTGACTCCAGCACCGGCTGTTCACTTGACCCTGTCCACCGTTCAGGGAAGAATCTCACCAGCTCCCTGGGCCTCAGTTTCCCCATCTACAGATGGTGAAACTCACAGGAGGTGAGGCCAAATACTCACTGAGGTCCCTTCCTCTCTGGCAGAGGGAGCAAGTAAGCACATTGTGGAGGAACAGAATAAAACACGGGGTATTTGGTCTCTCCCCCGATCCAGTGCCTGAGGAGCAGCCCAGCCTACCTACAATCATGCATGATTCAAATGCAAGCCTGCAGACGCACGGGAGCCTCGCAGCCTGCCAGATCCAGCAGCGAGCGCTCAGCACCGACAGAACCCACTTCTCTCTGGTTCCCGACTGGGCACACATTTCTATTTTGGTGTTTATTTTATTTATCTCATTAACTCCCTCCAACACCACAGCACAACCCTGGGAAGCGCTGACCTGCTGTCTCTTAGCAATAAGTGCCGGGCTGTCTGTGCAACCCAAGCCAGGCTGGTGGACGGGTGAGACCAGCTTCCCTCCTGCATGCTAGCAGCAGTGCTTGGACACAAAGCCCATAGCGACTGGTGCTGGCTCCTGCTGCTCCTGAAATGAGGTGTGGGGGCCACACCTCTGTGGGTGATCAGCATCCCCTGGCACCTCCGTGGGTGATCAGGACTCCCTGACACCTCTGTGGGTGATCAGGACCCCTTGGCGGTCTGTGCAGGGCGGGATGAGCCCCTCATCTTACAGAGGGGGATCCAAGGCTGAGGACCCATGGGCCCTGCCCCAGCTCCCAATCTGGGCAGGCGAGAGCCAGGACTGAAGCCTCGACCCTCGGGGTTCTTCCCCAAAGCTCCTCTTCTCCCTAAACTTGGGGTGCCGTGGCCAGAAGCCTGACTCAAGGACAGAATGTCTTGGTGCTGTCCTCCCCAGACAGCCCCACCACCCCCAGGCTGGAGCACCATGCATAGTCTCCCTCCCTGCTCTCTATAAAACCATCGTTTTGTTTCTGATTTAGAAGATACCATGTTCATTGCAGAGAATACTGGAAACACACATAACTATGAGAAAGCAAATAAAAGTCACCTGTAACCCCACCCCCTAGAAATGCCTGCCCTAGCTATTTTAGTTTGTGATTTCTAATCTTTCCAAATGCTCAGATCTCTACAAAGAGAGATGCGTGCATGGCTAGGCATACAGAAGGCACAGACACCCTCGACAGTTCCCTACAGGGGAGCCTGTGCTGTGGCGTGAGCCGCCCTTCAGTGTTGTGCTAGTCCCGGGTGCCCTTTGAGGCTGAGAGGCAGGAGGGCTTATGAGACCTCGTCCACTCCTGATCATCATTGCTGTTGGGAGAAAGAATGGCATTCCTACAGAGAAACAGATGCCCCACACCTCTGTCCGTCTGCTGTGTCACTCAGGAGATGATACACCAGCCCTCCCAGGACCAATAGGCGTGGAGTGTGATTGTGTGGAGAACAGTGCTGGCACTGGGCATGTGCGGCACAGAGCAGGTGCTCAGTAAACATCAGCAGGAGGCATGGTGAGTGAGGAGCCGTGTGAAGGAGGCAGGTGCTGAGGGGCTGGGGGCCGGGCAGGGCACTAGACCTCCCCCACCAAGTTCCTGCCCTGGGTGGGCAAGTGGGGCTCTGTGGCAGTGTCTATGATCTGGGTAGCAGAGGGGACTCTGTACCAGTTACCTACAGGCATGATAATTCTGCCTAACAAACAGCCCTGAATCCCAGGAGCATAAATATGCCTTCACTCAGCCCCTGAGTCTGCAGGGATCTGCTGGCCTGGGCTGGGATAAGCCGTAGGTTGGCCTGCGGGAGAGAGAGTCGCAGGGGGCCACTTCTGCCTGTCCCTGAGCCGGATCAACCCAGCTTAATCCATGCTGGCCTCCAGTTCAGGTCCTCCAGTGTCTCTTTCCCACTTTCCCTGCCTGAGCCCTGCTCTCTGCAGGGTCCTGTACCCTTGGACAGCCCCAGATACTCTGATCGGGGAGAAAAGTGGGTGATGGGCTCTGTTACACATAGGCCCTGGGGGTGATGGGAGAATTAACCAACTCATAATCTAACTCCAGGTAGAGCCCTACTTCTTTCTATCTGACTTGTTCTTTTGAAAAATTTCAAACCTATAGAATAAATGCTATCTACTCTTCTCCCCAATTCACGGATGGTCAACATGTTGCTACATGGCTTTCTACCTGTCCATATACATTTTGAAAGTGAGTTTCCTGTAAGTATCCACTAAAGCCCAGGACACTCTCCTACCTAACCCCACTAACCTGAAAATTTCTATTTCAGTTTTCTGAAAAATCCCATACCTGACAAATTTAACATTGATACTGTCAACTGAAGAATGGTTAGGCTCCTAAGTTTGGAAAGGAGAGCTTTGTTTCTCATAAAAATGGTAGCAGCCTGCTGGGCAGCCATTCTGACAGGCTGGGAAGCATAGCCTCAGGTCAGAAGCAGGAAACAGACATTTCGAGAATGGGAAGAATTAGACAAGGGGTTATGGTGAGTAGGGTGGCCAAATATGCATATTCAGTGAACTACAGGAGGAGTCATGAATATTTATGAGAGGAGAAATGTATGCGTGTGCACTTGAGCTTCCTACCTCTCCATGGGACCCATGCTCAAGACATGGCAGCATGATCTGAGGGTGGACTTTTCTACCCTCTGATGTGAAAAGGTGAAGCGAAGGACACAAAAACCCTCACCGTGCATCCCCTGCAGACTGACCAGAAACTCTCTGTGATCCGTGGTCTCTCTCCTATCAGGAAGGAACTCAGGTGAGTTGCTGTGTCAAACCTGTAAGGGGTGCGGGGCGGGGCGGGGCGGGGCGGGGCGGGGTGGGGGCAGGTCAAGCATTGGTTGTAAGCAGGGCAGAGTCTTTTGGAAGAGCTGGTTTCTCTGCCGCCCTCAGGGAGGCAGCCCGGTGGCAGTTAATGAGGGAGGGAGGCATATGACGAGGCAGGTCCAACCTCCTGTCCTGCTGTGGGTGGGAACTCATCTCCCAAGGTTTCTCTAGGGTCCCATTGGCCAAGAGGGGTCTGCTCAGATGGTTGGGAGGCTTAGGATTTCACTTTTCTTCTCAATTCTCTGTAATTGTTATGGATTGAATGTGTTGAATTCATATGTTGAAGTCCTGCCGCCCAGTGTGATGGTATCAGAAGGGGGCGTCTTTGGAGGTGATTAGGCTTAGACCAGGGCGTGAGGGTGGGTCCCATGATGGGATTAGTGCCCTTACAGGAAGAGAACGAGACCAGAGCTCTCTCTCTCTTTCCATTAGCGAGGACTGGGTGGTTTGGAAGCCTGGAAGACAGCCCTTGCTGGAACCCAGCCCGGCTGGCAGCTGGCCTCATCTCAGACGTCCCGCCTCAGACCCGGAGAACTAGGTGTCTGCTGCTGAAGTCCCAGCCCTGCTATTCCATCATGGCAGCCTCAGCTAAGACAGCAATGATCTAATATTCATCCACGTTCCAATTTCCCCAGTTATTCCAAATTATATCTTTTAGATAGAATTAACCTGTTTGTTTAAATCAGTACTTAATGAGGACCACGCATTACATGTCATTGTCATCTCTCTTTAGTCTCCTTCAGTTTAGTTTCATCTCCTTCCCTGTCATTTTTGGTCTCTCACAATGTTCACAGGCAGTGCCCTCCTCTTCTAAAGACAAAAGAGAACGAGCTAAAGGCTTCTCCTGCCCCCATATCCCTCTCCACACAGGAAAGAGGGGACCCAGTGCCTGCTGGGAGAGCTTCTGCAGGAGAGGGTGTAGCTTGGGGCTGCCTAGGGCTCTGGAGAAAGCAACTGAAAAGAAGATGGTCAAGGTCAACTTTAGATAAAGGCATGCAGCCAGACATCTTCTCCTTCCTCTCAAATGCACTCAGAGCACCATTATAGCCGCGCCTCTCCTGTTCCCAGCAGCCCAGACACAAACAAACAATGCGAAGAGATGAAGGAGCCCTGAAGACCTGGCCTCTGCAGCCTCCCAGCAGCTGGGAAGCATTTAATTGCCCGCAGGGCTTGTTATGCAAATGAGTCATTGGCTGCTCTAGTCTCGCACAGATGTCTGATGAGGCGGGCTCCTTGGCTCAGTCCTTTCTGAAACAGACAGAGTTTATCTGTACCCTCATTTTACAGATGAGGAAACTGAGTCTCAAAGAGGGTAAGTATCCACCCAAGGTCACCAACTGGCAGATGTTAGGTCCGAGCTGATTTAGGCCTCAGAGGGAAGGGGTGGCCTTGGCCTAGGAGAGGGTACTGGCCTCCAGGGAGCAGACCCCTGGGTCAGGCAGTTGTGGGAGGCATGGACACACTCTGGTGGGCACAAGGAAGCTTGAATGCAACACTGCACCCAGCTGGCACCAGAATACATTCCTCCTTTAGTCTACAGTTGGCATTCATCAAGTGCCAGCTGTGTACCAGGCTCCATGATGGGTGGGTGACCCAGAGATCAGTCAGATCCAAGCCCTGCACAGGCCATCTGCAGAGAATGCTCCGGGAATGTTGGGTGATCACTGAATCAATAAATACATCAATGAATTAATGAATCAATTAGCAAATGATATGGGCTTTGACGTATGGATGGGGCTTTGCACAGTTCATGTGTGGGGTGAGGGTTGCATGCGTGGCCCCGGGACATAGACCGAGTGTGTTTTCCTGTGTAGAAGCAGGATCCAGGAGTAAAGACCCAGCAGGGCCAGGGATGGGTGTTCTTGGTTCCCCTGACCCCACCCTCACCTCCAGGAAAGTCACCACTCTCCTGCAGAGAGGAGTTGGGGAGAAAGCAGGGACAAGAGTAAGGGAGCAGCATGGCTCCCCAAAAAAGCAGAGGCTCCTGCCAGAGGGCAGCAGGAGCTTGGGATGGCCTAGGCCTAGACACAGGGCATGAGCAGCTCACAAGAAGCCTGGGCTGAGGTTTGGCTTATCTGGCCCAAGGCCAGGGGAGGGGAGGAGAAGAAGGAGATGTCCACGGTACAACAGGCTTCCATCCCATTCTGCTTATCTATTGCTGTGCAACAAGCCCCACTAAAACTCAGTGGCATAAAGCAACAGTGGCTGATGAGTCTGTGGTTTGACTAGGCTCAGCTGGGTGGCTCTTCTGTCTTTGCAGTTGAGGTCTCTCATGGGGCTACAGTCAGTGGGCAGCACAGGCTGGAACACCCAAGATGGCTTCACTTAATGTCTGGGGCCTTGGTAGGAACAGCTGGTAGCCTGGGCTCTGAGGTAACAAAGGGGCCTCCCCTCTCTCCATGTGGTCTCTCCAGCAGGACTTCTTACCTGCTACCTCCCAGCTCCCAGGAGTGGATGTGTCATGCTTTCTTAAGGCTTGGTCTCAGAGCTGGTGCAGTGTTGCTTCCTCTCTTTTCCACCAGTGATATGGATTGGATATTTGTCCCCTCCAAATCTCATGTTAAAACGTGATCCCCAATATTGGAGGTGGGGCCTGGTGGGAAGGTGTTTGAATCATGAGGGTGGATTCTTCATGAATGGCTTGGTGCCCTCCCCACAGTAATGAGTGATTTCTCATTCTTTTCATGCGAGAGCCAGTTGTTTAAAGGAGTCTGCCATCTCCCGCTACTCTCTCTTGCTCCCTCTCACATGTGACACACCGGCTCACCCTTTGCCTTCTGCCATGATTTTAAGTTCCTGAGGCCTCACCAGAACCTGAGCAGATGCCAGCACCATGCTTGTACAGCCCACAGAACTGTCAGCCAAATAAACCTCTTTTCTTTATAAAATATCCAGTTACAGACACTCTTTTATAGCAATGCGAAATGGATTAACACCACCATCACATCATAGGGCCAGCTCAGATTTGACACAAGAGGGAACTGCCAATGGTGTTAGTACTGGGAGCATGGCCCACCTCAGGTGACAAGTTGATTGTGAAGGGCTTTACTCTCTATGCAGAAAAGGGAATGGTTGAATCTTCAGTAGTCAGTGTGCTTTGGAGAGAACATTTGGTGGCACAGAAGTGGAAGCAGAAGAAGGCAGTTGGGAGGTTGCTGCTAGAATTTAGGAGCATCCTTTACCTGGAGGACAAGGCTAGGGTGGGAGGAGAGAAGCACATTTGAGTCAGGGAAGAGCACATGGAAGGGACATGTGGCAGGAGGGCTGTGGTCATTAAAGGAGGGAAATCAGAACAGCTGGGCCCAGAGAGATGGGAGAGACTGAAGAAGGGTGGCCAAGGCCACCCTGCAGGGCTGGAGGCCATGGGGAGGGGCATGGGGCTCACCCAGGAGGCTGGTGAGCTCTACCCTCTCTTCCAATTCTTCCAAGGCACTAAACCCACCCCTGAGGGCAGCACCACCCTCAGGACCCAGTCACTTCCCGAAGGCCCCACCTTCAAATACCGGTGCACTGGAGGTGAGGGCTGTAACATATGAATTTGGGGGACACAATAGCAGGTGGCTGATACTGATGGTGGTAGCAGCCTGTCTGGAGCAGAGGGTCTCCAGCTGCAGTGGGTGAGGTGCAGCCATGGCTGCAGGCTGCGTGGAGCTGGCGGGGGCCAGGAACAGGTGGGAGCCCCGCCCCCTACCAAGTTAAAGGAGCGGGAGCCCCATGTTCCCAGGCACAGCTGCAGCTGCCCATCCACAGCTCCAGACTGGGGCATCTCTGTGCTGTCAGTGGCCCGGGAAAACCCCCATAAGCCCACAGGCTTGGAAGTATCTGCTCCTGCTCCCTGGCCTCTCCCTGTTCCTGGCATCCACTCCAATTTCAGAGCAAAGTTGTGGCTGAGCCTGGGCCCTGTCACAATCCAGCCAGGTGTGCCTACCCTGGGGGCAGAACTGACCATGCCAGCCCCTTGCCACCTCAGCCCCTTCTGGACCTTGGGCACTGACTAGCACAAGAGGGAGGTCAAGCGGGGACTGAGGGTGGCTCATCGCAGGCCTGCAGGTGCCCCCCGGCACAAACAGCCTGGTGCCGTGGATGACCGGTTGATGGTGGCTGAAGGCAGACAGGCTCCTGGGTGGAAAGGGGTGGGTCCCTGGTGAAGCCCCATCTCCAAGCCAGGGCTGGCCTGAAACCTGGGGGCTGGGCTGTCAGTTCTGGGTAGAGTCTGCCCCTCAGAGTGAGAACTTGTATTTTTTCTGGGCCCACCCATGGCTGCCCATGGACCAATCAGCACACACTTGCTCCCTTCTGAGCCCATAAAAACCCAGGACTCAGACAGACTCACACAGACATTGGGACTACTAGCTGTGGGAAGGAACTACTCACCTGGGGTCTCCTGAGAGCTCTTCTGTCACTTAATGAAACTCCTCTCTGCCTTGCTCACCCTCAAGTTTTCCATGTATCTTCCTGGACACAGGACAAGAACTCAGGACCTGCCAAATGGTGAGACTGAAAGAGCTGTAACACAAACAGGACTGAAACATGCCCCCCGCCACCAACTGTCCACATCATGGGCGATGAGGAGAGAAGAGCTGTGGCCCTTCAGGGAGCCCAGGCCAGGGCTGTGACACCCTCTTTGGGGCTCTGTGGTTCCTGGTGTCTCCAACCTTCCAGCACCACTGCGTTTCCCTTGTCCAGACACAGGTGTCCACAGCGGAAGCCAAGAGTGATACATCTGGTCCAGCCACATCCTCTCAGGGAGCCAGCACCTGTGTTGGCACTGGAGCTGCCCACCCCGCCGCAGCAGTCGGCATGCCTGGCTGTGTGCAGTGGCTGGACATGGCTCTGCGCTCGCTCACACATCCCTCACCACTCTGTGCCTGGCTCACCATTGGCAGGCGTGGGATCCGGGCCGGTAGCAGGAGCAGAGGCAGCAGCAGCAGAAGGTACCACCAACCACAGAGGTTTCCACAGAGGCTGGCAAAGTTACACCCCAAGGATTCCATGACAATACTGTGATCCCACCATGACCCCCATCTGTCATTCCCACTGAGCTGTAGGCACTACATCACCAACCCTGGTAACAAGCAAAGGGCTCAGCTTACAGGAGATACTTGGTTCTGTTGTGAGGTTAATGAGAGACTGAAACTTATTACCCCCTTCCAGATAAGGGGCTTAAACCAGGGCCTCTCCCGTCTGGAAAGCCTTCTAATCAACAAGCACTGAATTGCTGCAGGCAGGCATTGCAAGGGCCAAAGGATGTGTATTGTACCACATTGAGCCAAAGCTGAGACTCAGGTGACATTCTGCTTTTCTGCTATCATCCTTCAGCCATGGACCCTTGCATCTGCTTAAATCTTCTTTTTGAATTCAAAGAACATGTCTTTTGCAGGGCCCTAAAGACAGTCCTCGGAGAGTGTCAGCCATTTTGGGGATTCTCTAACCAGTTTTAGGAAAATCTCATCTATGTTTAGGACCAATAACAGCTCTACTCCTCTCTCTCAAGTTATACAAACTTCATCACATCTTCCTTCGTGCCTGGTTCTCCCCACAAGTGTTGAAATCATTTTTGTGAATCACGTTTTCTCTCCAAGAGAACTCATTTGAGAAGATCTGTGTATATCCTCTTAGGGCCAAGGAGACCTGAAGGATATTTTCTTCCTTAATCAACTAAGTTACAGGCATCCCACCGGATTCACTTTACAGGCTTCAAATTAGTTTAGGAGTTTCCTAGAGTTTGCTGAGCTCAGTTCATCCTAATTGGGACAATTTCTAAGCATCACGGAAATAGCTGGCTGAGAGAGATGAGAAGCCATGAAGCCCACCCCTGCAGTGGGCATGTGTATTAGTCCGTTTTTACACCGCTGGTAAAGACATACCCTAGCCTGGGTAATTTATAAGGAAAAAGAGGTTTAATGGACTCACAGTTCCATGTGGCTGGGGAGGCCTCACAAGGCGAAGGGCACGTCTTACGTGGCAGCAGGCAAGAGAGTATGAGAGTCGAGAGAGGGGTTTCCCTTTCTAAAACCATCAGATCTCAGGAGACTTATTCACTACCATGAGAATAGTATGGGCGAAACCGCCCCCATGATTCAATTATCTCCCACCCGGTCCCTCCCGCAATATGTGGGAATTGTGGGAGCTGCAATTCAAGATGAGATTTGGGTGGGGACACAGCCAAACCAAATCGGCACATATGACCAGCCCTTCCAGCGTGCTCTCTGATATATTTTCCTCGCTCCCGAGCATGCTTGTCATGCAGAGGTGAGAGTGGGTCCCACTTAGGGTCTCCTCCACACATGGGCGCCCTGAGGCTGGCAGGTTCAAGCAGCGAAAAGCCACAAACAGACTTGAAAGATGAGCAGATGCCAGCACATTTCAGCCATGGTGGAATCTCAGAGTCACATGAGCCACCACTTGTAATGCCCCAGCCCACTGCTTGGCACATATTGGGACCCCCAAATGTTAGCTTCCTTGCCCCCTTACTTGAAGGACTGACAGAGGGAAGAAAATGTGTTTCTTGGGCAGATGGGGGACAGGCCTCATTCATTTTCACAGCATCAGAGGCAAGCACAGGGCCTGGCACATAGGAAGTACGCAGTCAATTTTGCTGTGTGACCTCAGACAAGTGGCTCAGCCTCTCTGAACCTCAGTTTCCCATACATAGAATGAGGTTGTGGTTCACAAACCAGTGTGCTCCATCATACACAGGCAGCAGTTGACTGTGGCTCATGTCACAGCCATCACAGTGCTCACGGTGAACCTGAGGCTTTCCTCCTCCCCTTGAATTGTCTAAATTATGCTTGACGGTTGAAGCAAAAACTGTAACACTCTCTGTGGTTCTCAATGTATGTGAAGGAGCTATTTAAGACAATTACATTATAAACGGAGTATGACAGAGGGACAAAGGGGGGTAATGTTTTTATACTTTACTCAAATGGTAAAATGACTACAACAGTAGCCTGTGATAAGTTATGTATACATAATGCAGTACCTAGAGCAACCACTTAAAAACCCATACAAAGAGACACACTCAAAAACACTACAGATAAATAAAAATGGAATCCTAAAAAATGTTTACATAGCTCACAGGAAAGCAGAAAAAAAAAAAAAAGAAAGTTAAAAAGGGAGAAAAAAAAATATGGCCAACTTAAGCCCTACCATATTTAGAGCTACATAAATGCAAAGGATCTAAACACACTGACATAGCTTGGCTGTGTCCCCACTCAAATCTCATCTTGAATTGTAACCCCTATAATCCCTCGTGGGAGGGACCCGGTGGGAGGTAATTGAATCGAGGGGGCAGTTTCCCCCAGGCTGTTCTCGTGATAGTGAGTGAGTGCTCACGAGATCTGATGGTTTTATAAGCATCTGGCATTTCCCCTGCTGACACTCATTCTCTCTCCTGCCACCCCGTGAAGACGTGCCTTCCACCCTGATTGTAAGTTTCCTGAGGCCTTCCCAGCCATGCAGAACTGTGAGTCAATTAAACCTCTTTTCTTTATAAATTACCCAGTCTTAGGTATTTCTTCATAGCAGTGTGAGAACAGACTAATGCACACATCAATTAAAGGCAGAGATTGGGAGAATGGATTTTTAAAAAAACCAATATATGTCATGTGCAAGAAATTCACTGCAAATATAATGAGAAGGTAGGTTGAAATAAGCATATGGAGAAAGATATATCATGCAAACATTAATCTAAAGAAAGCAGGAGTGACTGAATTAACACAATATTGTATACACAGTATAAATATCAGATAAAGTAAACTTCAGAGTAAAGAAAATATCAGAGACAGGGAGTGACATTACATAATGATATAATGTTAAAAAGATCACTCCACCAAGAAGATATAGCAATCCTAACCATGCCTGCACCATACAATACAGCTGCAAAATGTGTGCTAGAACAAAAAGAACCAGTTGTGTGTTTCTGAGGTGGTTTCTTGCTCACTTACGTCTCCAGGGGCTCTTTTGACATGTCCCAATCATAAAGGTAGTTTTGTGTGTATTCCTTCCTTTCAAACTAAGACAATTTATTTTTACAAGACAAATACTATTTGAGGAAAAATAGCAAAGTATTGCCACAGTCAATTTCAGGATGATTCATTACTCCCGAAGTTTTTCTACTCTCGTTATTGTCAGTTGTCCCCAAATGATTTTATTATGATGATCAAATTGACATAAGAAATGTACAATATAAAAAAAAATTAAAGGGATAGGATTCTTTTGTGGAAAACAATGTTTGTCTCAAAGAGCTGGCCCAGGAAAATGGGAGGTACTGCAGCCTCCCATGGGCACAGGTTTATCTGAAGAAGGGTCTGGAGGGGCCAACACATTGACTGTCCACATCTCCTAGGGAAGAATGCAGCAGGAGAGAGTTGGAGGGCATTTAATTTGGCTGGAAATATTGGTAGAGCTGTTCAGGGAGAAGAGGTAAAACATCCAAAAGGAAACTCTATTCGCAAGGGCTGTAAGATTTTAGGACCCTGGCGAGCCTTAGTGGTGGGACTTCCCACAGGAAGATGTATTACCGCTTCTGCTTCAGTGACAACCTAACGGTCAGGTGTTCTTACTCAACAAACCATACAGGTCATTGAGGAGGGATGTTTGCTCAGAGAAATCCTAATTAAACCATCCTCCTGTCTGATTTCTGCACTGGGTAGATACATCTTTGTTGTATCACATGTAAATGTGTTTGGAGGGTCAAACTTCCAGGGGAAAAAGAGCCAGTGTTGAGGTCCAGCCTACCCAATCATGGATCTTCGCTTCCCCGCAGCCAGTGTGTGCTCTGTGAGGCTTGGTCTCCTCACTTGTTGAAGAGGAATGGTATCCCTCCTATTCCTGGGACTTTTACAAGATCTAGAGGATGCGTGGGTGCCTGCCACAGTCTTTGGCATACAATAGATACTCAGGAAATGGTACTTTATTGAATGTTATAATCATTGATTTGATTTAAACATTATTTTTATACGTTTCTTACTTCTATACTAGATTGTAATCCTGAAATGAAGTAAATGATTTAACCTATCACACAAATACACTTTAAAAGGCGATATAATATTCTAACTACAATACAAAGGAAAAATGGAAGTGAGTTGCGATTTTTTTAAACTCTATATGCCAGTGTGCAGACACTGGCAGAACCAGTGGTGCAGATGGTGCAGGCATGGTGCATCTGAGATGCAAGTGCCAAGCACAGGCCAGGTGACACGATTTTCATGAAGTGTCCAAATAAGCAGGTTCTATCTTTCCTCAATTTACATGTGAATTGCTAATAGATATAACGAGGGAAAAAACAAAACAAAGCATTTCTCCTATTCTCACACACCACTCAATGTAACACTTCTGATGCCAGATGTGTGGGGGTGACATCAAGCAATTCTGCAGTGGACACCAGCCGGGTGTCCTCCAATTCAATTCAATTCTGATGCTGTCTACCTAAAGTCAGGTCCCACAGTGAGGGCTCAGTCCCACAAGACAGCCCCAACTTCAGATTCTGAGCGCAAGTCCAGGTGTGGCCTGTGCTTCTGACCAGCTGACTGTAAGTTGGGGTTCTTGTGAGTCCCCACCTTGGGTTTGATTAATTCACTGGAGCAGCTCACAGAACCCAGGGAAACACTTCACTGATGTTTACTGGTTTATGATAAAGGATACTGCGAAGGATAGAGATGAAGAGATGCATAGCGTGAGGCGGGGGGAGAGCTACAGAGCTTCCATGCCCTCCCTTCAGGCACCTCCATGTCTCCAGCTTTCCAGAAGTTCCCCCAACCCAGTCCTTGTGGGGGTTTATGGAAGCTTCATTATGTAGGCCTGATTGATTACCTCATTGGCCGTTGGCGGTCAACTCAACTTTCAGCTCCTCCTCCCTCTCCCCTCCCCAGAAGTCAGGGAGTGGGGCTTAAAGTCCTAACCTTCTAATCACGCCTTGGCGTCTCTGGGTGACCAGCCCCGTCCTGTAGCTGCCTAGGGGCTCCCAGCCCCCAGCCATCTCATGAGCACACACAAGACACTCTCACCACTCCAGAGACTCAAGGGCTTTAGGAGCTGTGTGACAGGAAGCAGGGGTAAAGACTAAAGCTATATTTCACATTATCACAGTTGCATTCCTAGAAAATCCAGCTTATTTCAAAACTATAAAAATCCTCACTGTTTGTTTGTATAGTGAAGTGAGGATCTAGGTTTAGATAGCCACTGATAGGATTTTCATGCACAATAATGCCCCATGGTATTTGTATTTTATTTTATATTTTTTAAATTGTTTTTTTCTTTTCTGACAAAAATGCCCTTCAGAAACCCCACAGTATTTGAGAAGCTTTGCAGAATGCGGAATGCGGCTTTCCTGTGGGGGTTTGTCCATGCATTATGGGACACCCAGCTTCGCTGGATGCTAATTACCAGGTGAAATCCCACCACTGGGACAACCAAGAACACCCTGAAACCTCCCCAGGGAAAAGCTCGTCCTGTTGACTTTATGGCCATTACCCTATGTGGCCCAGAGCCCAGTGGTGCTCAGTAAAAGTCTGCTGTTCTGAACCGACACCTGCAGCCTCCTGAACCATTGCTATGCACATTCATAAGCCTGAGGAATATGCTGTCTCTCTCTCTCTTTTGTTTTTTTCCTTTTTTGAGACAAGATGTCCTCTGTCGTCCAGGCTGGAGTGCAGTGGAGCGATCATGGCTTACTGCAGCCTTGATGTCCTGGGCTCAAGTGATCCTCCCATCTCAGCCTCCCACGCCACCATGCCCAGCTAATTTTTGTAGAGACGGAGTCTTTCCATATTGGCCAGGCGGGTCTCAAACTCCTGAGCTCAAGTCTTCCACCCACCTTGGCCTCCCAAAGTGCTGGGATTACAGGCGAGAGCCACCAAGCCCAGCTCTGAGGAATATTCTTGGAAAAAGTGGAAGAAATGAAGGCAGCTCCCAGCGTGTCAGGAAATGGCCATTCCAGGAGAGCGCTGTCCCTGCCTCGCATCCTCCAGAGGACTCCAGTGCAAATGATGAGGCCACCACCACTGTCCTCAAAACCAGGTCGCCAGCTGAGTCTCAGGGCAGGTGGTCCCGGCTAGTTCAGCAGCTCAGAAAGGCCATGGAGGATGGGGCCCTTTCCCTCTCTCTGCTCCACTATCCTCCGTGTCTGCCAGGCTGCCTTTGTGGCTGCAAGGGGCTGTCACCATCCTGGGGGCCTGTGCACACATGACCATATCCCATGGAAGAGTCCTCTCCCTGTGTGCTTCTGTGTAGAAGCCCATAGCGTGCTCCTCACTTGCTGTGGGCTGGACTGAGGGGTTTTCCTCCACCGTCACTGCTGCAGGACCTTCTGAGGCAGCAGCGTGGAGACCGCCCTTCCCTGGCATGGTACAGCTTGCCTGGCTGCTTCCTTCTGATGCCCACCAGGACAAGGGTTAAGTGAGGCAGTCCCTGGCCTCAGGCACAGAATTTAAGGGGTACCAAAAAACCTCAATGATCAAATTAAATATTTTGATGCAGAATTATGAAAAACCAAATGCAAAAGAAAATCTGTGATGAAGGAAATACTAACCTTCTAAAGATGAGATCTGGTCCTGCATAGCACGGCTCCCCTTGCTCACCCCACCCCAGTCCCTGGTCCTGCATAGCACGGCTCCCCTCGCTAACCTCACCCCAGTCCCTGATTTGTCTGGTCCTCGTTGTTTGAAACCATGATATTTTGTTCATCGTATATTTTTCATTAATTTTGATTTTTAAGATGTGACATGAATAAATGGTTCCTCTTGGGATGAGTGCTTGGAGGCCCCTTACATTTGTGCCCAGGTGAACCCCTATTGGCTCCACCCTCGTCCCAGCCCTGTCAGTGCCTCAGCCCGGCACTAAAGAGCTGAGCATCTGCAGACGGATGCCAGTCACGTACAGGGTTTCTTTGCCAATGCAGTTGCTTTAAAAGCTCAGCAGACATCTAGATTGCTGTGTCCAGTCAATGTCATGGGATAATGACCTCAGCCAAAGATCTGGACCAGACATAACCTTTGACTGTAGGCATGCCAGCCTCCTAGGCGTGGGCCCACTGGCCCCTCTGCTCCCTGTAGCCTGATTTTTGCCAACTGGATTGTCTCTATATTTAGCAGAGGATGCTTGACAGAGGCTTGGGAAAACAGATTTGGTTTTCAATCCATTCATAGCTGCTGCTGCTCCTGAGTCTCTTGTCTTCTCCTTTGCTCATATGTGGGCCATTTCTAGACAAGCCACTCACCTTTCTGTAAGCCCTTCTGCAAGCCATTAGAAGCAGCCAACTCACAGCCCCTTGAAACCACCCTCGTTTCCCTGAGAGCTACAGCTTCAGCAGACATGTCGTATGCAGCCCAGGCTTAAATAGGTGACAATTCAGTCAAATGGAAGATCAGTTTTTCTGCTTTTCACCAGTTCCACATTTTAGAGTTTGTTACTCCTACTCTTCTGGTACCAAATTCCATTAGTGGTCAGAGTTTTGACCTGAAAGCAACAGAAACCAAGTTGGATTCTAAACGGAAGAGGAATTATGATGATGACTCTTGAGTCATCCAAAGATTTTCCAGAAGGGGAAGCTGGGTTCAGACCTGAGCAGCTGGGAATAATACTCAATCTTGCACTGCAGAGATGTTCTGGAGGGCATTGGATGTGGCAGCTACAGCTCTGGGCCTGCATCTTGCTGCTATGGCCACCACCATTAATGTCACTGCCCCTTCTAAGGAATTCAGTGTTTTTGTAACTGCTAATGCTGTCAGAATTCATAGCTCCTTCTCCCTGCCACCCTACCCTATCCATATTTCTTGCTCCCGATTTGAAGTCTCAGGATGGAGGCTACCTGGTTTATCTACTCTGATGGAGACAGGCCCTTCCTCCTGCCAAGAGGCACATGGAGGTTGAGACTCTACAATAAATATAAAAAACTATGTGACTTTCCTAAGAGAAAGGGCAAATGTCCACTCCACTTGCCCCAAGAGATGGGCCAACATCAGTCCCTTCTCAGATCCTCTTCCCTGGCCAGGGGCGAGCACCACCTTCAGGGTCTCACTTCCCTTGGCCACAGGTCCATTGGTCTCTCTCCACCCTTCTCTCTGCCTCTTCTTCCTCCTGTCTCTCACACAGGTATCTCTCCCTGGGCTCTCATCTCCTCTCACAGTGCCCATTCTCCCCTGGGGACTCACCACCACCCCTGGCTCCCCTAACTGCCCTATCTTCATTTCTAGCCCTGACCTTTGCCCAGGCCCAAGACTCCCATTTGCTCTGCCTGCTGGGCTCTTCTGTTTAGTCACCTCCCCAGGCACCACCTGAACTCAACCCAGAGCGTGGATCATCTTAGGGCAAGGACTCCCAGGACACTTTTTCCTGCCTCTCCTTGTTAACAGGCAGGAACTAGGCCTCACCACAAGCAGGCCCTCACTTGGTGCTGAGCTAACAGGGACTCCACGCTGCCCTGTGGCCCTGACATGAGAGGTGCTGCACAAGGAACCCTCCCCAGAACAAGGGAGGTGGCTGGGCTGGTGTGGTGGTGGCCATGTAGGCTGCCCTCCTAGAGGCCCTGGCAAGGCACCACCTGCAGTCATGAGGAGGGGACATCTATGGTGTGAGGAACTGAAATTGATGACACTTGTATCAGGCACAGCCATGAACTCACCCTTGGATACTGCTGGCTGCCAGGTGCACCCAGGACATGCCTGGACCCCTGAACCTGCGAGGGGGAAACTGTGAACTCCACACTATTGCCTGGCCAGTGGGACCCAGGGAGGCTCTCTGCCACAGCAGACATGGAAACTGCAGCTGTGTGAGAGGCTGGCGGTACAACCTCACGGTGCAGGGACTTACCCCCATCCCCCTCAGATGAACTTTGTGCAACAGGAGGCAGAAGACAAGGGGTTCTTTGCCCTCCTCCCTCATGGACTAGCCAAGAAGTCCTGCATGACCAGGCAGAGAGCCAGACCAGCTTGTCAACCTGCCCCTTCACTTGCTTTCTGTCCCCTCTTCCCTCTGTCCCTCACTCTTGCTGCCTTGGGACTGCACTCACCTAAAGCTCTGGCAGGGAAATGTGGCCTTGGCATAGGAGGCAGACTTAGGGTGGCTCCCATGACCCTGTCTCCTGCTGTCCGTACCCATGAGTGTGGGTGAGACCTGCAGCTCACCACTGATAGAGGATGGCAAAGCAGATGGCAGTATCCATGGCCACGTGCCATCCCATGAGATGCCATCTGTCTATCACATGCCATAGGGACCCTCCTCTCTGGCTTGACAGCCTCCATGGCCTTGCTAGGGAGGTCCAGTGACAGCAACTGCAGGAGGCCTCCAGGAGCCAACGAGCAGCTGGAACCTCCAGACTTACAGCTGTGAGGAGCAGATTCTGCAACAACCTGAGAAGTTGGGAAGCTGATTCTTCCCCAGTTGAGCCTCTGATGAAAATGCAGCCTGGCCAGCACCTGTCTGCAGCCTGGGGAGACCCCTATGCAGAGAACCTGGTAAAACAGGGAGGCAGTGAGTGTGTGTGGTTCTGAGCCACTTCATTCATGGTGGCTTGTTACATAGTAGGAAGCTGACACACCAGGTTCTGTTCTCAAGGGAACCTAGACTATGACAACATCCAGCCCCTCTGATCCGGCACTTCATCTCCAGGAAGCCCACATAGCCTCGCATATGTTTCACAGGAAAGAAAATGTATACTCCCCTCCCAAGGAAGGAGGTGAGTGTCGTGACAACGATGAACTGCACATGCTGGAGAGGGAAGCAGCATGGTGGCCCCTGTTTTATAGATAAGGAGGGTGGCTGGTGGCTTGGTAACTTGTCCTGAGCCAGCAGCTGACCCCAGGCACCCGACTCCAGGGCCCAGTCATGAGCCCAGGCCTCTCTAGCCATTAATGTCAGGGATGTTGCCTCGTGCCCCTACCTACCGCAGGCTTAATGTGGGGGATGCTGCCCCATGCCCCTCCCTACTCTGGGCTTAATGTGGGGGGTGCGTGCTGCCCCGTGCCCCTTCCAACCCCAGGCTTAATGTGGGGGACACTACCTCACGTCTTTCCCCATCCTGGGTGGGAGTTTGGGCCCACAGGCACTGTCCTTGACCACACTTCCTCCTTTGGTCACTAAAAAGTTCCGGGTAACTGATCTGTCACTGACTGGAGCCCTGTCCCCATGCTGGGAAGGCCTGCCTCTCCATCCTTATCCATGCCCCCTCAAGACTGTAGAACCAAGAGGACCACATGGGCCTTCCCTGGTGGAGCCTGGATATAGTGGTGGAGGAGGCATTGTGCTGAGGTCTGGGATGGGCACTAGGCGTAATGGGAGGTGCCACAGAAAGGGTGATGCAAGTAACGCTGGGCCATGGTTACAATGGGGGCGAGTCACAGGAATGCAGAACAGAGGGGCACCACCCCGGAAGGGCCACGAGGTGGGTGGGATCAGCAGGGATCAAAGCAACACTGTGGCAGGGCCTGGGGGAGTGTGGCCAGCAGAGATCAAAGCAACACTGTGGGAGGGGGCATGGTCAGTAGGGATCAAAGCAACACCTGGGGAGATGGAGCTTGGTAGGGGGCATGGTCAGCAGGGTTCAAAGCAACACCACAGGAGGCAGAGCCTGGGGGGAGGCGTGGTCAGCAGAGATCAAAGCAACACTGCGGGAGGGAGCATGGTCAGCAGGGATCAAGGCAACATCAGGAGGCAGAGCCTGGGAGGGGGCGTGGTCAGCAGGGATCAAAGCAACACCTCAGGAGGCGGAGCCTGGGAGGGGGCGGGGTCAATGGGGATCAAAGCAAAACTGTGGGAGGTGGGGTTAAGAGGTGGGCGTGGTCAGCAGGGATCAAAGCTATACCGCAGGGGTGGGGTTATGAGGTGGGCGGGGTCAGTGGCCCGGGATGGGGCACGTGTGGTGGTGGGAGGGCTGGAACCCACTCACTGACACAGGCTGGTGAAAATGGAGAGAAAGTTAGAGCTCAGCAAAGTTAGAGCTGAGATGGGGGCGTAGACATTAATATGCTCTTAAAATAAGAACGCCCAGAAGAGGGGACTCATCAGCTGCCTGCTTCCAGATGTCAAAGCCTGGTTATTTTTAAGGCAACACCATCAAAGCAAAGCGTGCTGGAGCCGTGGGGAGGCGGCTGTCGCTCAGCAGCAAGGGGCTCAGGGAGGTTGGGGGAAACGGTGCTGCCCAGGAGATGCCCTCAGGGCAGTGCCCACCGCTGTCGGGTCACCTGGAGGGCTGGGGGCACCCAGGGTGGGAGTCCCAAGCCCCCATTTCCAGGCCAGTTCCATGCTAGGCAGCCTGGACGAGGGTGAGTGGCCCTGCCTGCCTGCACTCCCTCCTCCAAAACGGCCAGGCTCTTCTCACCCTGAGGCCATACCGGGCCATTGTGAAAACAGCAGCAGCAGCTGTGGGCCCGCTGGGAGCCGGGCTCTGCACGTTGCAATGTTCTTTCAAGTCTCACAGCAGCATAGGAGGGAGGTACGGAGCCATTCCGAACCGTGGTTTCCTCGTCTGGAAAGGGGAACAGCAACAGCGACTTCCTTGGAGGGTAGTGGTGAGGGTTAAACAGGCAGCATGCACACGGGGGTACTCAGAACCCCAACAGGTGCAGCGGGCAGACACTGCTGTTCTCAGTGATTATCGCCTCCTTTTGCATGTGAAAAAACAAGGCGCAGAGAGGCTGAGCTGCCCAAGGCCCAAGGCCCAAGGCCACAGAGCTGGGTTTGATCTGGAGGCTGATTTGGAGCTGGCACCCCCATAACTACTGCTGCGGTGCCAGCAGAGTGACAGGAGATGAGTCTCTGTAGCAGGTGTCTTCCAGCTCAGCCTGTGTTTGGTGTAACGTCTCTTCTGAGAGTGTTGGAAGCTGCAGGTTTGGGATAAGTTGGGGTCTTGCTCAGTGTCCCTGGCTGTGAGATCCCTGTTCCTGCACGGTCCCACCAGGAAAGTCGGTGGACAGGTAGATGTGATAGTGTCTGGCCTGGTGGCTCCTGGTGGGGCCAGGTCCCCTCCAGGTGTGGAGCCTGCCAGCCAGGCTCTGGCCAGTCCGGTCCCCAGGAGGCCCAGGAGGCCCACTTCTTGCTTTGTCCCTCTGGTTTTGACAGTCTCCCACTCTAGGGCCGCCTGCTGCTCCCCAGGCAGGTCTCGGGCTGCAGGTGCCATCCTCAGATGCTTGTGTCTGGGGCCTCATGGGGGCACCCTGGCGCTAGTTCAGGGGCAAATGTCTGTGACTTTTGTGTTTTGCTGACTACACACCCTGACTCCACACCCTGTCCATTCGGAAGCACTACAGCGCCCTGTCACCTCCACCTCATCCTGGTAAGTCCTTGTTTAGATACAAAGGGACACAGGGAGGCGGCTCCTGGAACTTCACACAGACACCTGTCACCGGAAAGGGGAAGGCTGGGCCGAGGGTCGGGTGGTCTCTGGTGCAGCTATAGCCAGCTGTCTCCCTCTGTCTCTCCCCGCTTCCTCTCTCCCCTCCTTCCTTTCTCCCCTCCTTCCTCTCTCCCCTACTCTCCCTCTCTTTCTCTTCCCTCCTTCCCTCTTCTCTCTCTCCATGTCTGTCTGTCTCTGTCCCCTCCCTCTCTCTCCTCCCTCTCCTCCCTCTCCCTCTCTCTTTTGTCTTTCTCTCTCCCTCACCCCTGCCCTCTCCCCATCTCTCTCCCTCCCTCTCCTCATCTCTCTCCCTCCCTCTCCTCTCTGCTGTGCTCATCTCAGGAGCTGGCCTCTCTCTTGCCTCCAGCACACAGACTCCCTCTCCCCACTATAGAAACATGGCCGCCCCCCGGTGCACACCCTGACCTCAGTGCACCCCTTGCCCTGCAGCTGGACTGCACGTGGCGACTGGGCCCTCACCTGGCCTGGCCTCGGATGGATGCCTGCGTCCCCTGCAAGCGACCCCACAGATGCAGGTCACATGTTTACGTTGTGCCAGGTGGGAGGGACATTTTGATCAACAGCCACCATAAAGCCACGGGGTCGGTGGGGGCGGGTGTGGCAGGGCAGGGCGGAGGTGTGAGGAGGATCTATTTAAGGGAAGGAGAGCATTTACTACAGCAGGGAACAGGAGGAAAGGAAACGGCCACCAGTGCTGGTACTCCAGCTTGGCCCGCAGCTGCCCCCTCGCCATGCACCTATTTGATTGGCTGCTTCCTGCTTTTCCTGTGTGGGTGGATGGAGGGTGGGACGGGAAGGCAGGAGGGTGTCTGAGCATCCGTGATCTGGGCCCGGAGGGGACTGGCTCCAGCTGGGTTTGGAACTCAACAAAGTCCCTAGTGGTGGCACCAATCATCACAGAGCAGCACGTTTACCCAGAACTTCTTGAGTTTTGCTCAGCAAAGGAACACGGAGCAGTTTCCGCAGCTCAGGAGTGGCTGGTCCTGCAGCTGAGGAGCCGAGCGTCCAGCCTTCCTCATGCCCCATCCAGGGGTCGGTGCTTCATCCGGGGACAATGGGGAGCCAGAGAAGGACGTTGAGGGGGCAGTCACCCATCAGGGGCGCACTGTGGAACCAACTCTTTAGCTGCTGGTGTGGAGAAGGTGTGGGAGGCAGGGGGCAGGGAGAGCATGAGGAGCCTCATCCCAGGCTACAGAGAAACACGGAGGCTCACCAGGGCCGTGGCTGGGAGGTGGCACTGGCCGAGGGCCTGAAGGACTCTGCTGCTGCTAAGACTGTGGGTGTGGAGGGGAGGGAGCCGAGTGGGACCGCGGTGCCAATGGCTTCAGAAGCCACTTTGTTAATAGATAAGCGAGGAGAGGAATGATTAGAATGAGTAACCAAGCAGAAGGTGGGCGGTGGGTAAGAGGGATCACTCGTGGAAAATTCCTTGCTGCCAATCTGGCTGGAGAAGGATCTGGAACCTTGAGTCGAAGGCTGTTGCTCTGCAGAGTTCTCCTGGAGCCATGATCCACCTGTCAGGAGGACACACCCAGGCCACCCAGGGCCACCAGGGATCGCTGGCGCGATCTTGAGTTTGGGTCCTGGGCCATCACCTCCCAGAGCCCCCCGATCTGTAGGAGGCGCATACATTCCCATGGAGCTCCCTGATCTGTAGGAGCTGCCACTTCACTGGCAGCTGCAGAGCATCTCCAGCATCCATGCCGCAGAGCCAGGCCTCCCCCAGGCAGACACAGAGTCCTTCCGATCCGGCCTGCACTCCGGGACCACATGGTCTGGTACAAGGTGCTAAGGCCCTACGGGGACAATGTAGAGGGCAGAGATGGAGGGGCCTAGAGGAGAGGTCTTGTGGGCTTCCTGGAGGAGGTGGTGTTTGCATGGAGATCAAGAAGAGCACGCCTGTGGGCCTCAGTGCAGCCAGTGCACGTCCATACCACATGCATGTGTACACAGATGCACACGCCTCACGCCTGACTTGGATGCCTCTTCCTGTAGAGGCTGAGGTACTCCTCACAGTGACGTGCCCCACCCGGACAGGCCAGCTCTCCCCCTGTCCCAAGAGCACAAAGAAGACCCAAGAGGCCTCTGGCCCGGCTGGGTCCAGGGTGAGGAAAGGCCTTCCACAGAGAGCACTTGCCCTGGGAATTATTCTCCCTCGAAGACGCCGTGTGGGTGACAAGCCCTCTCTCCCCACCCACAGGCTGGTTCTGAAAACCCGAGGGCGGCGGCCCCTCCTCCTGAGCCATTTCCTTACTTCTTGTGGCACTAACATCATTTCCAGGAGCAGGTATAATCTCTCAGAATAGCTCCTTCTGGATGACGCAGCCTTAGCTTGGCCTCCCTGAGCCCCAGGGTGAGGTGGGAGTTGCAGGTTGGCTGGGTCAGGACCTGGGCCAAGACAAGAGGGCCCCAGCCACAGGTCCTGGACTCCCCTGCAGTACCTGTCTCCCTGGCACCTCCCCAACCCTGCCTATCTCTCACGGGCATTGGGGAGGCACCCAGGATGTGGACAGCTCCAAGTGCAAACCCTGGCTCTCTGCTCACTTGCTGTGGATGAGTCTGTTCTCACACTGCTATAAAGACATACCTGAGACTAGGTAATTTACAAAGGAAAGAGGTTTAATGGACTCACAGTTCCGTATGGTTGGGGAGGCCTCAGGAAACTTACAATCATGGCAGAAGGTGAGAGAGAAGCAAAGGCACATCTTACATGGCAGCGGGAGAGAGAGAGAGCACACGCACGAACAAGAAAATCACTCATCGGATCTCGTGAGAACTCACTATCACGAGAAAAGCATCGGAAACCACCTCCATGACCCAATTACCTCCCACCAGGTCCCTCCCTCGACAGGTGGGGATTATGGGGATTACAATTTGAGATGAGATTTGAGTGGGGACACAGAGCCAAGCCATATCATGCTGTGTGGCCTTGGGCCCATTACTTGACCTCTCTGTGATCCAAATCCCTGACTCCTAAAAATGAAGAAGCCTACCTCACTGGGCTCTTGTAGGAGGAAATATATTCACAGCTATACACCCACCCCATAAATCCTGGCCCACAGGAGGTGTACAGCGAACACCGCTGTCATTGTTCCCAACTCTGCCTCAGTGTAGGTCAGCTTTCTTTAGTGCATGCCTCACACGAGGCTCTGTGGCTACTCCCCACACTGGAGGCCACCTAGTTCTATGGCTGTGGAAACTGAGGCACAGGCCTGTCGGTCAGGAACAGTGTCAGGCTTGGGACTGGCAGACCTGAAGCTGAGCAGCGCCAGGCCTGTGCTCTGGGCCTCGGCTGCCTCCGGGGATCCACAGGTGGATGGCTGGGTCCATGTTCTTGAGTGGAGTGGGGAAGTCAGGCATACACACACACGCCTGACACACACACACACACACACACACACCACCCATGCGCAGGGCAGGTGCTAGTACAGAGGTGTTTACAACGTGCTGAGGGGGCAGGAGAAGGTTTCTCTGAGGATGGTGCTTGACTAGGTTTTGAACTTCAAGCAAATAGTTCTGAGACCAGGAAATCAAAAAGGGGGCTCCCAACAGGGGCACAAGCTGTGCCAAGGCCCAGCGGTAGGGAGGTGCCTGAGCACGGGCACAGCGGGAGTGGGGCTGGGAAGGCAGATTGGATCCCGGGGCTATCAGGGATCTTGATGATCCCTGTGCAGTCCACAGGGCTGGGGCACAAGGAGGGCCCCCAGGCTCTGCTTTCACCCAGATGGTGCCGCGGGATGGGCCTTGGGGCAGAACTCTGCCAGGTTGACCAGGCCAGGCCTCTCAGGGAGGCAGGGGTGGTGCTGGGACCTGCTTCCTGCCGCACCCTCCCCCACTGTGACAGGTCGCCGGCCCTGCCTGGGCCCCTTCCTGCCCACTTGTCCTCCCCCAGGGGTCATCCTCCCCCGCCTCCCCAGGGCTCTCTCTTGGCCACGTGAGGGCAGCATGGAAGTGCTGGGCTCTTGTTGGGGGTGGCAGTGGAGGATGACTTTCCAGCACCTTTGCCTTCAGGGGGGGTGACAGCGGGCATGCTCTCCCATGGCTCAGAACCTAGTGCCTGCTCACAACACACCTGTAGCGGCCCCTCCCCTTCCTGGTCTCACTGTCCCGCTCCCTGCCCTGCCTCCTGTGGCCCTCAAACAAGCTGATTGCACTGGAATCCCAGTCTCAGGGTCTACTTCTGGGAGCCCAGCCTAACAGCCCCTCCTAGCAGACGACAGGTGCCCTGGGTGTTGGGGTCAGGGACATTGGCACAGAAGCAGGGAAGCCTGGAGAGCCAGGGAGGCCCTCGGGACACAAAGGGGCTCTGTCTTCAGGGCCTAGCCCAGCCCCAAAGGGCCGTCTGGTCCCACTGCCTGGGTAGGCCCTTTCCTGGGGCTGCTCCTCCTGTTACACCAGGACTCATATGCTGCCTTCTCCTGGAAGCCCCCCTGATTGTATTCCCTCCACCCAGAGCTCCCCATGGGTTTGCTCTGTTTCATTCCCTGCTCCCTGGGCTGAGCCCCGCAGTCTCCCTGCCCCTTCCCTCCAGCTGGAATGGCCTTGGCTTTCCACCCCTCCTCTGCTTCCTGGAGAACACGTGTTCTTCTCTCACGCCCCCTGTGGCATCCTCTGCTCCTGGGGAATATAGCAGAGCGCTGTCAGCCCCTGAGCCTCTGGCTGGCCCAAGGAAGGGTCCTCCCTGGCTCCCTGGCCTGACTCTTGATCTCCTTGCGGGCAGGACCAGCTCCAACCCCCCTTGACAGCTGCAGGGCTGGGGCACAGCCAGGGCGCAGTCTGGGTGCTGAGACCAGGAGATGGCACCTCCCACTTCGAGGTCACCTGTCCTTGACCAGAGGGTGAGAGTAGTTAGGGGTGGCAGGTGGGGCCATGAGCAGGGCTCTGCTGACCCGGGGCACGTGCCACCCTTGCTTCCCCGGCTGACCATCCTGTGCGTAGAGGTGTTGGTAGGGCAGGTCCTGAAGGGAGGAGAGAACAGGAGGATGAGATATCCCATTGACTGAGGCTGAGCAGAAAACCAATTAGCCACGGTCGCCTCTGGGCTCCACCCAAAGGATTAAAAAGACAAAGGCAGACGGGGCATCCCCAGCTGGAGGAAGAAAGGCTGCCACTGTGCAGTGCAGCTGGGGGAACGGGGCGGCGCTCTCACTGGGGCCTCTTGCCCATCTCCCTATCCCAGGCTTCCAGAATATTCGCTCTTATCCTCACCTGCACCGTGCTCCTCCCACACCTAGGTCTCCACCCCACCTCCAGCCACACCTGTGCCAGGGGCAGAGTGGCTCAGCCCCTCCAGCTTCATGCCCTGCCCCTCCCAGCCAGGTGGTCCCCCTTTGGGTCACCCACACACATCCCTGGCTCACCTGGGCTGCCCCTAGACGTCTGGGGATGGCCCGGGGTGGCCCTGCCTGCCTACTTGTCCGATTCCCTCATAGACAGTGAGTAGGACAAGAGCAGAGGCTGTGCCGGTTGATCTCTGTGCAGCCCTTCCATGTGCCCAGTACGGGCCTGGCACCTAGCCGCATGTGGCACCCAGCCGCATGTGGCACCCACCTGCTGAGTGGCCATGTCCACAAGCACTTTCCAGTTATTAGACGAAAGCGTGATGGAGGGTCCTGCATTAGCTTGCAGGGACCATGTTTGCTGGCATGTTCCATGCGTGCCTGTAAGTGCTGTTGGTACATATGTGTGTGCACGTTAGTATCCATGCATGGGCCGTGGGAGGCCATGCATGCCACACGTGTGTGTTTGTAAGTGCTGTGGGTGCGTGTGCACATTGCACCCGTGCATGTGTGTGAACGAGTTCCATCGCAGTTGCACAGTGCTGCAAGCTGGCACAGCCACAGCCCTGCCTCCAACTTTCCCCATCTGGGCCGAGGGCTGGGTGGCCCAAGCCCCCTGTGAGGCTGGTCCTCCACCATCGGAAGGTTCTGGGAGTCCCAGATGCCAAGCTGCTGTGTGATCCTGGTCCTGACCGTCCCCCTGTGAAGTGAAGGTGACATATTAGCTTATGGTCCTCAAAATGTGGTCTTGTGAACAGCCGCTGACAATTCCCTGGACCTGGTTCAAATGCAGACTCCTGGGCTTGTCCCGGGTCTCCTGGGTCAGAGCTTGTGGAAGCAGGGCCCTGGAATTGGCATTTTAGCCCGTACCCTCGGGAGCATCTGTGCCTCCTGGGGGCTATGCTGTGGTTGGAATCATTCTTGCTGCATCGCTGCTCACCGTGTCTTATGGAAGAACAAGTTGTCTCCAGGGCTGGAGACTCCTCCCTGGCCTTGATTTGTTGTCCCTTGATGCCACCAACCACAAATGCCCTCACCACATGAGGCAGGACTCTGTCCTCCTGGTACAGATGAGGAAACTGAGGCCGAGGACGCAGAGGGCAAGCTGGGAAAGAGCCAGGCCCACACTCGAGGCAGCCTTGCAAATGCCAAGGAGGCGGCTTTTCATGCCCCGTGGGAGAGAGCCTGCCGACCGCCACATTGATGGAACAGGCTGTCTTAGTGGTAGTGAGCACCCTGTTGCTGGAAGTATTCAAGAGGGGACCTGAATAACCACCCATCGCAGCAGCCCTCTTCCTGTAGAGGCTGGGAATTTTTCTGCCTCCAAGATGCCACATGGAATTTCAGTAGTCGATGGAAAGGCCCTTCCAAAGCCAGGATCCTGGGCACCAAATGGATGCTGCTGGTTTGAGTTTTGATCTTGTGTGTGCTCTCTGGGAAGCGGAGTAAACTGGGATCTTGAGGAGCCAGGCGGGCTCAGCCCTGCTTCCGTACTGGAAGCTCCACAGTGCCTCAGCAGCTCCTCATCACACAGCCGCCCATTCGGGGTCTGGGGCAGGGCCCTGAAGTCTGAATTTCTAATGCATTCCACGAGGCTCCCAAGGCTGGGGAGCAGAGCCTTGGGAAACTAGGTCCTGGGGAGCCGCTGGCTTTCTCTGCCACGCATCAGGCAAGAACCCCAACCTCCATTTCTCACCCCAGGCAGGGGGCAGCATCCAGGGGGCAGAGCCCAGAGAGCTGAGCCTGGGACACTGCCCAGTCCTCCTGCAGAGAATCTGAGCAGGCTCAGCGGCCTCGCCGGCAGGTCTGCACTCTGAACCCAGCACCAGCCTTCCAGAACAGCCTCGTGGGGTCAACAGGGCAGCCTCCCTACACAGCACACAGCCTCGCCGAGGGTTGGGCCTGCAGCCAGCTTCCCGAGCAGCTCTGCCATTCGTCCCTCCCTGGTGGCACACTGCCCGGTGGCTCAGCTTAGCAGCGTCTTTCCAGAGCTGAGGGATGGGGCTGCGGGAGGTATCGGCCAGTCAGGGGCCTGGGCTCCCTGGGCTGCCTGTGTTGCAGGACCCCCATCTGGGCAGAGGGCTGGGTGGCCCAAGCCCCCTGTGAGGCTGGTCCTCCACCATCGGGAGGTTCTGGGACTAAGCCAGACTCCAGACAACCCTGGCTGACCTTCCTCTGGGACTTGCTGCCAAGGGACTCGTCCAGCCGGTCCCAGTGACCTCCACTGAGCTGTGCCCAGGGCTCCCAGGTCACTGCAGGACATTCCTTGAGAGTCGCCAGGCCCCAAAGCCCAGGAGAAGTGGGTGGAGGCCCGTGGCCACACGGGGTGGAGCCGCCCCTGCTCGGCTTTCCTGGATCTCAGGAGCAAGCCAGTGGGTGACGGCATGGCCCGTAGGAAGGCCCCTTCCCACTCTGACTTGTGCATGCACCCGCCCCCCACCCCTTGGCCCCGACACACACACACACACACACACACACACACACACACACGTGAGTCAGCTCTGGAACTCTTCAGGGAGGTGGGCAGGAAGGATGCCCAGGGGGGATTGTAGGCAGCCCCTTTGGACCCCTCCCTAAGGACACACGGCCCAGGAGGTGGGGACACGTGAGCTTCCCCGGGCAGGTGAGGGACAGGGGCTCGGGAGGGTTCTGGGGTGAATACTGTCCCCCTCCACTCCATGTCTGCCTGGAAACTCAGATGGTGACCTCTGGAGGTCGGGTCTTTGTAGACATAATTATTTAAAGTAAGATGAGGTCAGACTGGATTCAGGGGAGCCCGATCCCAATATGACTGATGTCCTTAGAAGAGAAAAAGCAGAGACACAGAGACAGGAGAGAGACCAGCCGAGCTGAGGAGCACCGAGGATGACCAGAAGCTGCACCTGGCCAGGAGAGAGCCCTTCCTGGAGCCCCTGAGGGGAGCACCGTCCCGCCAACACCCAGGCTTTGGGCTTCTGGCCTCCAGCAGCGTGAGGTAATGAGCTTCTGTGTCTGACGCACGCAGGGCACCAGACCCTGGGGGGTGGCTTACCCGAGACATCGGAATCAAGACACCGTGGCCTCTGCACTACATCCAACCACGTCCTCAAAACTTGATCGAGTTCTCCATCCAGGAAGATGGAGAAGTGTGGTCCCTACCTTCAGAGTCAGATGCAGTCACAATTTGCTACCAGGAGCCCTGGGAGGAGGCAGTGTCTGCGGGGGTCGGAGCCAGACAGAGGTGGGTTGGGATTCTTGACTTCTCTGGGCCTCTGGTTTCTCGCCTGTGAAATGGGGCCATGACTGGGCTGCTATGAGCAACAACAGAAGGCTTGTAAAGTGCTTATCAGGAGGCGGGGCCCACGACCATCCCGACATAAACGCGAGTCATTATTTTCAAAATTCCCCGACAAAGAAGTGTTTGTTAATCACAGAAGCCAGGATCTTGTGCCAGGATGATCAATGCAACTTTTCCAGGATTTGGCACCTGGTACTTTGCTCTCAGCCTTGGGGTCCTTGACATTTCAGCCAAAGACCCAAAGGCTGAGAGCAAAGTACCAGGTTCCAAATCTCCGAAGCTGGTGCAGGGGTTGTAACAGGGCCTCTTGTGCAGGGGTTGTAACGGAGCCTCCCGTGCGGGAATTGTAACGGGGCCTCCCGTGCGGGAATTGTAACGGGGCCTCCCGTGCGGGAATTGTAACGGGGCCTCCCGTGCAGGGGTTGTAACGGGGCCTCCCGTGCGGGAATTGTAACGGGGCCTCCCGTGCGGGAATTGTAATGTGGCCTCCCTTGCAGGAATTTTAACGGGGCCTCCTGTGCAGGGGTTTTAATGGGGCCTCCTGTGCAGGGGTGCAGGGATTGTAACGGAACTTTCTGTTCAGAGATTGTAACGGGACCTTCTGTGCAGGGGTTGTAACAGGGCATCCTGTGCAGGGGTTGTAACAGGGTCACCTGTGCAGCGGTTATAACACAGCCTCCTGTGCAGGGTTTGTAACAGGGGCACCTTTGCAGGGGTTGTAACAGCTGAAGCCTGAAGCTGGTCCTGTAGCATCGGCCCTTCACCCATGTCCCAGTTTTCTGTTGCTGAGTGATAAACCACCCAGTATTTCATGGAGCAAAACAGCCATTATTAAAGCCCCAGGTTCTGTGGGGCAGAAATTCAGGAGGGGCTTGGCCAGGCGATTCTTCTGCTCCGTGCGGCCTTGGCTGGCATCGCTCGGTGGTACTCGGCAGGTGGGTGGCTGGGTCTGGAAAGCCAAGGTGGCAGCACTCACATCTGGCACCTTGGCTGGGGTGACTGGCAGACTGGACGCATCTGGGGCTGCCAGTCAGAGCAACCCCACGTGGCCCAGCCTCAGGGTCAGACTTCCACTGGGAGGGCTAGGCGGCATACGCTAATTCACTTGTTCATTCATTCATTTGGCAAATATTTATTGTGTACCCACCATGTGGCAGGCCCTGTTTTAGGGGCTGGGGATACATCAATCATCAATAAAAACTCCTGTCCACGCAGTGCTTTCATTCTGGGGGGGAAGCAGATAGAAACCAGATTAATGAGTCAGAGAAAATGCAAGAGGGAGGACAGCGACCCAGAGGAGATGACATGTTGAGGAGGGGCCTGACAAAATTGTAGGTCCCATGTTCCAAAAGTGGCACTTGGGCAAGACCTGGAGTGAGTAAGGGTGCTGGGCACACCAGCCCCCAGGGGAGGAGCAAGTGCCAAGACCCGGAGGCAGGAGCAGGCCAACCTGTGGGTGCAGGAGCCCTGAGCACCGAGATGATGAGGTCAGAGAGGTCGCAGGTGGGGTCACGTCAGCTCCTGAAGGCTGCAGGAGGGATTTTGGGTGTTACTGAGTGGGTGGGAGTGTAGGAAGGTGCCGAGCAGAGGTGACCAGGACCCCTCTGGAGGCTCTGTGGCCATGGAGACAGCAGCAAGGAGCCACGGCGGCCACCAAGGCCAGGGATGGTGGCTCGGAGCAGGTGGAACCACAGTGACGGGGAGGTGCTTTCCATTTCTGGGTACATTTAGCCAACGGGAAGAGCTAGCAGGCTTTGCTGATGGTCCAGACGTGGGACATGAGAAGAAGAGAGGAGACAACCATGACATGAGCTTGGGGCCCCAGCAAGGTAGAGCCACCGCTGGTGATGGAGGAGCCAGCGGGGAACGGCCAGGAGGGGGATGGGACGCCGTAGGGGCATGTTGAGTTTGAGAAGCCTCAGGAGCAGGCAGCCAGGTGCAGATGGTGCGGAGGCAGCTGGATAGTGGATCCAGGGATCCAGGAGCAAATCCAGGCTGGAGATGGGCTTTAGAGTTGGGACAGAGATGGAATTTGCAGGCCTGATGGGAATGAGGTCACCGGCAGGGAGGGCAGTGGAGAGGAGAGCCCTGAAGACAGGGGCCAAGGTGGCTGGCAGGAGCCGGGTAGAGAAAGCCTTTGAAGGAGGTGGTGAGAGAGTGCCATGGAGAGTGCTGAGGGAGGTGAGCTGGGGGCTGGGAACTGCCCGGCTTCGTGGGGAGCAAGGGCAGGTGCTTCCCTGCAAGTGGGCATTTGAGGGGAGCCTGGGAGGATGGCAGGGGTGTCCAGCAGCCAAGACAGGGAGGTGTGCCTGGGACAGGTCAGCCAGGTGCAGGAATGAGTCGGGACGGGAGGCAGGTGAGCAGCATGCGGGTGCAGGTTTCAGACAGGCTCAAGGGCCAGCAGGCTGAGAAGGCAGGTGGGCCCAGATCCCAGGGTCTCGATGTCCTGGGGCGGCGAGAGAGTTCTGAGAGCTTCAGGTGTGGCAGTGCCACCCAGGAGCAGGGGCCGCTGCTTCGCTGCGCCTTGGCTGGAACCCCGCGGGCGCACTGTGCAGGGAGGCTAATTACCGCTGCTGTCAGGCAGCTTCCTCACCAGCCTTCGAGGCACTCAAAAATAACTTGTACAAAATGAGTCACTTGATCTGCCAGGCCACCGAGTCGCAGACTTGTCTAACTGCCTCTATGCTCCGAGGCGGGTGGGATCTCGTCACACGTGGAGTCGCTGCATTTAGCACCTTTCTCTGGGTAACAGGCCACAGTGGGGTGTCCCCGTCTCTGGTCCTTTTTCTACGGCCTGATGCTCCCGCCTCTGGGGCCAGCAGGAGGGCTGGCCTCCACCCACACTGGAAGGGGCACCCGAGCATGCCTGGATGCCTCCCAAGGGCTGGAGATCCACAGCATCCCAGTGTCATCTGCAGCCTGGGTTGGGGACATGGTCTCCTTCCGGCCGACAGGTTCACACTGGACTTTGGATTCAGAACGGGAGATTCCAGTCCGATTCCAAAGCGGGAGGCTGGGAGACAAGGCGAGCTGGGCAGGTGGTCCACAGGGCAGCCCGGTCTACTCCTTCCTCGCAGTGACAAAGTCAAACACAAACCCCACAATCCCAAGCACAGCGAAGGCCAAGGAAGTTGTGTGCTTTGTAGCCTTTGAGGAAGAATTGGCAAGATGTGTTTTTTGTTTTGTTTTGTTTTGTTTTTGGTTTGGTTTTTGTTTTGAGACCCAGTCGCACTCTGTCACCAGGCTGGAGTGCAGTGGCGCGATCTCGGCTCACTACAAGCTCCGCCTCCTGGGTTCAAGCAATTCTCCTGCCTCAGCCTCCCGAGTAGCTGGGACTACAGGCGTCCATCACCACGCCCAGCTAATTTTTTGTATTTTTAATAGAGACGGGGTTTCACCGTGTTGGCCAGGATGGTCTTGAACTCCTGACATCGTGTCTGCCCACCTCGGCCTCCCAAAGTCCTGGGATTACAGGTGTGAGCCACCGCGCCCCACTGGCAAGATGTGTTTTTAAACCTTAAAATGTTCTGTTCCTTTTAACCCAGGAATTCCACACCTGAGGCAGGAATCACAAGTGAAATTTCAGGTCGGCCTGTGGCATCACATGTTCGCTAAAGTGGTCTTGGTGATAGCGACATGTTGGGTACCACATAAAGGCCCAGTGATGAGGGGTTCAAGGACTGACGGTCCTCATGGGGGGCTGAGAGACAGCCCCCAAAGATGCCATGCCCTAATCCCTAGCAGCTGTGATGATGTCACTTTTCATGGTAAGAGGGACTTGGCAGAGGGGATTAGATTAAGGATCTTGGAATTAGGAGATTATCCTGGACTTCCCAGGTGGGTGCAGGGCCAGCGTTAAAGGAGGGGCGGGAGGAGAAGGGGCGGAGAAGAGCACGTGTTGGTGGCTGCAGGGAGAGAGAGAGGGATCTGAAGATGTCTCGAGGCTGGCTTTGAAGGTGGAGGAAGGGAGCCAGGGAATGCAGGTGCCTGGAGAAGGTGGAAATATCGAGGAAATGACTCTCCCTGAGCCTCCAGGAGGAATGACGTCTGCAGGCACCTTGCCTGTGGGACTTCGGGCCTCGGCAGCTGGGAGGCCACCCTTGTGTTGTCTGAAGACACTACGTGTGTGAGAGTGTGTTGAGCAGCTGCAGGAAGCTACATGGCGGGAGGTTATTGGGCCACACCCCAGCAAGAATGTTCCAGGCTCACGCTGAGTAGGGGAGGCAGGCTGCGGGCCGGTGCGGGACGATTGCACCTCTGTCCATTGGTTAAGGACCTATAGGGCATTTCCCGGGCACTGCCAGGTGGGAGGGGAGGCCGGGAGTGGGGCCTTGAGCCAGGCCAGCTGGGAGGCCTGAGTGCAGCCTTCTGAGGACGGGAAGACCAGATGGAGAGGGAGACGGGGCGTGTAGGAGGTTGCGGGGAGGAGACCCCAGGGCAGCTGAGGGCCGAGAGCATGGGGCAGCCTCCCTGGGGTCCAAGGGAGGAGCAGCAGCTTCAGCCCAGGCCCAGGGGGATGAGGCTTCAGGCAGGACCTGCGTGGGGGTGTCCAGGCTGAGAGAGCAGCCTTTGAGGTAATCAAGCTCGCATTTTTACTTGGTTACTTCATTCCTGTTAGGAAGCCACTGAGAGACCATGGGCTGTGCTAGGGACTGGGCCTGCCGCACCCCCTAGGCTGGCACTGGGCCTGCACCCAGGACCTCGAGAGTAAAGAGTGGCTGCTTGGCCTGGACTTGGGGAGCTGCCGATGAGATGGGGGAGGGGCACTTCCAAAGCAGCAGGTGCCTTTGTCAGACTCCAGGCCCCCGAGCCAAAGCCTGGTCACTGAGGACACAGCCCTGCCTTTCCCTGCCCCAGGGAGCCCACACCCCACCTCCTGCACAGGCGTACCACCCCAGTGGCCAGCCTGGCCCCTGCTGAGACCACATCAGTGCCCCTGCCTGCCCCAGCCCTGCTGAGACTGCTCCAGCGCCCGTGCCTGCCCCAGTCTGTGTCGCTCCATCAGCCAGACCTGCCCACAGCCTCCCCTGCCCGCTACGCTCCAGGCCACAGAAAGCAGCCTCCACCGTCCGCAGCCTCTGAGGGCAGCCTCGGGCTCAGGCCCCTGCTGTGTCCCCTGTGTCGGTCCAGCTCCTTCCCTGAGGCAGCTCCCCCATGTGTCCCACTGACGCCACATGCTCCACAGGCCATGCTGAGCTCACCATCCCCCAGACCCCACCCTGGCCCCTTCCTGGCTGACGCTTCTCCATCCTCACACTGTTCAAGCCAGAAATCTGCCTCACCCTCCGCCTCACGCCATCCATCTGCAGACCCCACCGGTGATGTTCCTTAAACGTCTCTGGACTGCCCTAACCCCACGCCCGGTGCCTCTGCCCAGTCCAGGCCTTTTCACCACCACCCAGCACATCCCTGCGTCCTCCTGATGCCGCCATCAGTCTCACACCCAACCCACCTTCGTGCTTCTGTTGGACCTGACCCAGACCGCCCCCTCTCTAAATTCCTCCACGGCTCCCCAGCACCCTCAGCAAGCTCTGCACCCCTGGCCTGTGCTCCGGCTCTCCGTGCCCTGTCCCTGCCGGCCCTTCAGCTTCCCGAGCCTGTCCCGGCAGTGGCCTCCCTGCAGTTCTCCCAGCACACCTGCTGTCCCTTTCCTCGAGCATCCCCTGCCCCCTCTTCTTGCTGGTTATTTCCTTATTGTTGACAATCCAGCTCAAGGTCTTGGCCTCCGGGAAGTTCCCTCCTGGGTGGGTCTTCCCTTTCTGTGCACTCCCAGGGCCCGGGCCCCTCCTGTCGCACCTGTGCTGAGAGTGAGGGGGACTGGCCTGATCCACCCCCATCCCAACATGCCCCACACATGCTGGGCCTGGGGACGGTGGCTCTGTAGATTTGGGTCCTGTTGGACCTGTGTCCCTGGGGCCCTGAGCCAGAGGAGCAGCAGATGGAAATGTTGGGAAGGAGCGGAAGCATGTGCCGTGCACAGAGGGTGGGTGCTGCTGGGGCCAGTGAGTGCTCAGGGTCCTGCAGGTGAGGGAGGGCGCGGCTCAGGGGCCATGGCGCAGGCATGCACAGCTGCAGGTCTGCCTCTGGAATGGGAGTTCAGAGGCCCCACCCCAGCCCCAGCCCGGGCCACTCACAGTCTATCCCATCAGCTCCTCCTTTTATCTCCTTAACATAGACCTTGGTTTGTGATGCATCCTTTACTCCCTTGGGAGTTGATCATCTCCCCTGACTCCTGCATCCTTCCCTGCAGGAGTGTCCCTAAGGTTGATGGACCAGTGGGGGCCCAGGACCTCCCAGTGCTGGAGGCAATGCCAGCTTCCACCCAAGAGAGTTCCCCCGCATGACCCCTGTGGCAGATTCAGCTGATGCTGCTCTGCGGGCTCGGCCCCCCAGCAAGGATTCTGAGGGCAGAGGTGCAGTGCTCCCACTGCGGGGTCAGTTTTGGGACCAGGTGTCTGCTGAGGATGAATCACACCTTTGAGTCTCGTCCATGTTTGATTTAGATTATATTTAGATAGAGACATTCCCCTTGGGGTAGCAGGTGCCCGGGGAGAGGGGTCCAGAGGCAGGGCAGGGACCTGAGAAAGCTGCTGTGGACTGAATCATGTCCCCCTAAAATTCACACGTTGGAGCCCTAACCCCTGATGGGACGGTGTTTGGAGAGTGGGGTGGAATGAAGGAAGGCTTTTGGGTTTTTTGGATGATGATGCTATTCAGCTGCAAATGTGGACCGTTCTTGAAGAAGACAGAAAAAATGACCCCAAGGGAATTCAGAGATCATCTGGCCACTGCCTTGATTCAGCTGGCCAGGTGGCCTTAGGTGGGACTGCCTTGCAGAGTCCTGAGGATGGGACTCTGGCCCCGCAAAGCCACGGGGGCAGGGGCCTTTCAGAGACCCGCGTGTCAAGCCTGCCTGCCGAGTGGTGCGGTGACGCTGCCTCCCCAGCGGGCCCGGAGAGCTGAGTGTGGAGCCGAAGGGGATTCTGCAGCCTTCATAGCGAATGCAATTGGCCTTGCTAAGCTGTAGACATGCGTGCCCCCCATCACTTCCTCTTTCTTTCTGATTTCTCCCTTTTGGAATGGGAATGTCTATCCCATGCCTGTCCCACCATGGCGTTTTGGAAGCACGTAGCTTGTCTGCTTTCACAGGTTCACAGCTGGAGAGGAATTTTGCCTTAGGATGAATCACACCCTTGAGTCTCATCCATGTTTGATTTGGATTATATTTACATAGAGACATTGGACTTTAGTCTTTAGAGTCGATGCCGGAATGTGTTAAGACTGTTGGGACTCAATAGAGTCAATGTGTTTTGTATATGAGAAAGACATGAATTTCAGGGGACCAGAGGCAGAATGCTATGGACGGAATGGTGTCACCCCAGAATTCCTAGGTTGAAGCCCTAACCCTCCAGGTGATGGTATGTGGAGTGGGGCACTTGTTTGGATGAGGGCCTGAGGGTGAGGCCCTTATGATGGGACCAGTGCCCTTACAAAGGAGACACCCGAGCTCTCTCCATGTGAAGATGCGGTGGAAAGTCAGTGTGGCCGTGAGCAAGCCAGGAAGAGACCCTCCCCAGAATCCGACCATGCCTGCACCTGGATCGTGGACTTCCAGCCTCCAGAACCATAAGAGTGAATGTTGGTGTCCAAGCCCTGCCTGTGGTGTGTTGTCATGGCAGCCCGAGCAGACGAATGCAGAGGATTTCTTGGGCTTTGTCCCCTGGTAGGAAACATCTCTGCTCTGAGGACAGGAGGGCCAGGATCCCCCCTATCCTGAGCAGCCACAGTGGGGTCTCGAATGACTCCCCAGTGACCTCTTGTATTACTCTGTTCTCATGCTGCTCTGAAGAAATACCTGAGACTGGATGATTTATAAAGAAAAGAGGTTTAATTGACTCACAGTTCCACATGGCTGGGGAGGCCTTGGGAAACTTACAATCATGGCGGAAGGCACCTCTTCACAGGGCAGCAGGAGAGGGAATAACAGCCAGCAGGGGAAATGCCAGATGCTTATAAAACCATCAGACTCACTCATCACAAGAACAGCATGGCGGAAACCACCCCCATGATCCAATTACCTCCACCTGGTCCCACCCTTGACGCCTGGGGATTATCACAATTCACAGTGAGATCTGGGTGGGGACTCAGAGCCAAACCATATCACCTCCCCAGTTCCATCCATAAACACACGTCTTTGAACTATAGGAGCCATTACAGATTGCCAGATGGTGTTTTGACTTACACACCATTGGCCTTCAAAATGTTTAAACATTTTTTCAATTAGGTGTCAACATTTAAGAACAGGGTAATTTTATATTCAGCAAGTTTAGATTTCTAGCTTCCCTTGGAAAAATGTCAGAGGACTCCCCCACCTGCAGTGGGCAGGGGCAGAGGGGAGGCCACCCCTCAGGGTGCGATGTGCTTTCCCCGCCTGAGTGCTGGCTGCCCTTCACTATTGCTCTCGAGCTACGTGTTTCTACCGTGGAGTCTCATGTCCATGGCCTCCATCAAAGGTGCGATAATGGCAGAGCCTGGGTAGGTCTCTCTCTCTCACTTGAGGGCCCCCCTCTGGGAAGCCCAGCCCCATGGGCACAAGCCTTGATGGTTCTCAGGTCCTCCAGCCTAATCAGGGGGTCACATGCCCTGTGGCATCACAGCCTCAGACATGGGAGGTGACCACACATCCACTGCCCTTTGAATAGCAGTGGTAAGGACCAGACATACATGAAAAGGTGTTCAGAAGGCGCATTCAGGGTGTAGCAGTTGATACAGGAAGGAACAGGCATGATACTGCGTGATCTCTGTGTGTGTGGAGCGGGGGCATCATGCCTCTCCTATGATTCATGGATTCCTTTGTTTACTAACAAATGCTGTCAAAGTGCTCACTGCACACCAGAGCCTGGACGGGGCGCTGGGACTCACTGGTGAGGCCTGAGACCTCTGCCCCAGCCGCAGCCTCTCTAGGCCTCAGTTTCCCTGCCTGTGATGGGAATGGGCTGAATTAGGAGTCCTGGGGGATTCCAGCCATGCTTTCCTGGGAGGTCAGGACATAGAATGTAATAAAATGGGGTCTCAGGCCTACACCCAGCATTCAGGCCAGACCGAGGCTCCCCCCATAGCTGCCTCCACCAACCTGGAGAGGAGTGTCTAGAACCTGCGGTAGAGATTCCTGTGCTGGCAATGTCCAGACCTCCTTCTCTTCCTGGGCACATGGGAGGACGTTGCAGGAGTCCCTGTGCTCAGGTGGGGCCATGTGACCAGCTGCAGCCAATGGGCTATGAGTGGAAGGATGGGCTAGGCAGGTAGGAGTCGGTATGGGTTCTCTGCATCCTCCCTCATCTCCTGACAAGCAACCCCAGAAGCCATCTGCTGAGCCCCTGGAACCTGTGACACAGACTAGGGGTGCAGGTTGCCAAGTACCTGCAGCCCTGATCTGCAGTGGCATAGCCTGACATGACAACATTTAAGAACAGGGTTCATTTGTTACCAAGCATAACCTCACCTGTGCTGACCAAAACATCACGGGGCTTCTCTTCCATGCTTTCCCCCACACCATCTTTAGGTAAGGGTTCCCCTTGGGATCAGCTCTGAGGAACTGTGGCTGCTGCCTGGGGCCCCCTGCCACTCCATTCCTGGGACAGGGTCCGGGTTTTCAGCAGGTGTGTCTTCTGCACTGTTTTGAGCTGAGGGCATGCTCAGCATCTGGGTAGATTTTGCAGATGAGACTGGGAAGACCTACAGTAAGTGCATGCACTGGATTGGAGTCCACCAAGGCAGGTCCACATCAAAGATGGGAGCTCCTTGTGTGCCAGGATCTCATCAGTAAAAGTGGATGATCACAGGCCCACCTTTGCAGAGTGGTGTGGGGAGCAAGGGGTCCATGTGGCACCACACTGAGCAGGGTCTACACTGAGAGGGATGGGAAGGCTTGTGGCCTGGGACCCACTGAGACCAGGATGGCCAACCCAGAGCCACTCGCTGCTCCTGGGAACACTGGGTCAATGGTCACTCAGCAAGCCTGTGCTGGACCCAGGGGTAGGCCCTGCCTGTCCTCCACTCCTGTGACCAAGGGAGCCCCTGCTACCTGCAGCACAAAGGCCACATGCCCCAGGCTGGCCCAGCAGGGTCCCCTTTCTGTAGGATACACCACGATGCCTGTAACTGTCCTTCCACACGACAGGTGGGATTTTTCCAGGCAAGCTCTGGGGCTTCCCAGGCCCACATCCCGGCCCCTGAGCACTGGCTCAAACGCAGGAACAGAGACCAGGAAGCCAACGGGCTGCATAGGAAGAGCGAGTGCCAGAACCAGCTTCACGACATCCTGGCTGTGGGACTCTGGCAAGCTGCCCCATCTCCAAAGGAATTAGTCCTTCCCACCAAAAATCAAAGAAGATTATGCCCATTCGAAAAGGCTGCTGTGAGGGTGATGAGATATGGCACAGAGAAACAGAGGGCACAGAGGTCAGAGGGGCAGGGGCCTGGACTGGCCTTCATAAAGCTGGTGCCTCCATCTGATGTGCCTTCAACCCTGAGGAGAGAGGGACCTCTCCCCAAGGCAGGCAGGAGGGACTGTCTTACTTATTTCTCCCACAGACACTAGGTAGCACACATTCAGGCCAGTCTTTGCTTTAAGTGCTTGGGAATACTAGCTCATCCCATTCCACTTATGCCAGATGATAGCTCAGAAGGAAGAATGGGATATTCTCATATGGTATGATGTAGTGGAGTATGGCATACTATATAGTATAGTGCAGTAGACTGTAATAGAGTACCCTATCAACTGATGGAGTGGGTAGAGTTTAGTACAGTGGCGTATAGTACAGTGTAGTACCGCCTGATGGAGTGGGTATAGTATAGCATAGTGGGGTATTGTGTGGAGTACAGCCTGATGGAGTGGGTATTTTATAGTACAGTGGAGTACAGTGCAGTACAGCCTGATGGAGTGGGTAGTGCATAGCATAGTGGAGTATAGTAGAGTGCAGTACAGCCTGATGGAGTGGGTATAGTATAGTATAGTATAGTATAGTATAGTATAGTGGAGTAGAGGGCAGTACAGCCTGATGGAATGCGTATAGTATAGTATAGTGGAGTATAGTAGATTGTGGTACAGCCTGATGGAATGGGTATTGTATAGCAGAGTAGAGTAGAGTAGAGTAGAATGCAGTACAGCCTGATGGAGTGGGGAGTGTATAGTATAGTGGAGTATAGTAGAGTGTAGTACAGCCTGATGGAGTGGGTATAGTATAGTATAGTGGAGTATTGTGTGCAGTACAGCCTGATGGAATGGGTATAGTGTAGTATAGTATAGTATATTGGAGTACAGTAGAGTGTAGTACAGCCTGATGGAGTGGGTATACTATAGTATAGTGGAGTATAGTATAGTATAGTGGACTATAGTGAACCATAGTAGAGTGCAGTACAGCCTGATGGAGTGGGTATAGTGTAGTATAGTATACTGGAGTATAGTAGAGTGCAGTACAGCCTGATGCAATGGGTATTGTAGAGTATACTGGAGTATAATAGAGTGTAACACAGCTTGATGGAGTGGGTATTGTATAGTGGAGTATAGTAGAGTGCAGTACAGCTGGATGGAGTGGGTAGTGTATAGTATAGTGGAGTATAGTAGAGTGCAGTACAGCTGGATGGAGTGGGTATTGTATAGTGGAGTATAGTAGAGCACAGTACAGCTGGATGGAGTGGGTAGTGTATAGTATAGTGGAGTATAGTGGAGTGCAGTACAGCTGGATGGAGTGGGTAGTGTATAGTATAGTGGAGTATAGTAGAGTGCAGTACAGCTTGATGGAGTGGGTAGTGTATAGTATACTGGAGTATAGTAGAGTGGAGTACAGCCTGATGGAGTGGGTATAGTGTAGTATAATGGAATTGAGTGTCGTGGAGTATAGTAGTGCTTAGTGTAGTGGAGTGTGGTGTGGTGTGATTTAATGTAGCATAGTAGAGCATAAATGAGGAAGGCATAGAATAGCACCAGTTATAGCACGATGAGCAACATGAGGCTAGAGAGGTTAAGTGACATCCCCAAGGTCACCCAGCTCCTAAGTCACAGAGCCTGCCTTCTAATGCAGACCTGTTGGGCTCCAGGGCTTTGTTCCCCACTGTGTCTTGCAAGCAAAGAGCCTTCACTCAGGAAACAGACCTCATCTGTCCTGACAAGTCAGAGGCTGACCAGCCATGAAATGATTTCAAGAGAATGCTTTTGGGTCTGCCGGCTGGGGGCTCAAGAGGAGGGTTTAGCATCTGTGCTGCCTCCAGGTGTGAGGTGGCCAGGGGGCAGTGGGCGGGGCCTGGGGGGTCATAAGGTGTTCTAGACCTTCTACCTTGGTGGTCTCTGAGCCTTGAGGCTGGAGAACACCATGGGGGCTGAGGTTAGACAGCTCTGAGTCTGGGGGCGTGCTCCAACCAGAGGTGGGGCCATGTGAGGAGAGAAGGGGAGCGCCATGGATTTGGGGGAGAGCAGCTCCTGGGAGCCAAGAGAAGGATGTGTCTCCTGGGAGGAGGCTGATGTCTGAGGCTGAAAGACCAAGGTGCAAGACAGTCTGAGAACCGACTGCTGGATTCAGGAACGCAGGGGCACTGGGGACAGGTTGTGAGTGGTTTGAGAGGTGAAGGAGAAGGTGGGGCCAGGATAGGACCACTGGGGACGTGAGCACATGCACGTCTCTGCCTAGCTGGCAGTCTGTCTTCCCAACAAGCAGGCTCTTTCTGCCCTGGCGTCACATTGTGTTCTAATCATAATAATTATCAGAGCATGATGAGCTCTTACTGCGTGCCCTGCATGGGGCTCAGATATCTGGGCTGGTGGAACATCCTTCTGAAGTGCTGGTCATTGAACACCTCCCCGAAGTGTGTGTGCGTGGGAGCACTTGTGAGCCTGTGCGTGAGAGCACGTGTGAGCGTGTGGTCCTGGAGCGCTGGACCAGGAATCCCACATGGGGCTTTGCGCTCCAGCCCCACCCCTCACCACTGTGTGGCCTCGTGGGGTCCTAAGGAGATGCCAGTTTGAGAGCTCCCTGCCACCTCCATCCTCTCCAGGGCCCTGGCACCAGCCACAGTACTCAGCATGGGCCCTGGTCGCTGAAGGATCATGGTTGCTTTTGCGTCCAGAGGCAGAGCTGAAGGTGGAGCAGGGGGCTGAGTTTCACTTCTAGTCCCTTTGGGTGCCTGAAGGAAATCATCTCATTCCCACTGAAAGCCTCAGTGTCCTGGAGTCAGGCAGAGGTGAGCGAGTCCTCCGTGGGCACGTTCTCAGCCGGGTGATCGTCATCCAAGCCCGCACAGCCGCCCCGGATCTTCAGTGCCTCTCTCCAGCTTCCTGTGCTGCTGTCCCCAGCTACCTGGAGCTCAGTGGCTTTGCCGCAGTGCGAGTTCCAGCTCTCGCAGCTGTGGAGGCCAGAAGTCTAAAGTCAAGGGGTCGGTGGGGCTGGGTCCTCCTGGAAGCTCCCCGGGAGATTCCGTTTCCTTGCCTTTTACAGCTTCTAGAGGCCGCCTACGTTCCTTGGGTTGTGGCCCCTTCCTGGAATCACAGCAGCCTCTTGTGTCCATCATCCCATCTCTGACTCCGACCCTCCTCCTCCTGTGAGGATGCTTGTGATTTATGGGGCCACCTGGATCACCCAGGACCTTCTTCCGTCTCCAGATCTTCCATGCAGCTCTTTCCCCATGCAAGAGAACATACTTCCGGTTTCAGGGGTTAGGGCCTGGGCACAGTTGGAGGCCATTTTTCCTTTGGCAGGGCACCCCCACCTGAAGGCACACTGACTCTGCTAGCTGCCCTCAGCATCTGTAGCACTGGCCTTGGTCTCAGTGACCCACACAAGTTCCGCATGTGCTGAAAACAAGAGCAGGAGCCGCGTGACCTCAGCCCTCCCATCTTTTGAACGGGGTTGACCCAACAGCATGTCAGAGTTGCTGTGCAGGTCAGAGGATTGGTGTGTTGAAATAGGTGACACACGACCCCGCCCTACAGATGCTACCTGCTGAAGGTGACAGCATCATGGTCGGTCTGCCAAGTGCCCGGGACGGTCATGGAGGGAGGCCCACAGGGACCTCAGACTGCACACAGGCAGAGGTGGCTGCCGAACCCCGACCAGGGGACCCCCACCAAGCAGAGCTCAGGTGAGGAGGGCCTCGTGGGTGGGCACTTTGCTCATCACTGAGGTTGCTTGCTTGGCGAAAGACACTTTCCCTGAAGTGCCTGCTCCCAGGCTGGCTCCTAAATGTCAGCTCAGTTGAATCAGAAAACACAGTGCCGCACAGAGCCCGTGGGGTGCTGGGAAGAACCTCGAGAGGCTCTCCTGAGGCTGACTTCCCCCGCATCTGAGGGGGTCCCACCTCTGAGTGGGGCTCAGAATCCCCCCAGGAGAGGTCAGGCCATTGTAGGAATCCTGGCGTGGCCGGGGGGAAGCCTCCCAGGAGTGTAGGGTGGGGCCATGGCACCCAGCTGGTGGCATTCTCGCCAGCAAAGGCTTCATTCAAACTCAAAGTAACTTCAATAGAGGAGTATTAATTCCAGAGCAAACCAGATGGGACAATTCCTCTGCTTAAAAACCTTCTGCGCCCCTCATCAGAAGAGAATTCCCAAACGCCTTTGTGGGGAGCCCTGAGGCCCACTGCCCCACATCCTGTCTCACCTGGGCCATGGCCCTCAACACCCAGGCATCCATGTGGGCCACCAGCCTCTGGGGACACTTATCCCTTTGGCCTGGAGTGGCGGGCTCTGGTTCCCACTGGCATGCCTGCAGGCAGCTCCATCCCAAAAGGCCAAACCCCAAGAGAGACCCTCAAAGGCTCCCCCTGACCCCTGTGCACCTGACAGGAGGCTGCTCACCTGCGCAGTTTCCTGAAATGCCACAAGGCCCTCAAAGGTGGGCCCTGCAGGCGAGTCAGGCCTGGGCGGCTGCATCCACCCAGATCTGACCAGGGCTGGTGTCCAGGGGCAGCTTCATAAACACCACACACAACCCCCGCATGGAGGCCACACCAGCACCCCCCTCCCTGCACTGAGCACATTGGAGACGTTGCCTGTCTTCCTCTCCACTGCCCATGGGGTAGACAGATACTGTCCTGCTTCCACAGATGGGGAATCAGGGGCTTGGAGGACCGGCTCCATGCTTCAGGCTCCATGCTCCATGCTCCACGCTCCACATGGTGCATTCAGTTCTCACCGGGACCGCCAGGCAGTCCAGGGTGCACAGCACCATGACACCCCTCCAGCCAAAGCCCCAGGCCACGGGGGCTTCTCCAAGTCACAGAGCTGGGCGGGCAGAGCCAAGGCTGAGAATGGCAAAGAAATGGGCCAGGCGGCAGATCAGTGTGAGTGTGGCAGCCGTGCCCAACAGGCGCCGAGTGCCAGGCTCAGAGGCAGGCTTTGCTGCCACACCCTGCAGCTACCCTGAGGGTCCACATCGCCACCCCGCTGTGCGGTGAGGAGCTCAGAGGGGTCAGGGCCATGGGCAGCTTCATGGCCCTGTGTTCCATTGCCCCATCTGCTTGCTATGTGACTGCCATGGCTTAGATGTCTGTCCCCTCAGACCTCAGGTTGACGTTTGATCTCCAGTGTTGGCAGTGGGGCCTCATGGGAGGTGTTGGGTCCTCGTGGCGGTGAGGGGTGAGTGGGCGCCCGTGGGAGCTGGCTGTTGAGAAGAGCCCAGCACCTCCCACCTCTCTCTCCATGTGGTCTCTGCACACACGGGCTCCCTTCACCCTCCACTGTGAGTGGAGGCAGCCCAAGGCCTCCAGCAGAGGCAGGTACTGGCTTCTGTGCATGGTTCCGGTGCAGCCTGCAGAACCGCCAGCCAGAGACCCCTGTTCTCTCTACCTCGCTGAGCCTCAGGTGCTCCCTGATAGCAACGCAGAAGGACTAAGCCAGCGACCTTGGGAAAGGTACTTAACCTCTCAGCGCCTCCCCCACAAGATCTGTTTGGATCCACTCAGGGTCCCAGCTCTGCTTCAGGAGATGATGATCCACTGGGGTCCCCGACCAATGGTCAGGAGAGACCCCGTGATAACAACGTCTCAGGCAGGGACGGTGGGCAGGACCACGTCTCCAGGGCCACCAGGCAATAAGCCCGCTCTGCAGCTCGGCAGGGGGGTTGGCAAGCGTGCTGGGCCCTGGGCCATGCCAGGCTGGAGGAGTGAGGTCTGGCCCTGTCACTCACCCACCCAAGACCTTCTGGGACTCCCAGTCACCTAAGCCCAAGAGGTACAGCCTGGCAGCCACATGGCCCTGTGATCAGGCCCCAGCACATGCCTGGCCCTGGTGTGCTCTGACCCATGGTGACTCGAGCCTCCAGCCTAAACACCCTTCCCTTCTGCCTCCATCACGGCACCAGGCTGCCCACGAGACCCCAGCCCCCTCACGCAGCTCCCGACCCTCCCTACACAGGGGGAGCTGGCATGTGTGAGCCAGAGAGGGCAAAAGCACACTCACGCCAAGAGCTCCTGGGGGGCAGGCACTGAGTGCTCACGGCCATGGCCCTCACCCTCACACACACCTATGAGCTATGTTAGTCCATTTTGAGATGGGAAATAGAGACCAAGGGAAGTTAAGATGCTTGCCCTGCCCCCCACCAAGTAGAAAGTGGCAGAGCCAGGTTCAAACCAGAGTTGCCAATCCCGGAGCCCAGCTCCCAGCCCCTCCACTCTTGGCTGGCTGTCCACCCACGCCTCCCGCACTCCCTGGTCCAGGCTCATAGGCTTGTCAATTCCACCCCTCTGCTGATGGCGCGTGGATCTGCACCTCCAGCCCCAACATCGCCCTGGAAGACCAGGCTTATATATCAGCGATCTCCACTTGATGGCCTAACAGGCATCACATAAAAGCCAAACCTTTTACTTCCCAGCTCAAAGCCTGTTCTAGTCTTCCCCGTCTCGGCTGCTGGCCAATCCATGCTTCTACCTCTCGGGGCCAGTCCTGATTCCTCCCTCTCCGTCTCCCTCTCGGTCTCTGCCGGCTTCCAAATGGCTGGTGAATCCCGTCAGCTCTCCCTTCAGCTGCCATCCAGAGCCCAGCCTGGTCTGCGCCACCACCCTTGAGCATCTGCTTCTCCCTGGTGCCCTGGTCTTGCCCTTACCAGCTCTTCCCTACACAGCACCAGGGACACCTCCGCAACAGAAGGCAGAACTCGTCCCTCTTCTGCTCAGAACCTTCCAGTGAGCTCTGAGCCACTCGGAGTCAAATCCAAAGTCCCTCCACAGCCTCCGAGGCCCAAAGGATCTGACCTCCTGACTCTTCGTCCCCTCCTCTGGTTCACAACTCTGTGCTATACCCGGACTGCACCGCACGCCTCTGCGCTACGCCCGGACCGCACCGGACGCCTCTGCGCTGCGCCCTGATGGCACCACACGCCTCTGTGCTATGCCCGGACAGCACCGCCCACTTCTGCGCTGTGCCCTGACAGCACCGCACGCCTCTGCGCTATGCCCTGACCACACCACACACCTCTGTGCTATGCCCAAACTGCACCGCACACTTCTGCGCTATGCCGGGACCGCACCGCACGCCTCTGCGCTATGCCCTGACTGCATCACATGCTGCAGCCCCGGGTGCTGCCGCCTCCGAGGGGAGGTGCTGCCCAAGCTCTCCTGGGTCTGCTCCAGTGCCCCTTTCTGGGGAAGGGACCTTCCCTGACCCCACATGTAGAACGAAAAACCCCCACGGTCTCTCTACCACACTAGCTCTACATTCATTTCCTCCTTAACTCTTAGCACCACCTGGCACAAGTGCTTCCGGTTTATCGTCACTCTCTCCCAGTGGAATGGAAGCTCCTGGGTGTGGGTCTTGGCACCTTGGTTGTCTGCTGTATTCCTCATGCCTAGAACAGATAGGCACGTAGATACGCTGAGTAAGCATCTGTGGAATGAACCTGCCATCATTTGGGGGGATATTTTTTTATTGCTATATAATACAAGAGTTGTACATATTTTGGGAGTGCATGTGATATTTTGATACATGTATACAGTGTAATGATCAAATCAGGGTAATTAGGCTATCTGTCACCTCCAACATTCACCTGCCCACTCATTCTTCTTCCTGGGGGTCTCCTCCATACCAGACACCACCGCGAGTGCCAGAACCAATGAACTCAGCAACATTCCATTTCACGTTTGAAATCTGCATCAAGGGTAAATCTCCAGGGTTACAAAAAGATCAGTGAAATTCATTCTCAAGGACCCAGATTAAATTTAAATAGAAAAGCACTATTTATCCAACCCAGGAAAACATTTATATAAATGTGCTTATATAATACATTAAAATGCCAAGGAAAGCTACTTGTGCAGTCACATCAGTATTTCTCACGCGGAACACGGCATATGCTGCAACCACTCAAATCCACTCTGAACCTTCGGCTCTTAAAGCTCTGAGATTAATCCTACATGCTTTTCCCCTTAAGAAATATGTCCTTTCTTTGTTTTACTCCTAAGTAGCTGCAGGTTTTGTGATTTCAAAATGAAATGAAGCCATCCCAGGGGGTGGTGAGCCCAGATCTTTATGATAAACATTCTTCTTTTGTTTTTCTCAAATTTGTGAAGACTTGTTGGTCTCTGTGGGGGAGATGTCGGGTCCTGGAGGGGTCAATCTGATTAGTGGCTAATCTCTCGGCGCTAGTTGCCCAGTGCAGAGGACCCTCCTCGTGCCTGAGCTCAGCTTCCAGGGGTTTTGTCCCTGCCTGCAGGGCTCAGAGCTTCCTCAGAACGGGTCTTCCACAGAACCTTTTGTTCTCGAAATAGCGTGTGACTGACAATTCATTCCTCCGAGTTGAAAAATAGTTAAATGAATTAGACGTTCTCAGAAACGCCACATTTGAATTGGGGGGTGTTGATTCAAATACTGGAAGAGAAATCATTTTGAATTTTTAAGAAATGATGAAATATGTATTTTTTTCTTTTGTATTTTTGAGGTGGGTGACAGAAAATCAGTGAATTTTTTAAAACCTGGAATTGTTTAAAAAATATATCATGTTATGTGTGACAAATTTCATGGTCCCTGGTTGCAGCAGGTTTTATTTGGAGGAAATTTTTCGAAAGCATAAATCTGTTATCTTCCCACTCGCTCATTAGCACCTCCCTGCTGCCAGAGGGAAATGTTTTGCCCTGGGCCACCCAGTGACCCCCTTGCATTGGATCCTGGAATTCTCTGTTGGCAACCTGTATATGTGTTCCCAAGGAAAACGTGGAAAGTGCTTGTTTAAAAAGAAACCAGTGGGGCGCAGTGGCTCACGCCTGTAATCCCAGCACTTTGGAAGGCCAAAGCAGGCAGATCACCTGAGGTTAGGAGTTCAAGACCAGCCTGGCCAAAATGATTAAACCCCGTCTCTACTAAAAAAATAAAAAAAAATTTACCCGGGCGTGGTGGGGGCGCCTGTATTCCCAGCTACTCGGGAGGCTGAGGCAGGAGAATTGCTTGAACTCAAGAGGTAGAGGTTGCAGCGAGCTGAGATCGTGCCACTACACACCAGCCTGGGCAACAAGAGCGAAACTCTGTCAAAAAGAAAGAAAGAGGGAAAGAGAGAGAGAGGGAGAGAGAGAGAGAGGGAGGAGGGAGGGAGGGAGGAGGAAGGAAGGGAGGGAGGAAGGAAGGAAGGAAGGAAGGAAAGAAGGAAAGAAGGAAGGAAGGAGACACCATAATTGATACGAGCTTCATTTGAGCAGATGACAGGGTCAGGTTGGTTAGAAAGAAAACTTAATCTTCAGTTACATTAATAGGAGCAAAGTGTCCAGAATAATGGAGGCGATCATTCAGCTGCACTAGGGGTTGATCATACCATTCTTTGCAGCGTTGTGGTTGGTTCTGGGTCCCTTTAGGTAATCTGTGCCTCGGCCGATTAGAGTGGGCTTATTAGCAATGATGGGGTTGGAAAGCCAGTCTGAAACTGGGTCCTTAGAGAAATGTCTGAAGGAATCAGAGCTGTTTCACTGAGAGAACAGACTCTGGGGACCTAGGAACTGTCTGCAGATTTCTGGAGGACTATCATGGGGCATGCGGAATGGGTTTCATTGGCCCTGAGGCCAGAGTCAGGACCACGCGGTATTCTGTGCATCTATTCTTGCATTAAAAAAATGTGGCTGTGTGTGCTGGCTCACGCCTGTAATGCCAGCACTTTGGGAGGACGAGTTGGGTGGATCATGAGGTCAGGAGTTCAAGACCAGCATGGCCAAGATAGTGAAACCCCGTCTCTACTAGAAATACAAAAATTAGCCAGGCATGGTGGCAGGTGCCTATAATCCCAGCTACTTGGGAGGCTGAGGCAGGAGAATCGCTAGAACCCGGGTGGCAGAGTTTGCAGTGAGCCGAGATCACACCACTGTACTCCAGCCTGGGCGACAAGAGTGAGACTCTGTCTCAAAAAAAAAAAAAGCTTACTAGTGTAAAACCACAATGTATCATTATGTCTTCCAGTTCTGTGGGTTGACCAGGCTCTGCTGGGAGGCTGTAACTTGGGTCTCACCACTGGCTGCAGTGGGGTGTCTGCCAGGGCTGCTCTCACATGGGTGCTCCCCTGGGATGCCCTCCAGGCTCATCACTCAATGCTGTAGCTGAGGCTGGCAGTCAGCTGAGGGCCGCACTGGGGCTGTTGAGGACAGGCCCACACGTGGTCTCTCCATGTGGCTTGGGGTTCTCCGGGATGGCGGCAGGGCTCCAAGAGGGAGTGAGTACTCCGAGATGCCCAGGCAGAGGCTGCTCAGCGTCTTCTGACCCAGCTCGGAGCCCCAGAAAGTCACTGCTGCCATTTTCCACTGGCCAAGCAAGGCCCTGAAGCCAGCCTGGATCCACGCAGGAGAAAGTTTTGAAGGGAGAGGGGCACGCACTGCCAATGCCAGCCTTCGTCAAGGCCAACCACCAGACAAGGAGATGAGGGCCGCAGGGAAACCTGCAGGAGGGGCATCCTTCTCCTTGTTTATTTCCTGCCATTGGCAAAGGCTATCAATGACCAGTCCTGGGGCATCGCAGGGAAGGAGCTGTCAACAGGCCTCAGGCAGACAGGCCCAGTTGCCAACCGGATCCATCTGCCTGGGGCCACCATAACAAACTAGCGAAGACCAGGGGCTTAAACAACAGAAACTGATGACCTCACAGTCTTGAAGGCTGGGAGTCCAAGGTCAAGGTGTGTCATAGTTCACCTGTGTTGCTGTAAAGGACTCCTGAGATTGGGTAATTGATAAAAAAAACAGGTTCATTTGGCTCCCAGTTCTGTAGACTGTACAAGAAGCATGGAGCCAGTATCTGCTCGGCTTCTGGGAGGCCTCAGGAAGCTTCCCCCAATGGCGGCAGTGGGAGAGGAGCTACCTGTGCAGACCTCACATGGTGAAACAGAAGCCAGCGAGTGGGGAGGTGCCAGGCTCTTTCCAACAGCCAGCTCTCACAGGAGCTAACACAGTGAGAACTCACTCCTGACTGCGAGGAAGACACCAAGATATTCATGAGGGATCCGCCTCCGTGACCCAAACACCTCCCACCAGGCCCCACCTCCAACATCGGGATCACATTTCAACAGGAGACTTGGCAGGGTCAAGCCAACCCTATCTAAACCACTGCAGGATGTCACCAAGGCTCCAGGCTCAAGAGTCAAGGCTTGGTGTCTCCCGAGGCCTCTCCTTGGCTTGGAGATGGCCACTCTCTCCTTGCAACCTCATGGGGTGTTCCTGTCTGTGTCTCCATCACCTCTTCTCATGAGGTCTGCAGTCACACGGGGTTAGGGCCACCCTCATGACCTTACTTTACCTTAATTTCTTTTTTTTTTTTTTTTTTTTGAGACAGAGTTTCACTCTTGTTGCTCAGACTGGAGAGCAATGGTGCCATCTCAGCTCACTGCAACCTCCGCCTCCCAGGTTCAAGAGATTCTCCTGCCTCAGCCTCCTCAGTAGCTGGGATTACAGGCACCCACCACCACACCCAGCTAGTTTTTGTATTTTTAGTAGAGATAGGGTTTCACCATGTTGGCCAGGCTGATCTCTAACTCCTGGCCTCGGGTGGCCCCCACCCTTGGCCTCCAAAAGTGCTGGGACTCCAGGTGTGAGCCACCATGCCCAGTCACTTTAGTTACTTCTCTAAAGGCCCCATATCTGCCTACAGTCCTATTCTGAGGTCCAGAGGGCCAGGACTTCCACATGAGGCTTTTGTGGGGACACAAGTCATTCCACAGCACCAAGGGAGTGCGTTTCCTCACGAACAAGGAGAAGGGCCCACGTCACAGAGGCCAGGAGAACTGTCAGCCAGGAAAAGTGTGAGGTGGACATTAGACCAGAAGAGGTTTCAGAGGGTTCCAGGAGGAGATGTTTGCAGTGGAGACTGGAAGAGTGAGCAGGAGTCAGCTGGTGGAGGGGCGGGGGATGAGGGGAGATGGAGGGGGGTCAGGAGCATTTGGATAAACAGGAAGAGGAGGAGGCATCTCTGGTGAGGGGTCTGCAGGGACACACACCTGGCAGTGGGATGTACAAGGTGGGGGCTGTCTCAGGCCAGGAGTCACAGAAGCGGACCTGAGACAAGGGTGACTTCAGGGAGAGCTCCCAGGAAACCCAGGAGGGCATGGCGGGCAGGAGCCCCCGAAAGGGTGTGAACAACCAAGCCCGAGACCCTCCCCACACCTGCACAGCCCCTCTCAGGGGTGGAGGGTGACAGCAATCACTGGTGGGGCAGGAGAGTGGGCAGCTGAGAGCCCACCTGAGAGTGCGGGAGGGGTGGGAGGCGGGATCGCCCATGAACCAAAGCTCCAAACTCTCTATGGGACGTCACTCACAAACACAAAGTCAAAGATAAAATCGTTAGGAATTTCAAGGCGGAGACCTAAAAGCATAAACCCCCAGAACGGGGCCCCTCTGAGCGAAGGGAGGGGTCCTGGGTGAACGCACTGGTCTCACAGAGAGCAACTTTGGAGAGACTGCAGTGCCCATCCCCAAGTGCCCTGACGGGGTCAGGGAGGGAGCTGGGGCATTTGCAGGGCTCCTATCGTCCGGGCTGCCGGGTGGGGGGCTGGGGGAGGAGGGCCACGTCCTGGGCACACCCTGCTCGGTGCGCACAGGGCTGTGGGCTTTCCGGCACAAGGCCGCCCTCGAGCAGGGGAGGCGGGGCTGGCTGTCTGGAGGCTGCACTCTGGGACGGGGCGTGCGTGAAACAGTTCAGAGTCTCTAGAGCATCTGCCGTGTGGCCACAGGAAGCCCCAACATGGGGGGACCCTCAGTCCGGGGGCCACTGCCCTCCTCCTGTTTTCATCCTAATCATGGTCAACCCCTTCATCAAAGGAATCCTGACCAGCCCAGACTTGAGCCCTTGGTCCTGCTCCACCTCCCAGCCTTGGCCGACCCTCAGAGGAGACCCCCGAGCCCCCCACCCTGAATCAGCCCTTGCCACCCAGTGCTGCCACTGTCCCGCCAGACCAGGCATGTCCAGTCCCCGGTGTCCCCAGCCTCCCAAGCTAACAGGACTCTCTGTGGCTGCTGTTCAGCTCAGCTTCCTCAACGCGGGGGTGGGGACAGCCACAAGTCCAGGACCCTTACGAGAGGCCCCGGAAGCCAGTGGGCTTCAGAATTCAGCCTTGACAAAGCCACGTGGTGCCTGTTCTGTGTATTTCACCACACCCATAGGGGGCTGGGCCAGACCGTCCCATTCAAATGAATCCACTGCTCTGCAGCCAAACAACATCCAAGAAATAGAGATCAATCATCAGGCCAGGTTTTGTCACCAAATGAGTTATTAAAGAAAAACACCAAGAAGACATACTTGAAGTGGTCAAAGCTTTGAGGATAAGGACTGGGACCTGTGACGCCCTCTCCAGCCCCTCCCCCAGGGGTCAGCCTTGGATTAAAAGATCCTGGGTGGGCCAAGTTCTGAGCATGCAGTTGGTGCTCACAAGTCAGGGGTGAGACAGAATGTGGCTTGCAAATGGCTTCAGGCTACAGCTGTCTAGGAGAGAAGGCATCAGTGGTCCATGCCTCCCCTGCCCCAGAGTCCAGGACAAAGGTGCTGCTTTGAAAAGGCCTGGGAGGAATGCAGAGGGGGCCCTTATTCTATTACTGCCTGTGGGCGTCTATTTGGTAAGACTAAGTGCCTGCCATGGGTCCTTTGCCACCTTTACCGCTGTTTTCATATGTTCTTCTCCCGTGGAGTTCTACCACCCCCGTCAGAGGCTTGTTTATTGTTGAAGCACAAAGGAGTGGCAGGTGTGACTCGGAGAGAGGCCCAGCCTCACAGCAGGCAGGGAGGGGCCTTCACCTGGGGCTCCTGGGACCCCAGAAAGCCAGGGGTCAGGGAGTATGCAGCAGACTCACGCTTCTCCAGGCTCGGGGGGCCAGGGAGCACGTCACAGAGGCCTCAGCATTGGGGCGTGCCCGCGGCCCGCCCCTGCAGGGTGATGCTGGGTGAGGCGCCCCCCTGCTCTGAGCTTTGGTGTCCTTATCTACAAAAAAAGGAGAGTAAGAATAAGAGGAACAACACATCCCATCCTCCTTGGGGTGCCCCAGGGTTAAGAGATGACACAGAAATGGGAAGAACCATGCGGCAGACTCAGACTCCAGGGCTCTGGGAGAGAGGGCTCTTCACCACCATCTGCTCCATTGACAGGCCAGTCAGCTTGGGGCCTGGGAGGAGCATGGGGATGTGGGGCACTTCCGCTCTGCTGGGGAATGTTAAGCAGCTCTCCAAAGTGGGGGGGCTTCACAGAAAGCCTTCTCCGCTGCCCTTGCTACGGTTGCCAGAGAAAATAAGGGATGCCCAGTTAAACTTTAGTATGAGATGGGCAATGAGTAATCTTTAGAATAAGTATTTCTTAATATTGCATGGGATGTATTTATACCAGAAATGTAGACATTGTTTATTTGAAATTGACGTATAGCTGGGTACCCCGGATTTTTATCTGCTAACTCTGGCCCGCCCATTGTCCAGTCGGGAACTCAGGGGCCGGCAGGGCCCAGCTTCCAGCTACCACAGTACCTGTGCTGAGCAGGGTCTCGATCCTGGGAGGAGTTGGCAGGCAACGTTGTCCCAGACCTCCACCCTGCCCCATGTCTGGCTACATCAGAATTCAAAGATCGAGAACAGAGTTTGGGGTGAGACTGTCTTAGGGCTGGGTTGGCCACTTTAGCTATGGGTCCTCTGGCAAGTGGCTCAACCTCTCTGGGCCTTGGTTTCCTCATCTGCTTAAAGGAGGAGGTGCCGACCTCACTACGGTGCTGTTGGGATAAGCAGCAGCACAGGGCTGTCCTCAGGACCTGGAACTCGGCACACGGGGCCCATCCAGGGACCCAATGGGAGGACCCAATGGAAACCAGACACGATGACATCAGCTCCTTGTAGGATCCTTGTGAGGATGAGCAAAGTCACCTGTGCGTAATTCCTGGATCACAGTTTTGAGTCGTCACCTCCAGGCAAAGGGTGACATGTGTCGTTCATCGCTCATTCACCAGCTACCAGCTTCAGGCACCAGGCAGCTCCAATGCCTGGTCATTGTTTTTGACCGGCTCTTTCCCTAGCAATTAATTTTCACGGGCGGCCGGCAGCCTGTTGCCGACCAACTACTGATAGGAATAAATCAGCGTAGGGAAGATGATGGAGCCTGGGGAAGGCAGGCTTTCCATTCAGATGGAAATCAACTCCCACTCTCCACTCCAGTGCCCTGCCTCTGCCTCTCGGCCCCTCCACAGGGTCATGTTCAGGGAAGGGAGGGCACGGCCCCACCCTCTGTTGGGGCTACCTGCCCTGATGCACCTGCATGGCCCACCAGCAGCACAGTGCCTACCTGAGGTCCACAGAAGTTTCAGGGGCTCAGGAAAATGTTCGAATTTCTTAGAAGTCAGAAGACTAAAATGAACTTTTAGTTTTAGTATGTTTAATTTTAATGTGATGTTTTCCATTTTAGTGTATAATGTGAATATGCACATCTTTCTAAGCTGCTCCACTGTGGTAGACCAGACCTGAGCTCCCTGTGGGCAGGGACATCGGCCCCTCCCTGTGGAACCCCCAGCCAGGGCTCTGCATGCTGCAGAAGGGCATTGCATGCGTGAATGAGGGGCCTAAAGCCACTCTATCAATAGATCCCCTTCTTGCTGGCGTGACATGTGGGAGGAATCACTGTACTGAGCGGCTGGCGGAGCTGTGGCCGTTCCGTGAACCCAAGCCCATCTGAATCCCTCTCGCCCTCACGGCAGAACTGGGAACCCAGGGTTGAGCCTGGCATCGTCTCCAATGTTCCCTGACTTGCTTCGCCTGAGACTGTGACATCTTCAGGAGCAGGTGGTGGCGTCCTCTCCTCCTGCCCCCTGCACCTGGACTGGGGCATAAACTGAAGCACCTACATCCATCTTTCCCATTTCCATATGGGGCTCCACATCCTTCTAAATCCACGAAGGCTTGCTGGAAACCACAAGCCCTGCAAGGGACATTCTGAAAACCCGACCTTTTGTTGCTGTTGTTGTTGAGATGGAGTTTCGCTGTGTCACCCAGGCTGGAGTGCAGTGGTGCGATCTCAGCTCACTGCAACCTCCGCCTCCCAGGTTCAAGCAATTCTCCTGCCTCAGCCTCCCGAGTAGCTGGGATTACAAGTACTGGCCACCACGCCTGGCTAATTTTTGTATTTTTTTGGTAGAGATGGGGTTTCACCATGTTGACAGGCTGGTCTTGAACTCCTGACCTCAGGTGATCTGCCCACTTTGGCCTCCCAAAGTGCTGGGATTACAGGCGTGCCTGGCCTGAAAACCTAATCTTTAGAGGAAGAGCCTGAGGTCAGGGAGGCAAAGCAACTTGCCGCCAAGCTCGATGATTTTAAGCTCTGCTCACAAAGTAAGGCTAATCATATTAATAACATAGCTTCACATCTGCATAATTCTGAGTCACCCACGAGGCCCTTGCACGGTACACAGGCACGCGAGTGGCCTGCGTCAGCGAGGGTCTGGGGGCCAGGTGTGCGGGTGGTGGAGTGGAGGCCGGAGTATCCCCGCCATGATGCTTTTCCCTGAGCTGCGTCACTGTTCACTCCGTGCCTCACTGTCTGCACCTGGAAGGTGAGGCCTGGTGCACAAAGGGCCCGGTGTATGGATGGATGAGGCTCAAACCCATGTCTGGCCGTGTGGGCCAGAGCAGAGGTGTCCTGGAGGCTCCTTCACCTCTGGGTGTCCCTGGAGCATGGATCCTCATCCTGCTGCTGCTGAACCATGAAATCCCCTCCCACGAGCCTCCGTTTCTCTTTCTGGGTGGAGTGATGGAATGCACTTTGCCAGATATCCTTAAAGACCCTGGAGATCGCTTGGCCTGGGCCCGGCCTGTCAGGCAGCCTGGGGAGCCCTGTTCTTTCCCCTTCTCTCGATTTTTCCTGTTCGTTCAAGCCCCTGCTCTCCCTGAATGCCTCCCTCTCTGCCTCTCTTGGCTCAGGAAGAGTTTCTGGAGAGATGGAGAAGAAGTCAGTGCCCAGGAGGAGGTCCCCACAACCTTTGGGAGAGTCTTGTGATTAGGAACAAAAGCTCATCCCTGGGCACCCTGTATCTGAGTCAGTGAGTGGCCCCAGTGGTGAAAGTTGGGAGGAGGAGAGAGGAATCCCTGAGGGCTTCCTGAAGGAGGCAGACTCCTCAGTTTTGGAGTGGGAGAGAAGAGAGTGGTCATAGGATAAGGAGTCCAAGAGTCCCACACGAAGTTGGAATGGTCTCCAAAACTCTGACCAGCACATTTGAAACCGTCTTTGCCAAGGCTAGGTGTCCAGTGACTGTTACACATTTCTGTGAAAGTAAATGTTTATGAGTGATTCACAAAGCCATCCATCACTCACCCAAGGCCCCGTCTGGTAGCTCAGCCCCTAAGGTCTGAGCTGTGCTGGGGGGCGGTGCCCACAGACCCACCTGCACAACCAGCAACCACAACCCAAGCCCAGGCAACTGATCAGGAAAATTCTCCAGTCACCGCCAGGCTCTGGCCAGGCAGGAGCCCAGAGGCTCATGCAAGCGAAATGGATGTGTCTAGAGACCAGAGATTTGGACTACTTGCACACTGGCATGGAGCTGGCCCGAGCAGGCATTAAGTGGATGCATAATTTATCATCTGTCGAGAGCCGAAGCAGCTGTCTGAGACCCCCACAGAGCAGGATGAGAGTCGGGAATTGGGGAGCATCTCCCAGCCAGGAACACGAAATCCAATTTCCATCCTGTCCTAAGGACAAAAAGCTTTCTGTAAACAGCCACACCAAATTCTCAGATCCAATTAACCATGGCCCGGGGGCCTTGCCAAGAGGAAGGGAAATCCAGGCTTCTGAGAGTCCAGCGGCCTAAGTTCTGGGCAGCAGAGTCAGGACCAGTCCCCAGAGGTGGACACCCCACCCTGACTCTGCCCCACCAGCCCGCTGCCTCCAAGAACTTCTGCACGCATAACATCCCTGCCCGCACACCGGTCCTTCCGTCCCGTCTCCCAGACAGGACTCCATGTGCCGCAGGGCCCCAGTCCACCTGACACTCCTTCTCCTTCACCTGCAGAAGGCCTCGGTTCTCGGTTCTCCCCTCTCCTGGGCCCTGCCGCTGTCCCCAGTCACTGCCTCTCCTCTCTGCCTCACTACCCAGGGACTTGTTCAGAAGAGCAGCCCACCTTTGTGGCCTTCCTCTCCCGCATCCGTCCTGGCTGTCTGCCCCTCTGACTCTGGACCCTGAGCTGGCCCAGTGCCCCCAGCCCCTGCACGTTAAAGGCACTCCTGTCCAGGGTTCTTGGCTGCGCAGGGCATACCCACCCCCAACCGCCCCCCAGGCTCCTGGACCACTCCCAAAGCTGCTCTACAGCCTCTGCGGCCCTGCGCGGGTGAAGTGGCTCCTCTGGGCTCTCCCGGGCTCCTTGCCCTGTGACTTTGAAGTCCCTCTCCATTATGGCTTCATGCCCCTCCAAGCTTCTTTAGTGCTGGCTTCACCCCAAATATCCCTACCAAACTCAGAAAGCACCCGGTGCCCACTAGAGGACCACTCCACAAGGCATTGCTGGAAAGCCCACCTTTTCCAAAGCCATCCCACAGGGCAGAGCCCGGGGTGAAGTTAATCACTGTGACACACATGTACATGCACACACATACATGTTCGTGGCCAAATATGAGGGGAAACTGTCTCTTGGAGATTCAGTGGTGCATTAGCAGATTAAAGACTCTGAGAAGTCTGGCAATTAAATGCAACTGTTTAACTTGGTTTAACCCAGTATTTTCTCAAATGCAGATGTCTTTTTGATGGCACATCTATTAGCGCCTTAAGAACGAGTGTTCTATGGGACTCCAGTGTGGAAAATTACTTTACAGCTGGACTTAGGAAATCAAGGCTACAAGTGAGAGAAAACAGCAGATGCTCATATTGTGTATGTTTTGTGCTAGGCACTTTTCAATGTGCTTTACCTATAAGAAGCCTGTTAATCTTCACACCCACCCCAAAAGGTAGGTGCTGTCATTATCCCCTCTTTCCTGTTGAGGAAGCTAAACCACAGATTGCTCAAGTAACATAGGAAGCCAATTGTATCAGTCAGCTTGGGCTAGGTGATGCTGCAGTAACAAACATCCCCACACTCAGTGGCTGATAGCAATCCATGCCTACCTCGCACTCAAGCTGCCTATCTATCATCTTCACTCCAGTGTCCAGGTGAATGGGGCAGCCACCAGGTGGGGTACTGCCCAGGGGAGGAGCCTCGCAGAGAACCTCATGCTTCCCAAGAGAGACACATCACTTCCAGTGGCCTTTCATTGTCGAAAGTCAGTCACATCTCTACTCCTGAGTTCAATGGTGTGGAGGTATAGTTGGGCAGTGAACATATGCAAATGGTCATGTGGGCATTTGAGCCCTGGATGTCTGACTGCAGCCCCTGCTCACATCCACCATGCTCCACAGCACTGGCTCTTAGGTGAAGGACTCTGGTCCTCATGGCGGGAGAATCCCAGTGAGTGACTCTGTGACCCCCCAATTCCCTGTGCAGGACTCTGTCACATGGTCCACACCATTGCCCCCTCTTAGAATGTCCACACCCATCCCTCCCACCAGCTGAAATCACAAGCACCTGCCCAGGTCAATGTGAACACAGTCCCTTCTACAAAGCACTACTCAGTTCTCCCATTGGAGGAACCCACTTCCTACCCTGAACTTCTGTGTCAGTCTCCTGGAGTTTCCTTTGTGCTCTAGCCATTGGTGGTCTAATTTAGTCCCTGCCCCCACTCCTTCCTTAGCCATTGGCTGTGATTCCTTGAGGATAGGGCTCTATCAAGTCCCTCTGACTCCCTGCCCTGTGGTCCTTTCTACTGCAGTGAAGACTCCACGTGACTATGAGAGTCTAGGAGCATGATCACAGCTTTGCAAGACCAGGGGTGGCTTGTCGGTGGGTTCAGTGGGCCCACATATATTGCAAAATAAGTAATTACTGGGCACCTCTATGCATAGCTACCTTTAAGGAACATACAACCTAACTGAAGTAACTCTAAACTATCTAGAAAGTATTCATCAACTTAATAGAAGAGCCAGGACTATGGGGCTTATAAGGACTTGGCAAACCAAGGGTCTGGGGAGGCCAGGGAGGTTTGCCAGGCTGGAGCTGGAGCTGAAAGTCAGAGCCAGCTGCAAAAGGTGGGCAGAAGGAGAAGGGGCTCCCCAGGACAGGAAGCCACTTAGCTTTAAATCACATAAAGGCAGTGGCAGTAACAGCAACACGATGTTGTTAAAATTTGACCTGGGTGAGGGAGTCTATCCCTGACTTGCTCCTGATCTAAGGAGAAAAGCATTCAGTCTTTCACCATTAAGTATGTCAGCTGTAGGCTTTTCATAAATCCCCTTCATTGGGTTAAGGAAATCCCCTAATTCCTACTTTGCTAAGGGTTTTTTTTTTTTTTTTCAGTCAGAAATGGATGTTGGATTTTGTCCAATGCATCTCTGAATCTATTGAGATGGTCATGTGGTTTTTCTTTTGTAGCCTGCTAACATGTTGAGTTACATTGACTGATATTTGAATGTTAAACCAACCTTGCATTCTTGCGATAAAACCCACTTGGCCATGATGTATCATCCTCTTTACATATTACTGGATTCAGCTTGATAACATTTTGTTAGAAAATGTTTACATCTGTGTTAATGAGAGATATTGGTCCCTAATTATCTTTTCTTGTAATGTCTTTGTCTGCTTTTGGTATCAGGGTAATATTAGTCTCATAGGACAAGTTAATATTTATTCTCTCCTCTCTTATTTCCTAGCAGTGTTTGTGTACAGCTGGTATTATTTTTATTGAAATCTTTGGTACAATCCAAACATTGGGGAAGCCATCTGGGCCTGTAGTTTTCTTTGTGGGAAGGTGTTTTACCACAAATCCAATTTCTTTAACACTTACAGTGCTATTCCAGTTACCAATTTCTTCTTTAGTAAGCTTTGATAGTTTGTATTTTTCAAAGAATTTGTTCATATCTTCTAGGAGTCAAAAGTATTGTAAAGTTGCTCATAACATTCCCTATTATCCTTTCAATATCTGTAGGATCTATAGTGATGTCACCTATTTCATTCCTGAAACTGGTGATTTATTTCTTCTTCTTTGTTCTATCAGTCTGCTAGAGATTTATCAGTTTTATTCATTTTCTCAAGTAATTGGTTTTGGTTTTATTGATTTTCTTTATTGTTCTTCTGTTTTCTATTTCACTGACTTCTGATCTGCTCTTTATTTATTTTCTCCTGTCTACTTTGGGTTTAATTTGCCCTTCTTTTGCTAGTTTCCTGAGGTGAAGTCTAAGATCATTGATTGGAGACCTTCTTCTTTTCTAGTCTAAGCATGTAGTGTTATGCATTTCCCTCTAAGCACTGTTTAAGCAACATTCCACCATTTTTAATATGTTGTGTTTTTATTTTCATCCAGTTAAAAATATCTTCAATTTTCCATTTTGATATTTTCTTTAGCCCATGGGTTCTTTAGAAGTGTATCAATTGTTTCCAAAAATTTTGAGATTTTCTTTTGAGATATAATTCTGTTATTGATTTCTGACTTAATTACATTGTGGTCAGAGAACATATTTTGTGTGATTTGTATCATTTCGAAGTTAGTAATACTTGTTTTTATAACACAGAATATGGTCTAATGTCATTGTTCAGTATACACTTGAAAGGAATGTACGTTCTTCTGGTGGTGGTAGCATGTGTATAAATGTCAATCAGGTCACGTTGGTGATAGTGTTATTCAAGTCTTCTATTTCTTTATTGGTTTTGGGCTTACTTGTTCTATTAATTACTGAGAAAGGTGTAGTGAAATCCCAGACCATCATTGTGGAGTTTCTATTTCTCCATTTAGTTATATCCGTTTTATTTATTTTCACTTTATTTACTTTAAGCTCTGTTGTTATGTGCATATACATTTAAGATTGTTCTGTTTTCTTATTGAATTGATCTCTTAGTCATTATGAAATGATTCATTATCATGATTCATCTTTTCATCTCTGATAACATGCTTTCCTCTGAAATGTACCTTGATGTTGTTTTCAAAACTGATTAAAAATACCCTAGCAATCTGTGGTAACTTGATGCCACTTTCCTGGGCATTCTAATGGTGCCAGTCCATGATATCCAACTTTGCCATTTCCTGATGCCCCTGAAAAGGTGGACCTGGGGCAGGAGCCAAGCTTTCCTTTTGTCTCTGTGAAGCCCAACACCTCTGTTGCTTGCTGGAAATGGGGCAGAGGCCCCTTTCCCATTTGCTAGGCCCTGACTGTGAGGCAGGAGAGTCTGAGAGAACATCACTCAGTTCCATTCATCCCACAGGCTCAGAGCCACTGCCTGATGCCAGAGTCGAGGGCACCAAGCACTAAGAGTTAGCCATAGGGCCCCTGGCCAGCAGCAGACAGTGCAGAGGGTCCAGGTGGCTGGTGTCTGCATGGTACAGGGTGGCACATGGGAGGGGCCCCTTGTGCTGGACACTGAAGGATGAGTGAGGTCACCAGGCAGAGGGTGGAGGAAGCAGCACATGTCAAGGGAAGGGCTGAGGGAAGCAGCACATGTCTGAAGGACGGGCTGCAAGATGGCTCTAGGAATAGTGAAGGCTTTGGGATGTCACATGTAACCAGGGTGGCCCTCGCCTCTCTCTTAGCCACACCCACAATGTCCAAATTGGCCTTACCCAGCACATAGCAATCATGTCACCTCCTCCTCTCCCTGCCCTTGGCAGGCATCACTAGTCGATTGTGGCATTATTCCCATGGACCCCAGTGTGCAACTGGAAACCTATTGAACACTGCCAGACTGAAACCCGCTCCCATCACAGCTGACTGTGAAATTAATTTTAACCTGATATTCCAGCTATGGAAAGTTAGAGACAAACGTGAAGGTTTTCCCTGGCTGTTTTTACCTCCCGAAGCTGACTCTGGCCCCAGACCTCACCAAGCCCAGCTGTCCTTGGGAAAGAGGCTGATCTGATACTGCTTATCTATACCAACTCCCGCAAAAAAAAAAAATAATCAGAATGCAAGAACTGAGGGAGAGGCAGAGGGGAGGAAAAGAGCAAAGAGAGAGAGGGAAGGAGACAGAGGAGAGGAGAGTTGAAGAGAGAAGAGTGAGGAGCCCCACGGATGCCTTTGGACACCCCCGATCTGACACTCAGGAAAACCCAGCAGCAACTCTCATCAGGTGGTGGAGAGATCAGCTCTGTTGTGCTGGGAACATGAATTAGACCCTGCAGCGCCCCCTTCAGGCTTGCCTTCCCAGGGCAAGCCCTCTACAGTTCATCAAGAGAAGTCTTTCTTTATGTGGGTCTTTTTGAGAAAAATAAAAACTGAAAATGCTGTCTGCATCTTGCCTTTGGACATGTGACCTGAAGAAATGCTTTATTTATATGTCTAGATGTATACCTGTGCCCACACACCTGCTCCACAGCACACACATGTGTGCATACCACAGGAGTGGGCACAACACCCACCCCAACACACACCTACATGCGCATTCCTCGTCCTCTGATCTGGTGCCCACGACTGCAAACCCATATCAGCTCACGACAATCTCATTTCCTACTGAAATTGAAGGGCTGTCCCTGCCCATGGCTGACTTAGGCTAAGCCAGGATTTATGTTGGAAGGAACAGAGGCATGCAGGACACAGGCATTTTCAGAAATGCACGTACTGAAAGGGCCAGTGGAAGGGTGGGAGCAGATGGTACCCACCAGCCATTCTGCCGACTCACACACATGTTTCCAGCAGGCATTGACAGGGTGTGAGCCTTCTTCCATGAACGGGAAGCTGAGGTAAAGGGTGGTGGGAAGTCTCCTGAATGTAGGGTTGGGGTCTGGGATGGCCCCTTGGTCACCCTATGGTGAGCAGTGCTTCCCCCACTGCTGTGTGCACACTGGTCAACTGGGGAGAACAGTGGCTCCCTTTTGGGCTGGTGGGCCCCCTGACTTAGGAACTCGGGATGTGAGGGGCGCTACCATCATATGTTCCATGTCTCTGCTCCAACTGAGTCCAGAGACGCCAGTGGCTGCCTGGAGCGCCCTTGCCTGCGCTGATGACCTGCTGCCAGGGAGGCCAGGCATGCCTGCGCCTTCAGCACCACCCTTGCGCGGACAGCTCCACTCAGCCTTCTGTGAAGCTCACCTGCTGGTTTGCAGGCAGCTCAGGCACCTCCCGCTCAGCATGGCAGAACCAGCTCCAGACCTCTCCTCATCCTCATGTCTCCCTCCTGCAGCCCCCCATCTCCCTAAAGGGCACCCCCACCTGCCAGGTGCTCCAGCCGTGAGACATCATGGGCGCTTCCCTCCCAAACCCTCTGGCTGTCCCTTCAAGCCTTCAGAGTATGTTGGAGCTGGGGACTAGATGGTGAGGAGCATGAGAGGAAGGGAGGAGACTCCGAGACGCCAACATGTCAGTGTTGGTGGCGGGAGACACCAGGGGCTGAGAGGGAAGGCGAGGGCAGCAGGATGTTTTGGGGGAGCAGGCTTTGGACTCAGCTGTCGGAGGGGCTTGTTGGACAGCCAGGGAGAGGTGTCAGGGTGGTGAGTGGAGGTGCAGGGATGGAGGTCGTTCCCAACAGCCAGGGCCAGGCACGCAAATATGGGGCCCTTGTGTGGTGTGCAGGGGGTCTCAGGAGGAGCAGCACTGAGCTCTGGGGCCCCAACCCCCAGAGGAATCAGCAACTCAGGTGGGGTAAGGGAGGGGCCGCAGGGCCCCAGACACCCAGAAGGAACCTGTGCAGGAGGACAGGGCGAGCATCCAGGTGAGGGCATTCGAGACGCCAGCACACAGAGGTGCCAGGCGTGGTGGCCAGGCTTGGTGGCCCAGGGTTGCTGTGGGCCTTGATAAACGTCTGGCCAGAGGGTACCAGGGAAGGTGAGGGCAGACGGGGCTCAGACAAACCCCTTCTCTTTCAAGAAGACCTGCTGTGAAGAAAAGAATGGCAGAGCCTAGGGGGCCACAGGGGGATGGCTTGTCCAGGGGTCCCGCACTCCCTGGGTACAGCCTCCTGGGTGAAATCCCTAAGAGGGAGCCTGGGCTCCAGACCTCTGTGCCTCAGTTTCCTCACCTGGGGGGTGCAGTAAGAGCTTCGTGTGGGGCTGCAGTTGGCATCTTTAGGGCCTAGGAAGGGTTGATGGGGAGATGAAGGTGGACAAATAGGAATGGCAGTTATGGGAAGGGAGGGTGCAGGAGCTAGGGCGAGGGATAGGCAGGGCATGCCCTTTGAGGGTGGGTGGGAGACAGGCCCAGGCTGTTCCATCCAATGGCCTCTGTCCTCAGGAAACATGAGCAGGAAGGTCAAGACCTGCATGTGCAGACAGGAGAGGAGAGAAGTGTTCTTTTTCCTGGGAGAGGGGAGGAAGGTTTGCCACACAGAACTGTGTGCATACATGTGTGTGTGCATCTATGCGTGTGTGCGTGCACGTATGTGTGTGTGCCTGGGTGTGCATGTGCATGTATGCATGTGTGTGTGTGTGGTCCTAGGTATAAAGTGAAGCCAGCTAGCAGGGCAGGGCAGGGCTGCGTGCATGGAGAGAAAGGGACGGGGAGGGAACAAGGGAGAGAGGAGCACAGAGCTCCAGGTGGGCGGCTGAGGATGTAGGGAAGGAAGCCATTATAGCATCATGATGAGGTGGGAGGAGGGACCCCACACCTGCACTTCCTGGGCCTGGAGTCTTGGGGTGCTCCATTAGAGACACAGCCTCCTCCACAGAAGCTGGCAAGGCAGTCAGAGATCACAGCAACAGGCTTTCCCAGGTCAGGTGGGCTGGAGCAGCTCAGAGGATGAGGGTTCTGGGGGCTTCACCACCCTGAGAGGGCAGCGTGATTGCTGAGCAGGGACACTAGGGGCAGCACCAGGTGCCAGCCTCATGCCAGGTCTACGCCCAAGCCGCCATCTCCCTCTATGGGCCCTGGGGCCATCTCAGAGCAGCTGCAGGAAGTAAAGCTGGCCTGGTCTGGCCGGAACGGTGCTGCCTAACTTAGGAAAGCTCGGACTGAAGTCAGGAGCCAGCCAGGTCCAGCTGTTATGGGCGAGTTACCCCATCTCCAAGCCCAGGTCCCCTGGCTGGAAAAGGGAAAATTGATCCACTCCTGGACGCGTCCATCACAGGCACTGCGCCAGGCGCGAGGACACAGCTGTGGACAAAAGATCCCCAACCTCGAAGTTCATCTTGATGGGAGGGTTATTATCATTACTTTAAATGCCTTTAATTTGAGATTCACTTCCTCTTTGACTCTGAGCCATCTGGAGAAGACTTTGAGATGGAGAGATAAGGATGGCCATCCCATTCTGCACAGGTTGCAGTGTGGACGGCTATGGCTGTAGAAGGCAGCAAGCCAGGTGCCGGCCTCCAGGGATGAGGGCATGATGGGGGTGGCAGCCATGGGGATTGGGGAGTAGGTCTGGGCCCTGAGGAGTGGGGTGCAGGGCCTGGAAGCAGCGATGGAGAACCAGGCGAGCCCGGCCAGTCCCCAGGGGGTACGGTGTGAGGGTGGGCAGGCCTGGCTGGGGTTGGGGAAGGGGGGAATGGAGGCGGAAAGGGCTGGGACAGTTCTGAGCAGGACTGGTGGGCTCACCGGGGTCTGAGGTGGAGCAGTTGTGGGCTCAAGTTAGAAGAACACGTGAAGCAGGGTTGAGGGGACCCAGGAAGGTAGACTTGGGGGGCTGGGACCCTGGAGGCCTGCATTAATTTCCTGGGGCTGCCTTCACAGATGATCACAAACTGGGGCCTTCAAACAGCAGAGATGTCTTTTCATGTGTTCTGGAGGCCAGAAGTCTGAGATCCAGGTGTGGTCAGAGCCTCACTCCCAAGGTGTTAGAGACTCCAGGGAGGCTACCTCCTGCCTCTCCAGCTCCTAGTGGGTCCAGGCGTTTCTTGGCTTTTGGGTGCATTGCTCCAGCCTCTGCCTCCATCTCCGCGTGGCCTCCTCCCCATGTCTCTGAGTCTCTGTCTTTTCTTCTTATAAAGACACCAGTTGTTGGGTTTAGGGTGCACCCTCATCCAGTATAAACTCATCTTACCTGATTACATCTGCAGAGACCAGACCTCCACAGAAGACCACAGTTTGAGGCTCCAGATGGACGTGAATTGGGAGGGGACATTATTCACCCCTCTACGGGGATGGAGGAAAACGGTGACAGGACAGGAAGGAGGAAGCTAGGATGGCCCCTTAGAGGAGCTGCTGGGCCAGGTGGCCACTTTCACCCCCTTTCCCCTGCCCCCCATGCCCTTGGCTCTCCGTGGGGTTCATCTCCCAGGTGGCCCCCAGCACCTCCTCAAGGCTCTTTCCTTTTGCAGCGCCTCAGAGCATGTCCAGCACACTGTGCACAGCCTGGAAGGCCTGGGCCAATGAAAAATCAGCAGAGAAACACCAGCTCCCCGACCTAGGTGGGAAGGTTCAGAGGCAGCCTCTGCCACCCAGAGACCGACCTGACAGCAAAGTTGCATCCTCTCGCAGGACGGGAACGAGCTTGAAGGACACCCACTTTAAGCAAGGCCAAGGCTTCAGTGCCACCCTCAAAATGCCACCTCTCCTGCGCTAAAGGAGGGCCCAGGACTTGCCCAATTGCCACTTTACCCCGCTGCAGGCCTCCTTCCCTGCAGACGCGACTGAGTAGATGCCCATCACGGAACTGCCGCTTCCGACCGCATCTGGTCTGGAGACAACCCCACTGCTGCCTCAGCCCTCCTCACATTGCCCAACCGAAGCCCAAACCCTACAAGTTCTGACACCCTCTTACCACCACATCCCACGGCACGCTGTCCCGTGACACACCGAGGAATGAACCTGACCTGTGCTTGGTGTGGCCTTGGACCACCCCTCCCCTGCCGGGACCCAAGCCCAAATGCCTCGCCTTCTCTTCCCAGCTCACTGTCCTCCCTCCCTGCCTGTGCCCCCTGGGGCCACCTCCCAGTAAGCTGCCTGCTCCCAAGCCCTCCAGCCTGAGTCCTGGTGCCAGGCTCCAGATGAGCAGTGTGTGTGGTGTCCACGCCACCGTGACATGGCCTGACTTCCTGCTCTGCTGTGTCCAGAAACAGCAGAGGGGCAGGAGCTGGAGGGGCAGGAGGGGCAGGAGCTGGAGGGCTGGGGCCAGATGGAGCCCCAGGGGCCAGTGCTTTATGTCATCTCAGAAACACAGGGAGCATCTCAGAAGCACAGCCCGTGGCTTTCACTCAACAGATACAACCCCAGCCGCCTCCATCCCCATTCCCTGTGGCCACCCACCTTACCCCAGCCCAGCTCTCCATCCACCCCCTCAGGAAGCTGAACCACGTCTGATCTGCCTGGAGAAAGCCCGGCCTTCCTAACGTGGTTCTTGGCGCCCGCAGGGTGTGGACGTCCCACACCCACCCTTGCCCCGCTCCGTACCACCCACCACATGCATGCTCACCTGAGGCCTCTCCCGGGCTCTTCTCTCCCTTTCCACCTGCTCGACCCTGGCTCATTCCCCGAGCTCCTGACACTGCCTCCAGGAAGCCCTTCCTGGGCCGAGGCACGGCCTCCTCGCCACCCTCCCCAGACAGCAGGCCCATTGTCCAGGGCTGTGTCCGCCCTGCCCCAGGGCGCGGCCTTCAGGGACTGCCCCCGAGGCCTCTTTCATCTTCAAGTCTCCAGGACCACAAGGGAAGTCTTGATGAGGCAAAACTGAAGAAGAGTTAAAAGCTTGTGTCTGCACAGAAAGCTGCACTCAGCTTTATAGCAGCTTTATTAGTGATTGTCAAAACTTGGAAGCAACCACGATGTCCTTCAGCATGTGAGTGGATAAACAAACTGTGCTACATCCCGATAATCGAACATTATTCATGCGCTTTCAAGCCATGAAGACACACGAGGAGCCCTAAACGTATGTTGCTAAGTGAAAAGAGCAAGTCTGAAGAGGCCACACTGCAGGATTCCAACTAGGGGACATTCTGGAAAAGGCAGCACTGTGGAGACTTCGGTAGCACTATGGTAAAAAGATCAGCGGTTGCCAGAGGGGAGGGGGAGGGAGGGGTGAGTCAGCAGAGCCCCACGGGGGACAGTGATGTTTAGGGCAGTGTCACTGCTCTGCACGGTATTATAATAGTGGATGCATGCTACTATATATGTGTCCAGACCCAGAGAATATCCAACACCAAAATCAACCCTAATGTGAACTGTGGGCTTCGGTTAATGACGCCACATCAGTATCGGCTCATCAGCTGGTACCTCCTCAGTACCAGATGCTCGACATGAGGGAAACGGGGGCACATAGGAACCCTCTCTATGATTTTCTCATTTTTTTTCCTTTTTCTGTAAACCTAAACCTTCTTAAGACATAAAGTTCATCATTAATTAAAACATGCAAAAGCTGGTTGGTAAAGACACGAGGTTTTTGCTGCTCTTGAGCATCAATCGGTTTGCGTGTAGCCAGGCAGAAAGTGGCCTGGGGTGAAGCTGGCCTGGTCCCCTGCCTCTGGGTCCAGCCCCCAATTTCCCGCGAGTTTGTGGGGAGGCTGCTTCCAGTGCGTATGTGCTCCAGGTGGGAGGAGGCCAGCTGGGCCTCCAGGCATCTCAGCTTGCTTGGTCAAGGCTGCAGGAGGCTCCTTCCCTCCCTGGGGCTCTCTCCTGAGGGCAGGCAGCTCTCTCCCACTCTGCAGGGATGGTGCAAAAAAGGCTTGGGCCCTACTTGTGGAGCCCCGCCTACCCTCCTCTTTCTCTCTCTGCTTGGATGTTCAGAAACCCACTTTCCAGGAGGGACCTGGCACACAGCACTGCAGCGATGGAAACAGGCCAGGGAGTGGTTGTGAGATGGAAGAGCTGAACCTTTGCCCCCAGCACTGATTGGCTGGCAGCCTTGGCTGCAGCCAGGCCTGGCACAGTGAAAATGCAGAAGGCTGTCCAGGCAGCACCAGCAGGTGGCCACTCAGCTCTGTGCCCAGCACGTCGCCAGCCCTCTTTGTGGCCCTGGGCTGCCAGCCTGGGTCTGCGTGGCCTCTGCTTCTCCCGGGGAAGGGAGCGGCTGCCTGAACAGCAGCATTGCATTTCTCGGCACTGCAGATGACACCAACCTGCAGGAGGCCCCATCTGTGCTCAGGGCTCCCAAAATTCTCTCTGGGCTGGACTTCTCTCCGAGCTTCACACTCAAAGCTCAAGAAGCCTCCTCGCCTTTCTCCCAAGTCCACCCCCTCCTGCAGGAGTCCGGTCATTAGCCTGGGGTTGGGGGGCAGTCTCCATCTCTGTCTTTTCCCTTTCCCTTCCATCCCACCCTCCATAGAGTCCTATTCATAGAGCACAGGGATCATGGCTGGCCCTGGCTGCCCCTCCTCAGCCCTGAGCATGACCATCGCTTTGTGGGAGCTCAATCCATAACCACATTATGGCCAGGTGCATGGCTCATGCCTGTAATCCCAGCACTGTCATCCCAGTACTTTGGGAGGCCGAAGCAGGAGGATTCCAGGAGCCCAGAGGCTGGAGACCAGCCTGGGCAACATGGTGCAACCCTATCTCTACCAAAAAAATATAAAAATTAGCCCGCATGGTTGCACATGCCTACGGTCCCAGCTACTCAGGAGGCTGAGGTAGGAGGAGGGTCGCTTGAGCCTGGAAGGTTGAGGCTGCAGTGAATCCTGATAGTACCACTGCACCCCAGCCTGGGCAAAAAAAACAGACCCTGTCTCTAAATAAATAAATAACTGAATTGGGCACCTGGGCAAAAGTGAATGCCATAGCCACTTGCAGCGACCTGGGTTACTGCTGGGGGAGTGGTCCTCACATGCCTGCTCAGGCTGATGAGACAGGACCCCACACTCATCGAGTGGGACCCGCAAGTGTCGCTGCCTCCCTGGCTTTGCTGATGAGACCACAGAGTTGCCGGGGTGCTCATATCCAAGACAGAAGCAGGGCTGGCCCCGCCCCCGGCTCCCCCACCAAACCTCTGGAAATTGCACCAAGGCCCAGGTGGGTGAATCCCAGTGAACCGAGAATCAGGCCCAAGCAGCTTGGCATCAACCCCAAATCCCGCCTACTCAGGGCCTCAGTTTCCCCATCTGCAAAGTGGTGCTGTCCTCGCCCCAGCCGATCATGCTCCAAATTCGCAGCTGCTGGAGAACTCTCTAGAGGAGAAGGAACAGCTGAGACACAGCTAAAGCAATACTGGCGTTCACCACAGAAAGAGCAGGTTCCATCCACGGAACTTTCTGGAATCCACATGAGTGAGGCCTGCCTGAGAAGCACGTGCAGGATTGGGGTCTCACCCCTGTGACAGTGCAGGACCCAAGTTGGGCCTATGCGGAGGTTCCCAGCGCCTTGGACTTGGTGCTGAGCTCTGAGCCGGAGCCCGAACCACATTTCCTCTTTGAAGGTTTGCTAGAAATCTCAAAGGTCAGCTGTTCTCATGTTTCCAGAATTTATTGATTTTGTCTGGGCTGGAAAGGCAACAAAAAGGCTTTTATTGCTGTTTCTGTGGCTGCACTGGGGAGCGGGGAGAGGATGCACTGCCCCCTGCACCTGTCCCAGGGGCCCGTCGGCCAACATTCAGGCCCCGAGGGGCCCCCATCGCCTGTCCCAGACTCACCCCACCTCACCCGACCGGCCTGTCCTATTGCGTGTCCTCACATGCCTGTGCCAGCTGATGAGACAAGCCCCCACACGCATGGAGCAGCACCTGTGTCACTGCCTCCCTGGCTTTGCTGATGAGGTGATGGAGTCACTGGGAAGGGCGCATCCAAGCCAGAAGGAAGGCTGGCCCCGCCCCCAGCTCCCCCACCAAGCCCCTCCCCACCCCAAGGCTCCGGGGAGTCCAGCTCAGCCTCCTGGAATGAGAGGAGACTCAGGGGCACTCCGAGTGCCTCTGAGAAGGGGACAGCCTGTGACAAGGGTGGGAGAGGCAGAGACGAGAAAAGGAAGGCGAGGGCATGGGCAGGCCGGGCGCAGGGAGCTCTGAGGGAAGCTGGTGCACTGCTGGCCACCGCCTGAACTATCATTCATTCCCTCACTCATTCATTCTTCACTCACGCATCGCTCCAACCTCCTGGACTGAATTCCCCCTTGTGTGCCCAGCCCCGGCTGATGCTGTCCACCCCGGGAACCGTCAGCCCAGGGCAGCTGTCCGGGAGCCCCTGATCCATCACGGGATCAAGTGCTCCAGGTCCGTGCCTTAGGAAGCCAGGGCCCATCCTTCATGCAGCGGGCAGGCTGCACCCGCAGTGTATTCTAGGCTTAGGATCCTATTCTAGGCGGGTGTAAGGAGGCATTGCCTTGGGCCAGCTGGGTGGGGTCCCTCTTCACCCCCGCCCCGGGGCTGTGCTTGCTCGGGTTGTTCCGATTCTCACCGCCCAGGGCTGGGAGGCGCTGCAGACTGTGCGTGGGCGTCTTACAGGCTAGTGAAGCAGCAGTGTTCACATCCTACCTGGACAGGTCCCCTCGACCCCCAAGCCTTGCTCCTCTCCTATAAAATGGGGGTGCTTCAGTCCCCACCCTCGCCGAGCGCTGCTCTGGGGCCGCTGAGAGGCTGATCCCCTTGAGCTGCCATATATTAGACATGCACCACCAGCTGCTGCCATCATGCCGGGTACGTGGCCCTCCCCACGGAGGACAGAGGACCCTCACTGTGGCTGCCGTGGGGACCTGTGCGGAGGAAGCTGGAGGCTGAGGGGCTCACCCCAGGGCTGCTTTTCCCAGGGGGTCCCAGCTTGGTCCCAGCTCCCTGCATGGGTGGCCTTTGTCTCAGCTGCCACCTGTGACTGAGGCTCCTCCCACCCAATTCCTTTCTCCTTTAGGAGTGTCAAACCTGCATCATGGTCTTGTCACAGCCAAGCCAGCCCTGAGCTCCATCCCCTGAAAGGGCAGCCCCTCCGCAAGCCCCTTCCTCCCTCCCAGCCCTGGCACAGGGCCTGGCATGTAGCAGGTGCTCAGTAAACACTCATAGGTGGAGACAGCAGGACAGACGGGAGCTCTGAGTCTCCTCCCCTGCAGTCTTGGTGATGAGCCCCTGCAATGAAGGGGGGCTGCACTGGGAAGTAGTGAGCATCCCATCATCAGAGGCATGCAAGAGGACCAGGATACCCATTTGAGGGAGACTTTGTAGGCACAAGGGTGAAACATGAATCAGCACAAAGTATGGCTTCTGAAAACTTCTTTCTTGCCTCAAAACAACAATAAAGCCCTATGCTGGGCGCTCCAAGCTCCATGGGAACGCTGCAGGTTGAGCAAGTGATTTGGAAACATCGCAGTCAACAAAGCTGCCGTCTCCCGGTGCGCCCCTTCTCGCTGGGTTCTAAATGAAAGCTGTTCATTAGGGCGACAGGTTTACCATCTTGCAATGAGAATTGCTGGGAGGTTTTTCCCCCTGAGGAGGAGAAATCATGTTTGAGTAGCGAGCACAGTTGCAGGGGACAATGTTTTCGTGGCTGTGGCTGTGGGAAGAGCTTTATTTGGGGATTTTTCCTCTCCGTGTCAGCAGCACAGGAGAAAATGACTCCAGTGAGCTTCGCTGCTGCAGTTTTATGGCACCGCCAGGACGCTGGGTCTGAAATTGTGCCCATTGCTCAGAGCTCAGTATCTGTTCCTGGGAACTGGGAGGCAGCGGTCGCATCAGTGTGGTCTGGAGGTTCCCAGGTTGGGGGCAGCACAGGCCTCTGGCCCCGGCTTCAGCAGATCCAGCCCTAGCACAGAGCACAGCAGAGCCTGGGCTCAGGGGAAAAGTCAGGGTTGGGAGCTAGGGAGGGGCCCACCTGGGGAAGGCTTGCTCACTCACTCGCTCAAGCAGGGGCGGGGCTGGAAGAGGGCCCTCAGGGCAGTCCTGAGCCGAGGACACCACTGCCACCAGGGAGCCAGGCCAGAGGCCAGAGGGAGAACTTTCTCCATACAAGCCAGGTTTGAAGGTGGCGCAGAGGCAGGCTGGGGCTCAGCAGCCGAGAGCTCCATGCTCCAGGGGCACAGACCCCTGCCCTCGAGGCTGTGAAGCCCAGGGTGTGGCAAGGGAGTGCCGTGCAGGGCAGGACACCTGGAGGCAACTATCAGTGCAGGCCCAAGAGACACCAGCCTGCAGCTGCTCAGGGGCCAGTGGGGCTTCAGGGAGGAGGTGGGCAAAGCAGTCTTACCTCCCCTGCAGGGCCGCCTCCCACCTGAACGACCGCCTGGCGGCAGTGTCTGACGTCCCTGTGCAGAATCATCTCTGTCCCCACCGGAGGCCCCTGGGGCCGAGTGGCTTCACTGCAATTTTGGGAGCGTGTGGGACCTGCCCTGGGACCCCCTCTTCGTGGGGCTGCCAAGCTGGGGTATCATACTGCAGCCGCTGGTGGTCATCCCAACACTTTGTGGGCATTCATGAGAAGCAGGAAAGCAGGTGGGCACCAATGAAAGGAGACTGACCACTGACATCCACACACCTGGACGCAGAGGGGACTCCCAGCCCCAGCGTCTCAACACGGTGGCTGGAGGAGTGTGATCTTCCTCCCCTTAGTGCTCCTTCCCCAGCCTGGAAGAAGCTTTCAGGGCCTTCCTTCCACTGAAGCCTCAGTTCCCCCAGAGGGCTGGCTACAGGCTCACGTGGGGCCCGAGGGGAGGAGTTTCATGGGGGGGAGGAGTTTGGTGGGCGGAGGAGTGTCATGTGAGGGGAGGGGTTTCATGTGGGGGGAGGAGTTTCATATGAGGGGAGGAGTTTCGTGTGAGGGGAGGAGTTTGGTGTGAGGGGAGGAGTTTCGTGCGGGAGGAGGAGTTTGGTGTGGGGAGGAGTTTCGTGTGGGAGGAAGACGTGGGGAGGAGTTTTGTGTGGGAGGAGGAGTTTCGTGTGGTGGGGAGGAGTTTCATGTGAGGGGAGGAGTTTCATGTGGCGGAAGAGTTTCATGTGGGAGGAGGAGTTTCGTGTGTGGGGAGGAGTTTCATGTGAGGAGGGAGTTTCGTGTGAGGGGAGGAGTTTCATGTGAGGGGAGGAGTTTCTTGCGGGCGGAGGTGTTTCGTGGGGGGAGGAGTTTCATATGGGGGAGGAGTTTCATGAGGGGGAGGAGTTTCGTGTGGGTCCTGTGGTGCTGCCTGCTGAGGGCATAGACATGTGTCCCTCCATTTCTGTTCTCTCCCTTGGCCCGGCTCAGGCCACGTCCAGAGAAGCCACAGAAACTCCAGTAACTGTATGTCAGCTGAGACCCCAACCCAGAGCCGTGGGCGGCTCAGGGCTCTGGGAGGCAGATTTGTGGGGCAGCTGCCTGCCTCCCTGCAAGGTCCATCCCCGGCGAAGTCACAGCCCTGTTGGGAGGGGCTCCCACTGCGTCATGAACGCTGGTCCCCGGCTCACCTCATGTCGGGGGCACCTGGGGATGGAATTCCAATCCCAGCCCCAGCCTAGATCAGCCCTGTGGCAGGTGCGGGCCGCCCTCTGCTCCCAGCCTCGGCCTCCCACATCCTGGGGGATGACCAGGCGCCTCACCGAGCTTTGGGAGACAGGGTCCTGGTAAAGGGTGCGCAGGGTCTCCAAGCTGCACGACATAGCAGGTGCTAAGCAACTCAGCTGTTGGCAGGGTTTGTTAAGAGAGGTGCAGGAATGTGCTGAGGTCACACAGGGGGGACAGGACAGAGCCAGGATCTGAACCCCCCTCAGGGATAGGCCATTCTAGACTCCTGGCATTGCATGTCACAGGCTGGGTGGGGACCTGGCAGGAGTCCAGGGCCAGCCCTTAGGGCAGGTGGAGCCACAGGGCCTCTCCTTCTCCAGGAGCAGAGGTGCCCCATCCTCCTGCCGGCTGGGGGCTGGGCCGAGGCCTCTGGCGAGCCGATGGGAGATAAGAGCTCTGGCTGGAGCTGTGCAGACAGGCTGGTAGTTTTCCGTCATCCCCGCAAATGACAAACCTTGCAGGAGGCCAGGTTGGGCTGGAGGGTCCCTCCTCCTCACCTCTGAGCAATGTGACCAGGCTTACCTTTCCAGAACCTCTGGGCTGGGCTTGGGAGCCAGTCTCTCCCACCCTCTGCAGGCCCCGGTGGCTATGCAGCCACCCCATGGCTTACTGAGCCTGAGAATAAATTTTAACTGGGGTGCTGCACTTTACAGTTTACAAAGCACGCCCACACCCACCTCCAGGAATCTCCTGCCACCCACTGCCCCTGTGAAGTCCACATCAATATCCACATCTACAGATGGAGAAGTTAAATAATGCCAAGAGGACAGAGGGGACTCTGTGCTTGCTGCTCAATTTTTCTATGGATCTAAAACTGCTTAAAAAATAGTCTATTCAACAAAATGTCACGTAAATGGAGCCAGGGAGCACGTTGACTTTGAGGCGGGCTTCTCTGGCTTTGCGGCTCACCCAGGCCTTTGCAAGAAGTTGCAGCTTGCCCTCTTCACTGCTGAGTAGTATTCCATTGTCTGGAGGCACCTGCAGTTTGTTTATCCATTTACCAGTTGTTTAGGGTTGTTTCCAGTTTTTTGCTATTATGAATAAAGCTATCATGAACATTAAAAACAAAACAAATACTGGCCAAGGGTTGCACAGGTGACAGGCTGCAAAGCCCAGCTCAGCAGGGAACCAGCAAAAGCCATGTGGCTGCCTCCAGAGTCAACATGGCCTGGACCTGCCCTCCGGGGAGCCAGCGCCCGAGCTGGCCTGGCTGCTGCACAGCCATGTGACGGCCACATAACGGCCACCTCCTCCCAAGGCTCCCTCAGTGCAGGCCCACAGGAGGCATGGCCTTGGGAGGAGCTAGGACATGGATCACAGCCTTGCAGCCCACAGACTTGCCCACGGGACAGGCCTCATGTTCCTGCACCACCAGTGGATGGACATCAAGGACCCCTCTCCACGCCCAGAGCCACAAACAATCTTAGATGCTGCACCTGTATCCTCACCAGCCCAGGGACATGAGTGTGGACTGCCCAGCCCTGCCCCTCCCCTGCTGGGGTACCTGGTTATTGCTTGACAGCCCCAAGGCTCACATTTCTCAACTGCAGGGGCATCAAAACCCTCCCTGTAGGCCGGGCACGGTGGCTCACGCCTATAATCCCAGCACTTTAGGAGGCCAAGGCGGGTGGATCACCTGATATCGGGAGTTTGAGACCAGCCTGGCCAACATGGTGAAACCCCGTCTCTGCTAAAAATACAAAAATTAGCCAGACGTGGTGGCAGGTGCCTGTAGTCCCAGCTACTCAGGAGGATGAAGCAGGAGAATGGCTTGAACCTGAGAGGCAGAGGTTGCAGTGAGCTGAGATTGTGCCACTACACTCCAGCCTGGGCGACAGAGTGAGGCTCCATCTCAAAAAAACCAAACCAAAACAAAACAAAACAAAAACCCTCCCTGTAGGGTCAGAGTGAGGCCCCAGCACAGCCATGGGGGGAATGGGCCTTCCCTGACCTGGCTAGCACCAGGCACCCTGCCAGGACTTTCCATGGGCTTCTCAAAATTGCCCCCCACACAGCAGGTGCTGTTACAGGCCTTGGGCTACAGCTGGAGAAATCAAGGCAGAAGAAGGAGGGAACGTGCCCCCGTCACACAGGCCCATGTGGGGAGGGAAATGGACTCAGGAGGTGTCATGGGCCAGGGTGTGTCCTCCCCAAATTCCTATGTAGAAGCCCTGACCCTCAGGACCTCAGAATGGGACTGTGTTTGGAGACAGCTTCTTTAAAGGGGTAATTAAGGTAAACTGAGGTCATATGGGTGGGCCCTAATCCAGTCTGACTGGTGTCTGGTAAGAAGGGGAGATGAGGACACAGACACACACAGAAGGAAGACCAGGTGAAGACGGAGCGAAGATGGTGTCTGCAAGCCGGGAGGGAGCCTCAGGAGAAACCGCCCCTGCCAACACCTTGATCTTGGACTTCCAGCCTCCGGAGCTATGAGATGGTAAGCTTCTGTTGTTGAAGCCGCACAGGCTGGGGTATTCCGCTAAGGCATCCCCAGCGGACTCATGTGGGGGCTAACCCCAGAGCACCCGCTCCCAGCTGCTGCTGCTGCAGCTGACCCTATAACCTGCCAGGAGGTGGCTGCCCACCCCAACCCACCTTCGCCACCCCACCCCACCCAGACAGGGCAGGTCCTTGTATAAAACTGCTACAGTTTACAATTTTGTACTTGCTTATGTGATCGTCTATTGCCTGCCCCATCACAAGACTGCACAGGTCATGAGGACAGGGGTGTCTCTGTCTTGCTAACCTCGTGGCCGGTGTGCTGTGGGCACTTGATATATGCTTTTTAGAGGAATGATTATAAATGTGCATTGGTTTTTGCTATATGACAGAATTATAGAAGGGCTTAAACCGTTGCAGGAAATCATGGAGGTTCTGTGTTTTTCTCAGTGTTCTCACGCGCAGCTGATGTTGAATAAACGCTTCTTGAATAAATGAAATGGATGATGGATGAACCAATGGATGGATGGAGGGATGAATGAATGAATGAATGAATGAATGAATGAATGAACGAACTTCCTCTCGGAGAGCAAAGCCAAAGATAGCAGAAGCAGGAGCCTCTGCTGACACCTCACAGATCCGGGAGGGTTGTTGGGGACACAGTCCCATGGGAATTATCTTCCAATCTGGAGTTTCTTCTGCCTTTAGAGAGAAGCCCGGTTAATGCTTGGAGGAGGGCCGGTCTCGTGGTCAGCCGTGTGTCAGTGAGATCCCGTGGAGCGCTGTGCTTAGAAGGGTGCCATGCTCAGAGGGCACCCACTTGGGGTTTCGTGCTCTCCAGTTGCCTCTTGAAATTCTTAACAACCTTGGCTTTGAACTTGTGCTTTTTGAGGGATGTATGAAGGGACCAGACCCTTGGCTCACATGTGATCTCCCCTCTGGCTAACCCCAGGACAGCTGTCATGCCCACTCCCTACCCTGGACACTTTTCCTGGTCTCCTCTCCCCGATCTCATCCTACAAACAGTCACCTACCACCCCTGGAGGGGCCCAGTGAGACCAAGCAGGCATCCCATGGCATCAGGGCAGGGCAGGGTGGAGGTCACCCCTGGCACGGGTTGGCATTCAGCCCACTCCCCATCCAGACATCCAGCACATTTGGGAATTGAGTTTCCATCCCTGGGGACCTCAGGGCAATAGGCCCATAGGCAGGGGAGACTGGCCTCCCTCAGCCGGCGCTCCAAGCTTTCATTTTGCACAAAGCCAGCCCTCCGTCCCTGCTCCTGCAGCCAGTGGGCCTTTGGCCTCTGAGTATGGCCATGTCACAAGCCCATGGCAGATGCTGTGTACCTGGCCCAACCCCACAGGGCTCCCACTTAGGGTGGGAACAAACCACAAAAGTACCCACCCTTTCAGGCGGTGAACACTCCCTGGGAAGCCGCTTCAGCCACTCTTGGGCTTGGGAAACCCACATCTCTGGAGGCACCGCAGAGAGGGGCTCGGGCTGCCTGCTCTAATTCTGATGTCTGGCTTGGTCGCTGAGCAGCCTGGGGACTCGGGCAAGCCAAGCCACTCAGCCTGGCCGAGCCCTCCCTGGCCCGGGATAATAAGAGTGGGCAGGAGCAGGTGCCTCCCTGCTGAGGGGCAGGGACGTCGTTCCTTGAGATGCCCCTCAGTGGTGGGGAGCACGCAGGACACTGGGTAACAACGCCTGGCCTTGCACTGCAGCAATCCAGCCACACGCGTTCCCTGACCTCAGGTCATACTCTCAGCGCTGTGTCTGAAGCCTCTTCCTGCTCTTGAGTGGCTAAGCCAGGGCGTCAACACCTGGATGCCATGGTGGTGTTCTCTGAGAATCACCTGAGGCTGGGTCAGCCTGGGGAACAGACCTTCATGGAGTTGAAGGGGCCCTCATCCCACCCCAAGAGCTGGGTGACCAAGGACTGGCCAGGCGACCAAGGGCCCTTGCCTCAGCAGCCAGCTCCTGCCCGGTAGGTGCCAGAGGAGGTGGACGGGGCAAACACCCCCGGGTCCTGGTGGAGCTCTCTGGCTGGAAGGGTGGTCAAGGGACCAGCAGTCGGGGGACTCAGGTCAGGAGAGGAAGGGTGCATGCAGCATTGCGGAGGCTGGCCAGGCTGCCCAGTGCTCCTGGGTGACTGTGTTGTCCCCTGAGTCCTGTGGCCATTGTGTATCTGTGGCAATCTGAGGGATGCTTTGAGTGAACCAGGGGCATCCTGTGGTGCTGGAGGCACCCCTGCTCCTTGGACAGAGCCAAGGAAGAGGCGAGAAGCGTGTCCGTTACAAGCACGGATCTCCCAGAGGACCCAGACCTGGGAGCCTGGGATCATCAGCCGCATCTGACGGAAGAGAAGACGGAGGTGCGGAGCCTCCCTCCCCGCTACGTCTGCTCTGAAGATGCTGTCCTGCTTCCCCAACCGGATCAGAGCCACCTTGAGGGCAGAACTGTACCTTTGACACATTCACATAAATTCTTCCAACATTTATTAAGTGCCCGCTGTGTGCAGGCCTCTGTGCAGGGCCTGGGAGTGAGGTGAGACAGAAGCAGGCTGCCTGGAGGAATTTCTTCCCATCCTAGGACAGGGCCTGAGCACCCAGGCTATGCACAGTTGTCCAGGGAGCCCCTCCCCTCCAGCCAGGGCCGTCCTCCCCGTGCCCCCAAGGTCAAGTGGCCACTCATCTGGAGGGCCTGTGCCAGGCCAGCTGGAGCTTTTGGGGTTAAGACTAGGTCTGGTCTGCCCAGAACCAACACCCTGCAGAGTCCAGCCCTTTAATGAGCGTGTTTGACATTTGTTCCTGGGGTCTCCAGGGTCCTCATGGCTCTGCACAGAAGCTGTGGGAGGTCAGGGGGGTGGGCTTCGGCCCATTCTCCAGAGGACGCAGGCTCAGGGCGCCACATGATTCAGTGAGGTTTCAAGCCTGAGTCAGGGGCCCCAAAGCCTGGGGGCTGCATGTCCAACTTTAGCAACCTTGAGAAACCTACCCCCGTGCCAGGTGACAAAAGCGTCACCCACAGTCATTCCTCATCCCACCCTCATAAGGGGGTCCCCAAAGAGGCTTCGTCACGAGGCTCTGAAACAGACAGCCCTGAGCGGGCCCAGGTGACATCCATCAACTTCCTACAGCCCTCCTGCCCTCTCCCGGCACATGAGCAATCGTCTGTTTATTCCCAATTTGCAAATTACGCCCCTGCATTCAGCAAACCCCACCTTGGCAGGGAGCCCCAGCCGTGGCACTGGCGACCGCCGGGCTCCGTGGGTTACTGAACGGTATCGAGAGGAGAGAATCCCTCTATTGTTTGCCTCCTATTTGAATAGTGGCGGAAACAACAGCAATCAATTTTGAATAACAGTTTCATTTGGACTAATTAGAAGCGGACTGATTTTGCTTGAAATTCAGTTTGCAATGGCAGCACACTCTAGGAAACGGGTAACTGATTTTTCACCACAAACATGTTGGCATTGTGTGTCCTGGGTGGGGTGATCTTTAAAAGCAGCCTCATTGTTCTGAATTGTTTCTAAGATGACATAATAAACACAGAGCCAGGCCTTATTCCCATTGTGAAGGGGCACAGCTCTGCTGTTTTTATGGAGCTGCTGAAGTTTAAGTGCACGGGTTATGTCAAAAATAATGAAGCAATGCCGGTGGAGTGTGAGCATTGAGCCCCGTCTGATCCCATTGGCTCAACGTGTAATCTAGGCATTGTTTGCAATGGAAAAGGCAGAGCGACAGCTCAAAGTTAGGTGGCGTGGACGCTGGATGTGGAAGATAGAAGACAAATTGGAGAAGTCACGTGCACACTCTGAGCCGGTTTTCTCATCTGTAGAATGAAGCTAATATCGTGGACGGTGACGGCTCGCCGAGGGATCCCCTGTGGTGGGGTGAGTATGGAGCACATTCCAGCGTCTGGCTCTCAGACAGCATCTCTCTATGGCAGCCCCTTTCTGGAGCTCAGTTTTCTCATCTGTAAAATGGGTGCATCGATCCTGCCTGGCAGAATTATGAAAAGCACATGCACAGAGCACCTGGCCCAAAGACTGGCACATGGTGGGCACACATCGAACACTAACTGCTGGGTTCACTGTCATGTCTGCTCTTTGTCATTATTATGCTTGAAGCCACCCCTCTCTGGGCCTCTCTGCAGAGTGGGAAGGGGGCTATTGAATGAGACGGCCCCTCGGGTATCTCTTTCCCCAGCACTCGCTAAGGAGTCTAACAGTTGAGTTAGGCTTCTAAAGGCGGTATGGAAATGCCTGTTTTCATCGATGCTGCAGTCGGTTAAGAGCTGATTAACCGGGGAAAAAGCCCGCCCCCCACAAGAGCAGAGCAGACACTGCAGCAGCCGGGCCGCACGTGAAGTGGAAAATCGTCCCCCGCAGCACCAGCCCCCAGCTCCCAGCACGCCGGCCTCTTGCTGTAAGAAGTTTCTCACCGACAGCCTGGGGGGCCCGTGTCCTGGCACAGTGAGGACGGCAGGAGTGGCTGTTGGATTTGGAGTCCAGAGATGATCCTTTTAGGACTTCCACATGGGAGAGGACAGGTGGCTCCACACCGCGGGGGAGGCCTGCTCTGCCCAGCTGCCGCCTGGCTGGATTACTCACTGTCCCTGTGCCCCGCTGGGCTCCATGCACTGAGCGGGGCAGTGTCTAGTCCAGCCTCTGGGACCTGGGGCTGGGGAGGGCAGGGTTGGAGGCTCCACGGGCGCTCTGGAGACGGGGCCTGGTCTGAGTCGTGAAGGCCATGTGTGAAGCTGTCACGTGACACAGGGCGGGAAGGGCACTCCTGGGGGACAAAGCATTAATTCACAAAGGCGTGGGGCACGGCCAAGCCAGAGCAGGAAGTGGGATGAACGGAGGTGAGGACAGAGGAGTTGGCAGCGATTGTGACCTGCCCGGGAGCCCTAGGAGGGTGGGATTGTGCTGGGCCAGTGTAGGCCGCACAGCCACAGGCCAGTCTGGGACACCGGGCTGGGAGCCACTGCCCCATGGCTGTCCTCCCCCACAGCCTCCCCAGTGCAGAGCCAGGGCCTGGTGGGGAGTGTTGCTGGAATGAATAATAAATGGCCCAGTCTGGTGCAGCTGGAGATGGAGGCCAGGACGGGGATTGGACAATTCCCCCACCCCAATAGGGAATCTGGCATGAATGTCCCGCTGGGGTTCTCTGCAGTCCCCAAAGCCCTCCTCTGGAGGCAGAGTTTCCAGAATTGTGGAGATCTTGTGGGACTGGTGGTCTTCTAGGTGGGTCTAGCTGCCAACTCCTAGTCTATAGACCTTCCTGTCAACCATGCATCAGGTGGTGGAGGGAGTTCGTATCCTGTTCCCCTTTTCTCCATGGCTGCCAGGCAGCTCTGGGCATGTTTTGTGCTCGGACATAAGGGCAGAATGTCTTTAACTGAGCTTTCTGGGCCAGCGCCCCACCTCTACCTTGCATGGTTTGACTCCTTATCAGGACCATCACAACACCATTGTACCCAAGGCTTTTACTAGGAGCAGCCACAAACCCTCTTGGCAGGAAGGAAGGGCATTTTCGGTCCCCAGGGCTTTCTTTTGGCCCGGAGTTTGCAGTTGACTCTGCTTCCCAGGCAGATTTCAGAGGGGTGGCACTGAGCCCTGCTGGAGTAGAGGCCCTGGCCTTGGCAGGAGACACCGCAGCCTATTTACACTGGTGGTCAGGCAGGGCATGCCCCAGGGAGCCTGTCAGATCCCCAGTCTCCCCATCCTCCTCCACTGCCTGCTGCAATCCATGCTCTCCACGGTCCTGCTGGGTCACGGGGGTGCGGACCCCCGGGAGTGGGGCCAGAGGTCCCCTGGCCACTCAAGGGAAACCCGGTGGGAGGACAACGGGGACCTCAAGATGGAAAAGCTTCCCCTGGGCCTTGGAGTCTTAGGCATCTCCCTCCTCTGCTCCTCAGCTCTAGGGACTCTCCTATCTTTGTCAGCCCCCATCTCACATCCATGTCATGACCCTCAGATCCCCCCTGGCACGTAGCGGAGGCTGCCCATGCCTGCCCAGGGACGGTGGAGGCACCTGCATAAAGGGGTACCTGTGGCACTCCGCACAGGGCCCTCCGCACAGGGCTGCTCCTCCCCCACCCCTTGCACGTGGGGGCCACCACGGGCTGACGGGAGTGGGGACATGGAGGGGCCGTGGCTGTCCAACCAGCCTCGAGATGGGCCTGCAGGCGCCGTGTGTTTTGATCCGACACGGCACGGAATATTTGAGCCCTGCCGATGGATGTGATAGAAAAATACAGCCGGCTGCCAGCACAGCCGGGAAGGGCGGCTTCCTCGCCAGCAAGTGCCACGGCAACGTGTTTCCCCCACCCTCCAGCCCCCACCCCCGGAGTCGGGGGCAGGATCCAAAGCCTGGAGCTGCTTCTATAAAGTACTAACATTGCTGCCTGCACCAAGGAATATTTCCTTTTGAATTCCATACTGAGCTGCAATGGAATATTTGGATTCTTTCTTTTCCCTCCTTTCCTACCAACAGCCATAGGATTAAAATACAGGAGTTAATGAAAACATATGCATGTCTATGTATATCTGGTAGGAGCTGCATCTGTGACAGGCTTGGGCCAGGTACACAGGAACCCTGAGCAGGACGGCGTTCGAGCCAGCACCCTCCACACAGGGCAAGCCCTCCTCCGTCGGTAGTGGCTGCTTTATTTTATTTTGCCTGAAATCTCCCAAGAGCCCAACGGGGAGCTCTGCCCAGGAAACCGGTCGTGGAAAACGCTGCTCTGTGGCTTGCTTGGGACGGGGTGAGATCAGAGCCCAGGCTCTCTGCAGAGGGACCTTTCTGAGTCCACAGTTTGCTCTGCCCCCTCACCCCTAGGGGTCCCTGGCCACACAGTCACCTCTAGGCCTCAGTTTCCACAACCACATATGGGGGTTGACATCAGGCCACTCTGGATCCATGAAGTCGGCATGAAGAAGTGAGGCAGGCCCAGGCCTCGTCCGTGGAGAGGAGAGCCACTCAGGAAGTCAGGGGCCGTGGTGGACAGGTCGGCAGAGGGGAGGGCCCTGCTCTGGGCGTTGAGAAGTCCCCTTGGCGGGTGGTTCCTGGGCTGGGTTTGGAGGCACTCGGGGCTCATCTTACCCTCGGGGTGGGTGTCAGTGCCCCCTTCATGGATGAAGACACCAGGACTCAGAGCAAGGTGACACGTGTCCCTGCAGCAGGCAGGGTGAGAAGCCAGGTTTCTGTCTCTGTTTATCCAGCTGAAAAGAAAGTCTCTCCAGGCGGCAACCAAGATCGAGTGGTGAACATCTGCCGGCTGCAGTCCCGGCCATAGCCCTGGAGGGTGTGACTGGCAGGGTCAGGACGGGAAGAGGAGGAAGGTTTGCTGACATTCTTCCCCGAGCGTGTACCAGGCTGCGTGCCCTGCTGTATCCTCGAAGTTAATCTCCCAGGATCCCTGGGTGTGGGGGGGCTGTGGTTATCCCCTTGCAGGGAGGAGGATCTGCAGTTCAGAGGTGACATGCTCAGTCGGCCACACTGCTGAGCAGGTGACAGGGCAGGCTCCAGCCCTGGGAGGTTGCATTTCCTCTGCAGACCTCACAGCCCCCAGGGGGTCAGATCAAAACCTGACACTCTGTCCAAGCACCCTCCCACCAGCTTCTCCCCTGCAGCCTGGCACACGGCCCCTCTGTCCAGCCTCCTGTCTGCATTGTCTCCCCCTCCCCATGCTGGCACCCCATTTCCTAAAACACACTTGCACCTCCTACCTCCAAACCCTTGCTCATCATGCTGTGCCTCCACGTGGGGTCTGCCCTCAGCTGTGGGAAGTTGCCCATTCCTGAAGACCTCCCAGGAGGCAGTAGGAAATGGTGGAGATACTCAAGAAATACTTGTTATCTGGTTGAATTTGGGGCCAGGAAACCTGGGCCCTGTTGGGTCTTATCACCAGCTGTGTGACCTCAGGCAGGTTAATCCACCTCTCTGAGTCCCATGAAATGTACGAGTTATCCCATGAAATGCTGGTGCTCTCAAGGGAAGGGTGCCCTGGGCGGGACTTGGGGTCTTGAGTGCTGGCAGGTGAGGGGTTGGGGGTCTGCCCTCCCGTCTTGCAGTTGTGAGTTTTGGACCCCTCCTGCCGGCTTGGTAAGATGCAGATTCTGGAGCAGAAATCCTGAGCTCTGGAGTCTTTTTCATGTGTGTACAGTGATTCTCTCGCAGCCCAAGGCCTGCCCTCAGAGTGTCCCTGGGTGCGATGTCAGCCATGGAGTCTCTGAGGTGGGGTCTCCTGTGGTCCCAGGCTCAGGGGATAGATTGCCCAACAGATTGGCAGGCCTGGCAGGGCCCAAGAGGGCTCCCAGGACCCCCTCCACTTCCCAGGTGGGGCACCGAGGCCCAGAGAGCAGGGATTTGTCTGAGCCAGTACAACAGCTCCAGGACAAGCTGGGCCAACAGTTCAGGACTCCCTGCCCAGGCCTGGTCGGGGGAGGTCAGGGATGTCCTCATCGGCCTTGACTGGCCATGTTCTCCACCCCTCCCCTGCCCCCACTGCTGTCTGTATCTCCCCACCTGTGTCTGAGACTAGCACACAGCAGGTGTGAGCATTAGCACATGTGCCAGCTGTGGACACGGCTGGGAGAGCTCTTCCCAGCTGGGGTATCCTGAAGACCCATCATCTGGGGTGGAAGCCAGGCAGCTGCGGCGAGGGGGTTCTCCAAGGGCCAACTCTGGCAAGTCAGGTCCCCCTGCTCTGGAACCTGACTTCGCGGACGGGGGCTTGCAGAAGAACACAGGACCCAGGGCTGACCCCTCCCCAGGCAGACCCTGGCCCCCCATGCCAAAGAGAGAGGTGGGTATCCAGGATGGATCTGGGCTGGGCTCAGCAGGCAGGGTCTGGCAGGGGAGGGTACACATAGGGAAGCCCAGGGGGGCCTCCCAGGGATGGGAAGGGGGACGGGAATGGGGAATGGATGGTCACAAGCAGGAGGCCTGACACAGCCCCCACACGCCTACCGAGCTGTCTGTGCGTGTGTGTTGGGGGGACCCCTGCCCAGCTCCTGCCAGGCGCAGGTCCCGCTTTTGCCCCTCCCCTCCAGCCATCCTGGCAACTTCCAGGCCCTGTGACACGGCTGAGTCTGAGTGGTCCCTACACCATGAAGGCCCAGCACCAGGAAGCCCACCTTGGTATTCTGTCCCCCACTTTCCACTGCCCTTCCTCAAGCAGCAGTGTGAACAGTGTGGACACCTGCTGGGCCTGACGGTGGAGCAAGGGGGAAAGGCAGGGCTGCACTGGGAAGACCCTGGGGGCACCACAGGAAACAGGCCGGCCCCAGGCCCCTCTCCAGACATTGCTGGTTTGTTCCACTCCACTGCTCTGGGGCCTCAATGACTTTCAGTTTGTTTCGGAAATAAGAAAGTGCCTGTTGTTCAACCTGGCTCTGGCCAGGCCTCTGGCCTAAGAGTGATGGTGTGGGGGCTTGCCGGCCTCACGCCCACCCTCTCTCCACCCAAGAGCCACGCCCACAAAATGTTCAGAGCCAGGAGGACTAGCTCAAAGCTACTCTCAGTCTTGGACTGGAAGAGCCCCACCTCTTTCCACCGGAGGCCCTGAATATCAGAGTGGGGAAGGGCAGGGGGCAGGGATGGGAATGCAGGGAAGACAGTCCCCCAGAATCTAAACTTGGGGTCAACTTGGGGGTTCTAGGCTCCTTTCACCTCTTCGCTACTCTCAGCACAGGAATTTTGAGTACATATTTTCCATGTACATAAAGGGTTAGCTTGAGAAAAAGCAAGACCCCTCCTTCTCATGCAAGAAGGAAGTTGTAACCCGGAGGCCCAGGGTGCCCTCCGTCCAGCATTGTGGGGTGGGGGAGATGGGGGAGGGTGTCAGGCAGGGTGAGGGTCTGGAAGATACCCCCAGCCCCCAAGCTCAAGGACTGACTGCGGCACCCAACATTAGATTACAAAGGTTTATTTAGAAAATAGTTTGGTTGTTTTGGCTGTTGTTTTTGGCAAACATTTAAATACTTTCAGTAATCAAAGATTGTCGGTGCTTTCTCCTTGCCCCCTGGCAGCCACCCCCCGACTAGGTCCTGGAGAAGTCAGCCCTTGGTCAGACGGGGATGGGGAGTGGTAGTGTCTTTGGGGGGCTCCTTGCTTGCCCATTTAGGGGGCTACCTCTGCCACTGCTCTCTAAAACCCTGACCTCACAGCCACACCTCGGCAGGGCTCCCAGAGCTGGATCCAGGCAGGGAGCCCCAGAAGCAGCCCCTTGCTGAGGGGGGAAGGCAAAGGGGTCTCCCCCTCTCTCCTCCCCACTCCCTGGAGCCCGGCTATCTCTCTGCCAAGCTCCTGCCCTGCCGCACCCTCCCCTGCGCCCTGGAGGCCAATCCATCCCCGGGTCTCTGGGAAAGCTCCCCCGTCCGGGCCGCCCCTTCTGCCCAGCCCCGAGCGCGGAGCTGTCCAGGATTCCCAGACGGGTGCGAGTCACTGCCTGAAGCCCCTTCTCCTCCGTCGGAAGAGGATGTGCTTAAAGGATCGCCGGAAATCCTGGTTGAAGACCGTGTAGATGACCGGGTTGAGCGAGCTGTTGCAGTAGCCGATCCAGAAGAAGAACTTGAAGAGCGGGCCGGGCACCTGGCAGGCCTCGCGGCAGATGCCGTACAGGCTGTAGCTGAAGAAGAAGGGGAACCAGCAGAGCACGAACACGCCCATGACCACAGCCAGCACAAAGGTGAAGCGCTTCTCGCGCGCCTGGGCCACCTTGCGGCGGCACACGCTGCTGCGCGCCCGGCGCCGGCGCGACAGGAAGAACTCGACGGAGCGCGAGCTGGCGCGCGACAGGCGGCCACCGGGCCCCGGGGACCTGGAGGCGGTCAGCGCCCCCGACTCAGCCGCCCCCGGCCCCGCCCCCTGCCCGTCCGCACCGCCCGCGCCCCCCTCCGCGCCCGCTCGCCGCCGCCCGCCCCGCCGCAACGCGCCCCGGCGCCGCCGCCTCTCGGCCGCTGCGCTGCTCTCGTCCGGCTCCACGTCGGCGGGCGGGGGCGCGCAGTGCCCGTTCTCGCCTGCGCCTGCCGCCGCGCCCAGCCCGTTTTCGGTAGTCGGGGACGCACCGTCGGGGCCCACGGGGGCGCGCTTCTCGCTGAGCGTGCGCGTGCGCAGCTTGGCCACTCGGTAGATGCGCGCGTAGACCAGGCCCATGATGAGGCAGGGCGCGAAGAAGGAGCCGATGCAGGAGGACAGGATGTACCAGGTCTCGTCGTTGAGGCCGCACTGCGGGTAGGCGGCGCCGTCGGGCTGGCGGTAGAGCGAGACCAGCGGCGGGAAGGAGATGACGGCCGAGATGAGCCACACGGCCACGATGGTGGCCTTGACGCGGCGTGGTGTGCGCTTCAGGTTGTACTCGACGGCCTGCGTCACCGACCAGTAGCGGTCCAGGCTGATGGCACACAGATGCACGATCGACGAGGTGCAAAACAGCACATCGAGCGCCAGGTACACGCCGCACCACACCTGCCCGAAGTACCAGTAGGCCATGAGCTCGTTGGCCAACGAGAAGGGCATGACCAGCGTGGCCACCAGGATGTCGGCCGAGGCCAGCGACACCAGGAAGAGGTTCTGTGGCGCGCGCAGCGCCCGGCTGGTCAGCACGGCGATCACCACCAGCACGTTGCCCACCACGGTGAAGACGATGAGGAAGCCCACCACGGCAGCCAGCCCTGCCACCGCGCCCGCCGAGTACTGGCCGCGCGGCGGCCCCCAGGAAGCCCCCGAGGCATTGGCAACCCCGCCGCTGCCCCTCTCGCCCGCGCCGCTCGCATTGGGGCCCGCCGCTGCCGCCACCGCCAGCGCCGCCGCCAGCGCCGGGGACGCCATGGTCCTCCCGCGAGCTACGCCGTCCCTCCTGGAGCCGGGGCGCAGCCGCGGCAGCTCGGGCGCCCCCCAGCCGGGGTCGGCGCCCGCATCGCCGCCTGCTGCTCGGGCGCGCCCGCCGGGGACCGCGGCGCCCAGCAGCCGGCCCTCGGCCGTGGTGGCTCCGCGGGCGGCGCGCCGGAGAGCGTGGCTGCCGGGCTCCCCGCAGCTGCCGAGCGTGTAAGTGCAGAGCAGGAGGCGCCCGGAGCGAGCGGCGACGCGGCTGCGGGGGGAGGGGGGCAGGTCCCGGGGTCCTCGCGCGGCCCCGCCCTCGGCCCGGCTCACGGGGAGCGCCCCGGCGTCGAGCCCACGGCGACGCGGCGCCCGAGCGGGCGTGCCTGAGCGGCCCCGCGGTCCCGGAGCCCAGCCGGGGCGCAGGCGACAGGCGGCGGCGGCCCGGGCGCTCCGCCTCCCATCCGGCCGGCTAGGGCTCGGCGCGCCGGGGCGCCGGCCGCCGCTCCTCCGGGCCCCCGCGCCCGCGCGCTCCCTCCGTCTCCAACTTTACTTTCCCGGGCGGGGCGCCGGCGCCGCCGCGAGTCCTCCGGCTGCTCCCGGGCGCGGGCGCCCCCCGCGGTCCACGCTTGGCCGTGCGGCCGCCGCCTCGCTCGCCGGAGCTGCGCCGCCGCCGCCGCCGCCGCCCTGCGCTGGGCGCGAGTGCGGCCGCCTGCGATCGGCTTCCAACTTGGGTCGAGTTGCGCAGCGGGGCGGGCGCGCGGGGCGGGGCGGGCCGCGGGCCCTGGGGAGCTGGCCGGGAACCGGAGCCCGCGGCCGCCTGGTCGAACCTGCCCGCGCGGCGCCGGGGAGGAGTCCGGGGCGGCGGCGCGGGGCGCGCGCTCGGCGAGGGCGCCCCCTCCAGGGCCGCCTGCAGCCTGCGGGACGGGGCCGAGCGGCGGCCGGCCTGGGTGGTGAGTTCCAGAAGCTGCTCTTTCTAAGACTGGAGCCTCCTTCGCCTCCCCCGGCGCAGGCATGGGCGCAGGCGGGGGCGCGCACACGCGCGCGCGCAGCACGGGCGGCTCGGGGTCCATGGCCTGATGGCAGAGCAACCTCTCGCAGCCTGGGGGAGGACGCGACGCTACCTGCGTGCGCACAGGTCCTGCCGAGCTCAGGGTCCGGACCAGATCCTGGATCGGCGCTCCCCGTCAGAGCCACCTCCGCACCCACCCCGGCCTCAGTTCCCTCGGCCCACTTCCCAGCGCTGCTGGAGCATGAATCATAACTAACGGCGGTGTCTGTGGAAGCCCTGGGCAAGCTCCCAAGCTCTGCACCCATGTTAGCAGTGATTGAAGTTTAATCCTTAGGCTCTCAGGCCCTGCTTTTAAAGGATGGAGAGGTGTTCAAAGTCACCACCTCTGACAAACACCCAGAACGGAGCTGCCTGGATGATGGAGCTTTTTGCAAGGGTGGGCTCAGGGGAGAGCGGCCGTTGAGGTAGCCCCCGTGCACCCTCGCCCCCGTCCGCGCACCTCCATTCTGCAGATGTGCACTGCCACGTGCACTGCCACTCTGTGGCCCATGTTGGGTGCTGGCTTCTGCCTCCAGGCAGCCTGGGGTCTGTGGGAGAGGGACTTCCAGGGACGAGGTGATCCAGGAGGAGAGCTGGAGTTCTCAGGCCTGACGTTTCTCTGCTAGGACCGAAGGGACGACCCTTCTCCCAAACGTCCAGAAACGAACCCCAGCTGGCTGGCCTCTCCCTGCATGGGCCCGCAGGAGAGAGGGAGGGAAGGTCTGTCCATCCTGTGGCTAGAACCGGCGGGGAAGGGGCGCTTCTGAGTGCCCGGGAGGTCATCATGAAGAGCGGCTGGAGTGACTGCCCTACCCCCGGGATGCCTATCCATGCCCGTGGCCTGGGGCAGCTTCTCTCTGAGCTCCTGAAGGGCGCCAGCTTTAGCCTCAGAGCCTGTCGTGTTCTCTGCTGCTCAGCCCTACTGGGGAGCATGTCTGTCTCCGCAGAGACACTGCCAGGAGCTACGGCTTCGTTCTTCACCATGTTTGTCACCAGCAGGGCCTGCATTGGGGGTGTGGAGGCCGAGCCAGGGCCCGGCAGAAAGCAAATATTTCAGATGATGGGCCTGCCAAGCAGGGGCGCACGTTGGAGCCAAAGCCTTCTGTGCCAGTCCTGTGCTAGTCTAGGGCACATATGCCCTTCGGGGAGGCAACAGGCCATGGCTGTCCTGTGGGAGGTGTGTGACCTGGGGATGGTGGAGGGTCACCATCCTTACTAAAGGCCCTCCTGGTTCTGGTTGCCTAAAAGGTGCCACCTGTCCAGGGCACCTGGAGGTGCATTTTTCAGGGAAGCCCACACACACCTGCTTCCTTCATGGTCGGCCCGCTGGAGCCCTTGTCTCTATTGAGCCCTCTGCGATGGCAGAGAGTGAGGGGGGCCTGGCCTCAGTTGAGGTGCTCACCATCTGTGGGTGGATGGGGCCACCCACTGAGGTGAATGCGCTGACAACCATCAGTGCCCTGGGGCTCCTCCCCCAGCCTGGGAGCGGGGTTGTCAAGGAAGCCTTCCTGGAGGAGGTGACCAAACTGTGCTTAGAGAGTGAGGAGGTGTTATGAGGAAGGGGGAGGCCTCTGTAGGCTGTCCTTCTTCCAGTGGGAGTGGGCTTTGTACTGGGGGCGTGGGGAGACAGGAGGACTAGGAAAGAGCAGTGGCAGGGGCCAGATGCAGGCTTTGGAGAAGGTCTCTCTCCCTCGGCATCAGCGTGCCTCCCACCCCCATCCTGAAGGGCTCTCTTTTTGAGAAGTGCTTTGGGGGATGCGCAGGGGCATGGGGATCTATCTAGGATCCTGGCTCCTATGTTCCCAAGAGATGGCAGCCCAGGCACGGGAATTTGGAGGGAAAAGGACACGGAGCACCTGGGGCCCTGAGCCAGATGAGCCTCCCACTGCCCAGGAGGGCTGAAGGCAGGGGCCACTCACAGGCCAGGCTGAGGGCATCTGGAGTGCCTGGCCAGTGAGCGGCCCAGGCCCTTGGGGATGGCAGCCAACAGGCTGACATGCTGCTGGCAACACCTCCTGGCATGACCAGGGAGGGGTCAGAAGGGTCCACTCCAGGGCCTGGATGGAGCCAAGGGCAAAAAGCTGGGGCCTGGAGTCATTAGGAGGAGCGAAGCCCTGGGCCATGCATAGGGGTTGCATTGCACGCAGGCCTGCCTGTGGTGGGAGGGCCCGGGACCGCAGCTGTTTGCAAGGAAGCTGGAGAGGACTCTTCCCCCAGACCTTGAAATTAGGCTTGAGGAACTGCTCCGGATTGTCCGTAACAAGCAGAACAGCACGTACCCAGCAAGACTTCCTGTCCTGACGAGGCACGACGCGAGCTGGCACGACCAGGAGGGGCGAGGAAGGAGGGTGCTGGGGGAGTCAGGCTGCACTGGCGGGGGTTGTGGGGGCTGTCTGTGTGTACGTGTGCAGGGGAGTACATGGCAGAAGTGGGCATATTTCAGAGGGGAAACCTACAGGTGTTTCCTAGAACTGAGAACCTAGAAGTGGCACGTCCTGGAGCTGCAGAGGCGAACCTGCCTGTATCTCACCCATGATGCGTGGGGCCTAGGAGGACAGGGTTGGTCCAGCAGGGCCATACAGCCATGGGACATTGGGCCCTGGCTGCTGTGCCGGAGAGAGCTGGGTGCCTGCCTGGGATGCCGCGCTCTAGGCTTCGTGAGCAGCCTCAGCTCGGGTGGAGGGGAGTTTGGCTCCTTGAGCCCCCTCCCTGCACATGCAGGCATGCATGCACATACGCAGATGTACAGTGTCCACACACATATATGTATCCACACACATCCTTGTGCACACATAGATCCATGCACACACATGAATATACATATCATGAATACACGTGTGTTCATGCAAGCATGAACACCCATACATACACATATCCACACATGCATGCAAGCATGCAACCTATTCATGCACACTTGCATGCCTTCACACACACATGCATGCACACATCCACACACACACTGTCTACATATACCATGTGGATTTACAGTGCATCCATGCCTACAGAATATACACACATGTATGCACACATACATGTTCCCACACATGCACACATGCCTGCGTGTGCATACACATGCCCGTGTACTCTTCACATGCAGGTGCATATATACATATGCACTATCATACACACGTGCTTTTTGCACACGTATGTCTACACATGCATATGTATCACACTGGCATATGTAGAAATGATGCACCCATGCTGTGCACACACCTGTGCATACTGCGGGCACGCACAGCCTTCCCTGTGCAGATAACACGAATCCATGCACATTGCACACACGTGTGTATGCCTGTGCTGCACACATCTGTCCCTATGCATGACACCAGTCATGCATGTGCACACATGGCTTCGCATATATGGATGTGTACACACATATGCGGCACCTGTGGCCTTGCCCACCCTCCTAGGCTGAGGAGAAGATGTATTTCTGGGTTGCTGCTGCAGCCAGCTCTTCCGGGGCTGCGGCTGGGTTCTGCCTCGCCTGCCTGGTCTGCACAGCTCCACCTGGCTCCTGCGGTCAGCCCTCCTCTCCACGCTGTGAGCTGTGAGGACATTTCTCATTAACTCTTGTGGACCCTGGGCCTGACCATGTGCTGTCCGCAGGCCTGGATGCCCTCTGCCTCATCTTTCCTGGGGCTCGCTTCCTTCAAGACTTGTCCCATGATGTTCCTCCTTCAGGAAGCCTCCCGTGACCTCCCGGGCTGGATCTGGGCCACTTTTGCCGGCCTCCTGCATGCCCCATGGGGCATGGCCATCATCAGTAACCATACATCTCAGCTGTGTCCCATCCCCACTGCCTGGTCCAGGGCTGGGCTCTCAGCTCACAGAAAGAGCTGAATGAAGGCCTGGTGGCAGGATGGGTGCCGTGAAGGGCAGATGGGCTTGTGGGCCTGGCTCTAGCCTCCTTAGCCGCACTGATGCTTGCTGGGTGCTGAGTGCAGGGGGTGCCTTCACCTGGTGGCTGCTTGTGCCAGGCCCCAGTGCCCCTGGCCAACAGGCCCTTTTCTCAGTTCCATGGAGTTTGGGGTCATCAGATGTGGCTTTAGGCTCCTGCTCATTCCCTTACTTATTGTCTGGCAGTGGGGGAGCCTTCTGGCTTCCAGGGCCTCAGTTTCCCCTGTCTGTAAAATGGGAGCATTGGACCAGAGCATTCCGAGGCCCATGCCAGCCCTGAGTGACCCCCTCCCCCAACTTGGCTGTGAGCTCCTGGGGGTGGGGGTGGCGCCTGCCTGCCCATCTCTGCCCTCGGTTGGTGTCCGCAGGGGAAAGGGAAGAGGCTGGACTCGGGGAGAGACCCCTCTCCACTCAGCCCTGGTGGGTGCGGGAACCAAGGGAAGCCAGCCCTATCTTCTTGTCTCAAGACCAAGAGGACATGTTTTCTCCCTGGAGCTGAGCTGAGCTTTCTTTCCCTATGTTTATTTGAAATTTCATTTTTAAAGACGAGTCAGGGAAAAATGAGGCTTGCTTCTCTCCCTGCCCCTCCCTGAAGAATTCCAGAAGCTGATTTGTCTTGTCAGGATGTGGCAGGGAGCCGTGGCCTGGGCTGGCTCTCTGAGCTGTTGCATATTGATCAGCATTGATGGGTTTGGCACAGTCGAGTTCTTACAGAGCTGGCGGAAGTCCCTCTGGAGAAAGAACTGCTTCGGGGACTGGCTTTGATTTGCAATGAGTGTAATAGATTAAAGCAGTGGGTCAGCATGTCTTATTGAGCACCAGCTGTGTACCTCAGCCCTGGCCCTGCTGGGATCCAAGCTCAGATCCCCGCCTCCCCCGACCCTCTCGGTTGCCACCGAGCCCCACCTCTGCCTGCCCGCTGCACCTGCTCCAGTCTCCACCTGGCTTCTCCTGCTAGGGGCTGTGCCCTGCCCGCTAGCTGCCTGAGCCTGACATTCAGGGCCCTCCAGTGCCCAACCTCAACCCACAGCCCTTCACTGGTTCAGTTGTCATGCAGTCCGCAGACACCAGGAAGCATCCTCTGCGTGCAGCCCTGGAGATGTAGAGGTGACGAAGGCAGGGCGGCCCAGAAGACCTCACCTCCTGCTCCACCATCCTGGGCCTGGGCCTAGCGGGGTAGGCTGGCAGCAGGCCTGCTGCCTGGACTCTGGGTTCGAGCTGGCTGGGTTTTCCTCTGTGACCTTTCCCAGCCTTGGTGGCCGCTGTGCACACTCCTCAGAATGACGTCTGCAGAGCTCTCAGCCTGGGGCCTGCCCGTTGCTGGGTGGTTGCAGGAAGGAGGCCACTTGACCCCGTTCCAGCCAATGATACCTCCCTGAGGACAAGGGTGAAAGGTGCCGGGAGGCCCACTGCCTGCCTTCCTGCTTGCTTGGGCACATGTGAGGATGTGATGCCCGGAGCAGCAGCAGCTGTCATGTGACCAGGAGGAGCTGAGGATGAGGATGAAAACCATGGAAGGAAAGAGGGTGTGTCCCCTGTGCCATTGTTCTTGAGCCTCCAAGAACCCACCCGGGACCTACCCTTTGTCCAGACTTCCTCCTGCCGAAGGACGTACTAAGTGGACTTACTGTTTTACCCTTTTAGGGAGGAAGGTTCTGTAACTTGCGGCTGAATGCGTCCAAGCCATGAGTTGTCCCCCAAGCTCGTGAGTTGTCCCCAGCTCAATTCTGCCTCCTTTGGAGAGTGACGTCCCACACACCTGTGCAACCTTGCATGCCAAAAGGACTTTGCAGACATGACTGAGGACCTTGCATGCGGGAGGTGATCCCCACGACACCTGTGGACCCAGTGTCATCAGGGTCCTTGTAAGTGAAAGAGGCAAGAGGACCCCAGAAGAGGAGGTGTGATGACAGAAGTGGAGGTCGGAGTGACATGGAGACGGGACCCCTGGCTGCAGGATGCAGTGCTTCTGGGAGCTGGAGAGGCCAAGAGACAGACTCTGGCCTGGAGCCTTCGGAAGGCACCGGCCCTGCAGACCACTTCAGACTTCCGACCTCCAGGGCCGGAAGAGGAAGCTTGGTGTGGTTCTAAGCGGTGGCATTTGTGATCATTTCTCACCGCAGCCACAGTAGATGGAGGCAACACCCGTGGGTGTTTGAGGGATGGATGAGTGGAAGCATGCGTGTGGTGGAGGCCACTGCACCGTCCAATTCCAGACAGTCCCGAGGAACGCCCGCTGGCAGCCCTGCCTCGGCTGTTGAGTCATTATGTGATCTTGGGCAAGTCTGAACCTCTGCTTCACCACCTGTGAATTCAGGGACAGGACTCAGTGGTCTTTCTCGGTCTTTCCAGGCCCTCAAGTCCTGGAGGGCACTGTGGGAGTGTGAGGTGGAGCCCGGGAGTCCCGCGGATGGAGATGAAAATGCCAGCCCTGCTAGATCCAGGCGGGATGGAGTGTGGGGTGTGGGCACAGTGGCTTGTACAGGCCTGGGCTGGGCAGACTTGCCCCGGAGTCTCAGGCCACTGCGGAAGGAGGACGCGTGGCCAGCAGGTGCCACCAGGAGAGGAGAGGAGGGCCAGGCTGAGCTGCATCTCTGGACTCCAAGGAGAGCTTGGAGAGGTGACTGAAACCCTGCCCCACCCCCAGCCTGTCTCCATCTGTGGGTCCTTGGGCAAATTGCCTCATCTCTCTGAGCCTCGAATGCGTAGCTTTCAGGACTAACTAGGGTACTGTGTACCAACTGCCTCTGCCAACGCCCCTGCACTGGGCAGCCCTGGGTACCTGGCTTGGGGGAGGAGTAGGCCTGGGAGGAGACTGATGCTACATTTCTCTTTATCTATCCCTGTATTGTTTAATTTGTTCCAAGTGCTTGAGTTACTTTGGCAAATAGAAACAATTCTAATAAAGAGAACTAAGACCTTAGGATCCCTGGCGCGTAGCAAGCTCTCGGCAAATCGCAGTTGACCCTCCTCTTCCTCTTCCCCCTCATCATCTTCATCATCATTATCATCATCACTGTTGGATCTGCTCCCAGCTGACATTTGAGTCTGCCTTGTGATGTGCCTCAGGCCGTTCCCAGCCTCTGCTTGCACACCCCAGGCGATGGGGAGCTCACTGCTTTCTGAGCAGCGTGCTTCCGTCTTAGGACAGCTCTGATTATTTTCAACACAGCAGACGGTTGTGGTGCTCCGCTGTGTGAGGTTCCATGCCACGCTTGGGGTCACAGATAAATCAGCCTTGGGCAGTGCCTGGCCACAGGAGCTGAGGGTGCCTGTGCTGGCTTGGGGCAGTAGGAAGGGCTTCTTGTGGAGGGGGCTTCTGCCCTGGCCTTCACAGCACAGGGAAGGCTTCCTGGGCCATTTCCCCACTGCTCTATGGGCCGCCCCTCCCCGCCTCAGCCGGGCTGCCAGAGTCCAGGACCTGTGGCCAGTGCATCCTCTACTGACCCATGGAGGCTCACCCCTAGACCTCCCTAACCTGGGTGGCTGTCCCCTGGAGACCTCCGAGTACTTCTCAGAGTGTTCAACAGAGTTTGAAAGCCTTTTGCTTTATTTCACCTTGATATCGCCCCTGAGGGTTGGGTGCCATGGTTTCCCCACTTTGCAGATGAGAAAGCGGAGGCCGTGGGAGCAGATGCGGCTCCCCAGGTCCCCAAGGAGTGGCTGGTAGATTGGGGCTCGGGCTCAGGCCTTGCCCCATCCAGTCTCTACCCACAGTGACCACCTCTGCGGTAGCCACCCACCCCAACAAAGACCACATAGGGGCCCCTGGATGGACACCGGGGCTTCTTTCCCTAAGGTGGTCACCTCCACGGGGACCCCAGTCAACCACACTTTCCTGCTGTGGGGGCTGCTGTTTACCACGTAGCCTGTTTGGGATGCGCACCCCAGTGCTAATCAACCCTTCGCCCCAGCACCCGGCATGGTGAATGCATGAAGGAACCCCTCTCTCCACGAGGCAGGCAGTTTTCCTTCAGTGAAGACACTGAGACCCAGCAAGCACCTGTGCCCAGCGCTCACCTGAGCCACTCTCCACCCTGCATTGCTGCCTCTCATTTGCTGAGCCCTGAATATGTGCACAGCTCCAAAGGGCCACAGAGTGGTGCAGCTCCTGTCCCCAGCTGTGGCCAAAGGTTACGGAAACCACAGACGCCACACACCACCTGCTCTCGTGCCCGCGTGGAAAGTGTGGGCGTGCCCGCGTGGAAAGTGTGGGCAGGCCCACAGGTGGCGGGTGCCCATGTGTGAGGCGTGACGTGCTCCCTAAGGCCACCCTTGCCATCCTCAGGTTTGATACCTTGTATTGCAGCTGCTTCCAGGTAGAATCCAGAGAATGTTCTGGGTAGGAATGGTTAATTCAACAAAAGTAATTTATGCCCACGATTTGTGAATCTGACCAGAGCAGACAAGTGCTTCAGAGCTGGAGGGAGTTCAGAGATTTGTTTTGTTTTGTTTGCTTTGAGGTTTTCTTTAATAGGAAAATGAAGAAGAGTCCTTAACATGTTTGGGAAAATAAACTAAGAATGCTCACATTTGCCATGACCCTGGGAGCTTCCTCCAGCTTCCTGCATCGATCCTGATTCCCAAGTATTTGTGGAAGGCAGGGATGCGGGCTGAGCCGTCCTCGCCACTGCCCACAGCCCTGGAATGTTTGTGTTGGAACCTGGACACCTTGGGCCCACACTCAGCAAGATCTGCTATGTTTTCTTCTCGAGTTTTCCCATCCCAGAAAGGCTCTGATTTAAACCAGAAATTTGTCATAGGAGGCAACGGGACTGGACTGAGATAACTGTGAGTAAGTCAAGGTACAGGTGATGTTGCTGTAACAAGAAAACCCCAAAGCACAGCAGCTTGAGCAAGATAAAAGATCCTTTCTGTCCCACATGGAAGCCTGGGCAGGACTTCCTGGCCCCTTCTGCCTTTTCCCTGCCATCCCCAGTGGGCAGCCCCAGTTTCAGGCCCCTTTTGCCTTTTCCCTGCCATCCCTAGTGGGCAGCTTGGGCCCCGGCACCACATCCATGGCATCACAACAGTGGGATGGGGGCCCATGGCCCTTCCATCACAGGGCGACTTCACCTGGAAGTTGTGTTCCTCCCTTACGCTGATGCCCCATTGGCCAGAACTTGGTCACATGCCCACCCCTAATGTCGGGGAAGCTGGGAAATGTAGTCTTTACATGGCAGCCATATTCCCAGATCAATATCCTATCACCGTAGAACAGAGTTTCTCCACCTGTGTCTTGTGACATTTTGGGCTGCACTCGTCTTTGTCGTGGGGGCTGCCCTGTGTGTTGTAGGAAGTTTGGCAGCATCCCGGGCCTCCATCCACTAGACACCAGGAGCACTTCTCAGTTGCAACAACCAAATATGTCTTCAGATATTGCCAGATATCCCCTGGGGGGCAAAATCACCCCCAGTTGCAAACCACTGGGCAGATCAAGGGCCTGCAACTTCAGGGCTGCAGCACCCAGGTCACAGGAGGGCTGGGAGGGTGGTCCGTGGCACATACCCTATCAGAAGGAGACAGCTACCTCTCAAGTCCACCCTGCAAGTTCTCATGCAGGAAGAGGGACAGAGATCTGGATTTTCATGGGAAATATACTAATGGTTTTCTGATAGCACACAATTAAAAAAAAGAAAGAAAGCCATGGTTATGGAATGAATTGTGTCCCCCCAAAAAGATATATCCACGTCCTAACCCCTAGCACATGTGAATGTGATCTTATTGGATTGGAGCCCATCCTAATCCACTATGACTGGTGTCCTTATTAGAAGAGGAGACACCCAGGGAGGGAGGCCATGTGCAGATGGAGGGGGAGACTGGAGAGATGGGGTCACAGCCAAAGAACTCCTGGAGCCCTCATGGGGAGCACAGTGCTGCCAACACCTTGACCTCAGAATTCCGGCTTCCATTGCTGTGAGAATAAATTTCTATTGCTTTAAGCCACTAATTGAATTTGCTGGAGACAGAAGGAGGCTCCGCAGACACGTGCTGATAGGCGAGTATGCAGGCCCAGCCGCCACTGATGGACATGCTCACTCTCCATTCATCCAACAAATGTTTATGAAGTGCTCACTCTGTGTTGGGCACTGTCTGAAACCTAGGGATACATCAGTGAACAAAATGGACTCCTAGAGCCTAAAAGGTTGTCAACTGAAGAATGACAAGGTTCGTAAGTTTGGAAAGGAGAGCCTTATTTCTCATAAAGGGTTGCAGCCTGCAGAGCAGCCATTCTGATGGCTGAGAAGCGTAGCCTCAGGCCAGAAGCTGCAAACAGACATTTTGAGGGAGGGGCAAAGGGAACAGGAAGGTTCCCTTTGCTGAGCAGGGGGTGCCTAATGTACATATTCAACAAGCTATGGAAGGAGTCATGAATATACATGAAAGGAGAAACACGTGCGTGCACTTGAGCTTCCTGCCTCTCCATAGGACCCACGTTCAAGACACGACAATGGCAGCATGACCTAAGGGTGGAGTTTTCCACCCTCTGATGTGGAAAGGTGAAGCGGAGGACACGGAAACCCTTGCTGTACATCCCCCGCCGACTGGCCAGAAGCTCTCTGTGGCCCGTGGTCTCCTATCAGGAAGGAACGCTGGCTGGTTGCTGTGTCAAACTCGCACCAGGGAGGGGCAGGTCAGGTGTTGGTTGAAACCAGGGCGGAATCTTTCGGAAGATCCGGTTTCTCTGCAGCCCTTAGAGGGGAAGCCCAGTGATGGTTAGCAAGGGAGGGAGGGGGTACAACGAGGTGGGTCCCACCTCCCTCACATCACGGTGGGAACTCAGCTTCCAAGGTTTCTCTGGGGTCCCTTTGGCCAAGGGGTGTTCTGCTCAGTCTGTTGGGGGTCTTAGGATTTCATTTTTATTTCTCACGACAAAGGACGTGAGAGCGCTCTCTGCAAAGTGTGACGTCCTTCAGGGATGTATTTGCCTTTTCTCTGGTTGGAAGGTGGTTGGAGTTGGGGTCAGGGCTAGGGTTGGGATGTTGATGGGGTTGGGTTAGGGTTGGAGTAGGGTTGGGTGCTGATGGGGTTAGGTAGGGTGAGGATTAGGGTCAGGGTTGGGGTGCTGATGGCATCAAGGCACAGTGGAATTGGAACGCCGACCATCACCTGTTCCTCTGCCAGCTACCAGCCTCCCGCATCCCTTTCCTTACTTCCCTCTGCCCAGCCCCTGACCTCCTGGCTCTTACCTTAGTCTGGTGCTCTATAACCTTCTGACGCGCTGAGGGACTCACCCCAGGACTCAGTTTATCTTGCTGACAAATGAGTGGGTTGGCTCTGATTTCTCTAAAGGCTCTCCCACTTCTAAAAATTCTAATTGGGTGGGATCTTCTTCAAGTGAGCAGGAACTATCAGCTATTGTTATGCAGGAACACAGGAGTACAAAGGTACTTTCGAAATAGAGCCAGAACAAAAGATGAAGTAGATTGCATCAGGCTCGGTATTATACTTAGAGAAACTATTTAAAAACCAAAGTACTTTTGAGTGCAGTGTTCATTGGAATTGCCCTGGGAAACTGTGTTTGACTCTAACAAAAGCTTTGTATCGACAGGATGTGTTATCGCTCAATTTCTAGGAAAGAGCGGTAATTAGATGCCTCACACCAGATATTGTTTCAATTGCAGGAAATAAAATACAAATCCTGCGAGGAGGCACATTCCTCCTTTTCATGACCGAGGAGGCACCCTTCCTGGTTCCAGGTCACAGGACCCCCGCCTGCCGCGGTCTTGGAGGTCCGCCCCTGCCTTCGTAGCTGGGAGGGAAGGGAGAAGGTGAAGTGCAGGTGTCTTTGGGAAACTTACAGCACCGGCGGCAAGGCCCGCCAGTGCCCAGGAGGGGAATTCCACCGCCCCCACGTCCCCTGCCCCCCACCAGCCAGCCCTAAGCGCCAGGCCTCGGGGGGCAGAGGGACCACAACTGCATGCCTCAGGTGCCATTCTGCCCCTGCCCCATGCACTCCCCCAGTGTGTCGGGGGGGCTGGCCATGGGGCATTCGGCCTCAGGGGAGCTGCCTGAGCCCAGGCCAGTTGGGCCTCGCCAGGAGGGACCTTCCAGGGATCTCCCTCGCTGTTTGGGCAGGAGTGCAGCCCAGCCAGGAGCCCCCAGGGGTGGCTGGGAGCCTGTGCCCCTCCTCATGCCTCCTGCCCCACAGGTGCCACTCCAGGAGACCAGGCTCTGCTCTGTCCCCGTGCCCCCCCAGTGCCCTCCCACAAGGGTGCCTCAGCACAGAATGCCTGTCCCACCCTGACCGTCTTGGCCTGCTCTTCTTTAGCCGCCAAGAACAGCCCAGCCATCTCCTCCAGGAAGCCCTCCTGCACCCCTGGAAGGGTTAGATCCCCCCTGGGCTCCTCAGGACGCCTGAGGGCTGCCAAGGCCCCAGCATGGGGATGAGGGGACGTGGACTCATTCTTTGGCTGCCTCTTGTGCCCTCCGGGGCTACTCAGGGGAGGGACCTGGGACCAGCCCGGGGTGGGATCCTCAGGAATGGCTGGCAGGTGGGTGCGGAGGTGGGGAGAGTGGGCATCCTCAGTCCTGCTTGCTCTCAGGCAGGTTCTGGGCTGAGAGTGGCCAGGTCAACCTCCTCTCTCCTCAGCCGGCAGATGCAGCCAAAGGTGCCAAGGGAGGGGGTGTAAAACCTGCAGGAGTCCCCCAGGTCAAACTGCAGGGTGTGCCGAGCCTCAGGGTTCCAGGGGACAGAGGTGGAGGGGCCCTGGGCTGGGGCATGAGGTGACCGGCCTGGTGGGAGGGGACAGGGACAGGGTAGCCTGGCTTACCTTGCTCCTGATCTCTCTACCTGGGCCTCTTTTTCCCAACTGTTCCCCTGGCTGAGATTCGAGGTGTGGGACAGAGGTGGGGTACGGTCTCCCCAGAGCCCTCCCTGCCAGGCCAGGCTCAGGCAGGGCTGCCACCCTCTTGGGAGGCCTCCAGCACTGCTGGGTTCCCCTAGGCCCTGGCGTGGTGCCGGCCCTCACCATTGCCGACTTCCCTATGGGGTCCCTTCTCCCTTGCTCTACACAACCTACCACCGTCTTCCAGGACCCTGCAGAACCCACCCCGAGTGGAGAGTGGTGCAGGCCCCTCGCAGGGTTCTTGGAGACACCAGGCGCCCGGCTGTGTTCCTGCCGCACACCCTTACTGTGGGAACTGAGCCGGCCTGCCATCCACCTCCGGTCCCCAGCAGACCTGCTCTGCAGGCTCAAGCGGGGCCAGCTCCCAGAAAGGAGGGAAGCCCCAGCTGCCCAACCCCAGCTCACATCCCGAGGCTGCTGTGGCGGCATTCAGTCGTTGCTTCAATTTCATTATCAGTCCTGCCAGGGAGCATTCTCTGGTGGAGGACTCTTCCCAAGTGACCAGGCTGCTTCCCTGGGTGGGAACCTCATGCTGTTTAAATATAAACAGTGGAGTGTGCATGAGGAAGGCCAGCACTCCGGGCCACCTATGGGGAGTCCAAGGTCGCAGGTGCTATCTCCCCACATCTGTGCCTGACTTAGTGGAGCATTTCCATTGACCGCCCCGCCTTGGTGACTGGCACGGCAGCTGGCTGCCTGCAGGCCAGCCCACGGCTGTGCTAAGCTCCCTGGCCAGGCATCTCACCTGCTCTTGGGGTTCCTGAGAAAGCTGCAAAGGGACAGGATCATTCATGAACAAATGTGTGTGGCACGACCCTCCTGCTCCCACCTCTGTGTCCAGAGTGGCTGCCCGAGGCCTTATGTCTGCAGGTGCAGGGCCGCCCTGGGCCATGGCCAGATGGACCACGGGCCACTCAGTGCAGCTTCTCCTCTGCTCTCCCCTGCACTGCCCGGGCGCCATCGCCTCTTGCTGGGTTCTGCCAACCAGGAGCACTCAAGTGGGACTCGGGAGGTTTGGAAGCTGAGGGCATGGTCCTGTGACTGCTTCTTCACCAGAGGGGGGCAGACACGTGGGCATGTCCCACCGGCTGTGACTGCCTGAGATCTACTCTTGCTGGTGACGAAGGTGGCGGCCAGGACCCACCTTTCCTACAGCCCCTGACCCTGATCATCATTGCTGGCCCCCCAGACAGTCCCTGAGCATCAGGTCCATGGGGCACGTTCTGGTGTCAGCTGGGAGGGGGACAGAAAGTCAGAGACTAGTGAGGAAGAGGAGCGAGGATGGGTAAAATAGAAAGGCAGGACAGGGCTAGATGGTGCATGGCCCTGACCCCTTTCAACAGTGCCTAGTGGGCAGGGCGGGGCAGGTGACACACACACACACACACACACACACACACACACGCACATGACATGGCTCTGCAGGGCTCAGGGCCGTGGCAGCAGGGGCCGGGGCTCTGGGCTCATGTTTGCTACGGGAGACACGCTTGGCATGTAGTGAAACCAACCAACAGGTGGAAGGGAGGCAGCGTGGCGTGCGGGGTGATGCAGGGCCCAGGCTCTCCGACTCCACCGGCCTCGGGCTGGGGTTTCACAGACCTTGCCCATCCACACACGCTGACGGCTGACGGCTGTTTGTTGAATCCCCACTCCTGGACCACAGGCCACTCTGTCTCTGATGTTTCCAAAGGGAGCTGAGCAAGGCCCGCCCCATGGGATGGGCACGCTTCCCATCGGGACCGGCATTCATGTGGGTTTTGGAAAATCTGGGCCCTTGTCTCATTAAGCCATTAGGAGTGGGTAGCCATGGAAACCATGGTACTTGGGTACTCAACACGAATGAATATTTATTCAATTAGCAGGGCCGGGGTGCTAGGCGGACCTGGCTCCAGCTGTGACTGGATGGTGGGGGCTCCCAGGAGCAAGAGCCACCTTTTAGAGGGCAAACCACGCCCAGGAACTTCACCTACATGATCTGATTAATCTTTGCTGTGACCCCTTGAGACAGTCACTGCTGTCCCGTGGTGTGGAAGAGAAGGCTCAGGAGAGCCAAGCAGGACATGAGGCCCAGAGGGTCTGCCCAGGAGACACAGCAAATGGCCCTTCCACCTCTGGGGTCCCTGGGCTGGCAGCTGACAGCTCTGTGTCTTGGTTCCCCCGCTCGATGGCCGTGGGTCCTCCAGCAGCTCACTTGAATTCCCTGTGCCCTCGTGGGCCGTCTGGGTTGGGCCCAACCTAACGCCTCCTCAGGTTGCTGGTGGAACTGGAGGGGCCTGTGTGTCCTGTGCCTGGCCCAGGGCCTGGCACACAGTAGGAGCTCAGCCAGTGCCAGCTCCAGCTGGAAAGAACAAGGAGAGCCCGGGGCTACCCAGGAGCACGGAAACGTCCCTGGAGGCTCTTCCCAGTGGCACACGGTGCTGGGGGAGTGGGGGCAGCCTCTCATTCTCCTGGTCTGATTCTGCACTGCCCGGCTGGTGCTTCTGGAAGCTTTGGGGACTCATTCACGTGCCCTGCATGTGGGGGCGTGTGTGGGTGTGCACCCACGTCTACATATGTTGCTCCAGAAAGGCAAGGCCAGGGGCCACCCTTTTTCATGAGACACGGATGGCTTTGCAGATCTTGGTTTTTCCCTTCTGTCCCTGCTGCTGCAGCTGGCAGCAGTGCACAGCCTGTGTCTGTTGTTTGCATCTCCCTGCCTCCTGCACACATGCAGGGCCACAGCCTTTGGGGATCAGACCCTCTGGGTCCTCTGCCTGGTCCTGGTGCATCTCCCACCCCCAAGCCGCTGGTACTGCTGGGCCCGCCACTTGGTTTGGTAAAGCAGCTGCACACGTTTGTTCAGGAACAATGCTGTCCCTGGCTGCTTTCCCACTGCAACGCAATAGCTGAAAGGCAGAAGCCACCCAGATGTCCGTCATCAGGTGATGGATAAACACAGTGTGGTCCATCCATACCACAGAATATTATTCAGCCTTGAAGAGGAAGGACATTCTGACACAGGCTACAACATGGATGACCCTTGAGGACACCATGCTCAGCGAAATCAGCCAGTCACAGAAGGACAAACATTATCCAATTCCACTTACATGGGATTCCTAGAGCAGTCAAATTCATAGAGACAGAGAATAGAAGGGTGGGTGCCAGGGAGGCCCGGGAGTTGTTTAATGGGGACATCTTCTGGTTTACTGAAAACATCCTGGAGAGGTTTGGTGGTGGTGGCTGTGGGACACAGTGTGGATGTACTGAACACTCCGGAACTGGTTTAGATGGTAAATGTTATGTTCTGTGTATTTGACCGCAATTAAATTGTTTTTAATTTTGAAAAAGGAAAGCCTTCTGCATCTCAGGTGGCAACTGGGTGCTGGCTCAAATGCACTCCCTCTGAGCGAGCTTCTGGGGGCTCGCTGATAGCACAGCCACCCCGCCCAGCTCGACCTGGAATGCAAGGGCCCTGGAGCGCTTGTTAGGGATCGCCTATAGCCGAGCTCCACCGGGCGGGCATCCAGGGGATATGAGGGGCCACAGCCTGCCCACTCCACTCGCCCACTGGAGAAAGTCTGCGAAGGGTCAGTGTGGGCAGCTCCCCCTACCCAGGGCGGGGCTCAGTTTGAGGCACCATGCTCCCTGGGCAGTGCTCTGAGCTCTGGGCCCAGCCACCCAGGGCACCAGGCACCAGGGCTGGGCTCCTGCCTCTGCCTGCCCTTTCTGCAGCTGCACTCTGGTCTGGCTTCCCCAGGGGAGCTACAAGGGAGGGTCCCAGACTCTCTGGAGCTTTGGGGACAGCCCCCAGGAATCTGCACAGCAACAGGCTCCCTGGGGGACTGCCATCCAGGTGGGCCGAGAGACCACCGTTTGAGAAGCTGCTTCAGAATTCCCAAAGCTTTGTCCTTTTCTGATTTCACTTCATCCTCACCACAGCCCGGCAAAACAGGTATCAAGACTCCCCTTTAAAAACTTGACAACTTTATTGAGGCATCATTTATAGAGCACACATTTCACTTCGCTGCCGTGACGATCTGATGGAGTCTGGTAAATGCTTTATAAACTGTGAAGTGGTGTGCACACACGGGGGTTCGTTATTACAGCAGATTATAATTGTTATTACTGTACAAGCTTTATTATTATGATGGTGGGGTGTTCTTGCATCATTTATCTCAAGGGTTCCTGGAGGGGTAACTAGGTAGGGGGCATGAGTTGGCCGCTTTGCAAGATTTTTGCAAACAGCAGCGATTTGCTTGCATGCGATGTCTGTGTGCCTCACTTAGACACTTTGGTGGAGAGCAGGGTTTTCGTTGTGTTGTTTTTTTCAACATTTTGTTTGGACATAATTTCAAACAACAGAAAAACTACAAAAATAAAAATAGTACAAGAACAGCATAGACCTTTCACCTGGGCTTAATGACTGCGCCCAGCCTGCCCCATTTATTTTCTCATTGGCTTGCTTGCTGGTGCGCTGCGGGTGACTTTTCTGAACCATTCGGTATTAAGTTGCAAGCATGTATCACACCTCCTTGCCTTTAAAGAGACCCTAGAGACAGACAGCTCTTCCCACATCATCCCTAACTGTGTTAGGATGCGAGCTTGCCATCACAGCCGCATCCTAACACAGTCCTCTCTCCCAGCTGTGTTCCCGTGTTCCCAGCTGACCCCAGAATGTCCTTCACGGCTCTTGTCCTCCAGCACAGGGCCACTCTGGGGTCAGGTGTTGCATTGATGCGTCTTGTCTCTGTGGTTCTCTTTCATCTGGAACATTTCCATGGTTTTGGTCATGTACACTGCTGACATTTGGGAAGAACACGGGGCTTTTTTTTAATAGATGGGTCCTCATTTGGGGTCGTCTGGCAGTTCCTGGGACTGGACGGAGCCTGCACATTTTTGGCTTCAGCGCCACAAGAAAGAGTGTGTGTCTTTCTTGGGCACAGGATGTCCATTCGCCTCTCACTGCTGGTGTTGTTTCTGATGCTGGTGATGTTTCTGATGGAGGAGCTGCGGAGTGATCTGCTGGACAACCGCTCAGTGTTTCCTTCCAGCTCAGGGGCACTCTCGGGGGTCGGGGCGGGGGACGCTTTACCAGCATGGACACGGTCTGCTCCTCACCAGAGCTCCCCCTGGAGGAATGTCCCGTGAACGACGCCGGCCAGAACGTCAGCTTTGGAACCCGGCACTTCCCCGACATTCACCAGTCAGCAGCTGGCCTTCCGCTGAAACAACAGCCCTTCCATCTCACCTATCATCCATCAGTCACCTACCTATCTATCTATCCATCTATTTCTCAATCTGTCGTCTATCAATCAGCTATCTGTGTAATCCATCTACCTACCTATCTACCTACCTGTCACATATCTATCATCTGTCTATCTACCTATCATGTACCTACCTGTCTATCTTCTACACATCATCGACCTATCAATCATCTCTATCTCTCTGGCCATCAATCATCCGTCAGCTACTATAGTATGTTCTTTTGGATCCCCATTTTTTTTTCAAGGATTTGTGATTCATTGCTGTACTTCCATATTTTGGTGCTCAAATGGTTCCAAATTTGGTCAGAAGGCGCCCCTCCGTGCTGGCTCTGGAGTCTGTGACATGCCACCTTTGTTTGCCTGTGTGTGTGCCTCGTTACTTTCTGGCATAACATGATGTTCCAGGCTATTTTTGTACTTTTCTTGCACCAGCCCTAAAATCAGCCACTTCTCTGAGGAGCCCTGGTAATATAATGGGTAATATATTAGCAACCAAGGTCTGGGTATATAATGGGTAATATATTAGCAACCAAGGTCTGGGTATATAATGGGTAATATATTAGCAACCAAGGTCTGGGAGCCAGTGGCAAGGTCTGGGTGCCAGTGTCAAAGATAGAAGGGTTTTAAGCCTTTCAGCCGACAGACCTAAGAGATGCACACAGGCACATCACCCAGAGACACACACACACACACACACACACACACGGACATAAAGACAGGCACACGAGGACACGCGTCTGCACGTGCTCACGCACGCATGCGTGTTTCTGAGAGCATGACTCACGCATGCGTGTTTCTGAGAGCATGACTCACGCATGCGTGTTTCTGAGAGCATGACTCACGCATGCGTGTTTCTGAGAGCATGACTCACGCATGCGTGTTTCTGAGAGCATGACTCACGCATGCGTGTTTCTGAGAGCATGACTCACGCATGCGTGTTTCTGAGAGCATGACGCACGCATGCGTGTTTCTGAGAGCATGACGCACGCATGCGTGTTTCTGAGAGCATGACGCACGCATGCGTGTTTCTGAGAGCATGACGCACGCATGCGTGTTTCTGAGAGCATGACTCACGCTGACGTGCAGTCCCTGCCTGAGGGGTTCTTCCTGGCCCTCCACGTTCCTGATGGTCTGTCTCTTCTTCCAGTGACGTGGATGTGTGACCTGGTGTGCACGGCTGTGCCAGCGCCTGTGATGCCTTTAGTGTGGCCATGTTCATTCCACTACAAGAGTAAAACTCATGCACCAGAGAAGCTGCCCTGGGCCCGTTCGCACTCCCCGCTTACCTTCTGACCTTGCCTGAGGCTGCCGGACAGACACCGTGTTCATGGCTTCTTGGATTAGTTCTTCATTTCTTTTTGGTTTCCACTGTGGCTGTGTTCTTCATTTGAGATGTAATTTGCCCATTTTTCCCGTTTTCTGTCCATTTTATTTTTCCCTTTCTCATACCTCCTGATTTAATATGTAGAACACGAATATGCTTCTGCAAGTCAGAAGTGCAGAAAAGGTGTGCTGGGCTGCCTCCCTGGAGAATCCCTCCCCGCCCCTCCCCCACTCCCTGCAGGAAGCTAATCTAATTGTTGTCTTGTTTATTCTTCCTGTGCTGCTGCTTGTAAAGACAGGCAGTCGTATCTACACTCCGTGCAACAGGCAGCGTACTACTGTGTTGTTTGGCGTGGTGCTTTCTTTCACTTATCAATATCTTCTAGAAGTCTTATAGAAAAAATCAGCAAACTGCGTGAACACACAGTTCCCAAGCAGGGATGTAAAAACGGCCCTTAGCTGCCTGAAAAGGTGTTCAACTTCCTCACAGAAGAGAAATGCAAATTGAAGCCACACCAAGGAAACACTTCTCTGCCATCACATTGGCAAAAATCAAACGTCTGAGGACACACCCTGCCGGCGACGCTGTGGGGAAGGTCGTGGGATTAGAGCAGAGCAGCTCTTACACTTTGCATTTGTGCTTCTTAACTTTGAAAAGTTCTTTGTGTAGTAGAGACATGAGACATGAGCCTTTTCTCTAGGAAGCGAGTTCCAAATATTTTCTCCTGGTTCATTTGTCGTTTCGTTTTGCTTAGTTTTTTCCTTGCATAAGCTGCTTTCATTGGCAATTGTATGAATATTTTCTTTGATTACACCTGGATTTGTAGTCACAGAAAGCCCTTCTTCATTGCTCTTATAGAGGAATTCACAAATGTTTGCTTCTAGCATTTGTATATTTCAGTTTTTTGCATTTAGGACTCCCATCTACTTGGAGTTTATTCTTGGGCATGGTGTGAGAAATGGATCTAATTTTATCTTTTTTGCAAATGGTTTTCCACTTGTCCCAGTACCATTTTATGTGAAATACCAAGACCGTTCTAGTGACTGGAGCGCCCCCTCCTCACACACGGCGTCAGCGGGGGGCCTGTCTCTGTCCCTCCTCTCCCACGGCCCTGTGTATTTTTGTGTCATTTGGCACTGTTCTCATTAAAGAGGCCCCACTGCGTGCTTTAGCGTCTGATAGGGCTGGCCCCGTTCACCCCGCCCTTCCCTGGCAAGGCTTGTTTATTTTTCCATGTGAACGTTAGTATCAGTTCTAGCTCTCTTTGAAAGAGAAACGCATGGGGTTGTTATTAGAATCGCATTAAATTTATACCCTAAATTAGGGAGAGCTGACATCTCGGTGATGCTGGAACATCCTAACTGTTCTATTTCGGGTTTTTTTTGTGTCTTCAGGAGTGTTTTATGATTGCCTTCGTATAGGTTATGAACACTTATTGTTAAGTTTCTGTTGACGGGTTAGAGAGCACGGGTTTGGCTGTGTGCTGGTTATTCTCTGTGTGCCCCCCAGACACCCCCACCCAGCCTTACCCGTATCCCGTATGGCTGTGTCAAGGGGCGCCCCTGCCCACCAGCTGCTCATCGTGTATGGCTAAGAGGAAGCTCACAGAAAATAATGGGGTGGGGCGAGAGAGATCGGGGTTTTATCCCCAGACCCCTTCTCCCGGTCCTGGGCAGGAGCGCCTGCGTCTCCCTGCCATGGACTGCTGGGCGGCCCGGGCCCTCCTCTGGGGTCTGCCTGCGTCCCTCCTGTCCTCAGGCGTGGGTCAGCCCTGGCTCCCCGGCTACCTACCCCAGGTTCTGCTCTGTCCTTTCCTAGTTCCCCTGACTCTACCCATACCGTAGAGACCGCCCCTTCTTTAAACCCTCTGGGCTCACTCTGCTGGTGTGCGCCCTCTGCTCCCGCCTGGACTCGACTCGCTCTGCTGGTGGGCGCCCTCTGCTCCCACCTGAACTCGACTCGCTCTGCTGGTGTGCGCCCTCTGCTCCCGCCTGGACTCAACTCGCTCTGCTGGTGTGTGCCCTCTGCTCCTGCCTGGACTCTGCCCCAGGCACCTGCCCGGCACCCTCACCTTTTTGGAGAGAGCCCCTTGGGAGCCCACCCTCTTCCCACTCACTGTCCCTTGCCTTGCAAGGAACAGATCCCTCCCCAGCTCTTAAGGCAGCCGCATCAGGAGCGGCACTCACAGCAGACCATCCCCTAGGCCAGAGGGGTCTAGGGTTGGTGCACGGCCCCAGGCAACTCGGGGAGCTTCCATGCGGGGCTTTATCCAGAACTCCCGAAAAGAAGGCATTTCTCCTCACCCTAGAGGGCAGGAGCCGGGCTGTTCTTACCACCGGAAAGCACAAGCCTCCCTCAGACTAAAGCAGAACTGCAAGAAGAGGAGACTCCATCCCAAGAACGGGGTTCGGCTCCTGGATTCCACCACGCCCAGAGCCCGGGATTAACCTCCAGGCTTTTCCATCACATAAGCCAATAAAGTCACTTTTTTGTTTCAGCCAGTTTGGTTTTGTTTCTGTCACTTGCAACCTGGGTCCCCCGACCTGCACAGGCTTCCAGAGGAGTTTTGTACCGTGTGAGCCAGGGTGATGATGGGGAGCCCAAACACGAGGAGGGGCAAGCTGAAACCCATCAGAGAGAGTCCCTGCACCGCAGCTCAGGCCACAGCAGGACCTGTTTCCAGCCCCAAACAAGAGGTGACCTAAGCATCACACCATTCTTGGTTCAAGAGCCCCTCCAACATTGCAGGGGCAGGCCCACCACCTGAAGCCCACCCGCACCCCACCCCTGGGGGCTCAAGTCAAGATTCTGCAGGCCCAGGGCAAGCTGACCAGAGGAGCAGCCCCCAGAACCTGCCAGAATGAGGCTGTGCCTTTGGGGCAGGCTATGCAATGCATATGGTCACCCTCCCATCACTTATCTGCACATGGTCCTGGGAGGCACATCATATCAGCACCTCGATTTTGCAGTTGACAAAACCAAGCCTCAGAGAGGCTGATTGATTTGCCCACGGTCACCCAGAGAAGGCTCCCAGTCTGCCTTGCAGGATGGGCTGGCCAGCAGAAGGGGCGCGAGGCTTTTGCTTGTGGCCAGGGCAGTGCTGCAGGGTGTAGCTTGAACGTGGTCTGGCACAGCCATGAGATGTCACCTTGGTGGGGAGTTGGATGGGGGAAGGTGGCAGTGGAGTGGAGCCAGGCTTGGATGGCCTCAAACACCAGGCAGCTGAAGACTAATCCTAACACTGCCACAACTTGTAAGACTCTGCAACTTGTAAGGTTCTGCCTCCTTGGCTGCTGAGCTGGGTGGGTCTAGGGCTTGAGGAACACAGTGGATCACAAAAATGGCCTCAGCCCTTCACTCTTGAATGAGCTAAACAAATGGTTATTGTAAATTGCTAAATTGGGGCTGTTTGTTACGCAGCAGTAGCTAACTGACACAGGGTGACTGAAGGGGGAAAATAAATGAATGTGGTGACTACAGGGCCTGCATGGCTGGTCTTCTGCTGAACATGATGGTGCAGGGTCCTCACCACTGGGGACTGGCAGCATCCTGTGCCACAGCCTGGTGTGGAGCACATCCACACAGTGCTCCGTGACCCAGCGTCTCCTGCCTGAGGTCCCACCACAGAGAATGAGTCCCTCCAAGCCTGCCTCTGATGCCTGATAGAAGGTAGTCCCACTAGGGGCTCATTTTCTGCTATTGACATCTTGGTGGGATGAGGGGCCCCAGAGCAGGTTTAGATGCACTGGAGGAGCTGAGAGCTCTGGGGGTGTGAAGGGGGAGGAAGGGGATAAAGCTCACCAAGGGCAAATGTGGCAGCCAAATTGGGTCCCCCAGATTTATCCATACCCTGGTACCTGTGAACGTCACATTGCATATAATGTAATTTTGCAAGAAGGATTTTGTAGATGTAATTACAGTTACTAATCAGAGATGTTAAGACAGGGAGATTGTCCTGGATTATCTGGGAGGGCCTGGTCTAAGCACAGAAGGCATTAGAAACAGGGAACTCCATCAGGCTGGAGTCAGGGCAGTGTAGGAGAAGTCAGAGAGATCCAAAGAGTGGGAAAGACTCCACCTGCCACTGCTGGTTGGAAGATGTAAGGACAGTGTGATAGGGGATTCAGGGAGCCTTGCAGGGCTAGGGACAGCCCCACTGGCCATCAGCAAGGGATAGGGACCTCAGTCCTAGGATGGTGTATCATTCGGTTTATCTCCAGATAAACCGAACCCAGAGGTCGTGTGTGTGTGTATGTGTATGTGTGTGTGTGTGTGTGTGTCTGTGTGTGTGTGTGGTTGCAGGGGCTGTCAAGTCCAAAATCCGCACGGCAGGCTGGCAGGCTGGCAGGCTGGGAAGAGTTGTGCTGAAGCTCCAGTCCGAGTCCGTCGGCTGCCGAAATCCTCTCTTCCTCCATAGGGAGTGTGGCCTTTTCTCTGAAAGCCTTCACCTGATCAGATGAGGCCCTCCCACATCCAATCAGGTGAAGCAGATGGCCTGATTTAAATCTTAATCTTTAAGAAAAAAAATTACCTTCACAGCAACATTTAGAATATGGTTTGACTAAATAAATATCTGAGTACCATGGCCCAGCCACGCTGGAGCATAAATTTCACCATTCAAACTCAAGCATCGGGATTCTGCCACACCCTGCACCAGGCCAGAAGCAGGTTCTCACCAAGAGCCTCCAAAGCACAGCCAGGCCCTGGCATCTTGATTCCGGCCTGGTTAAACCTGGAGCAGGGGGACTGGCTGAGCCCGTAGGACTCCGGACCTACACAGCCGTGGGAGGAGAAACATGTGCTTCTCAACACCACGGAGCTTGTGGTCACTGGTTACAGCAGCGTGGGCAGCCCACAGGGTAAGCCCTTGATGGCAGCGGGCCTGCTGGGGTGGAGAAGCGCTCAAGTGGGTGAGATCGAGATGCCACACAGCTGAATCTGGGCATTGTCTTGGGCCTTTTGCCAAGTTCCAAGGTGAGCTGGCGTGAAATCTCTTAGCCAGCAGAGCAGGGAGATCTCTGTGACACTGCGGCTGAGGGAGACCCACCGGCCTCACATCAGGGATGTGCTGGCTGTTTCTCAAAGCCTCCAGTGAATAAGCCACAGTCCACCCCTCCACACTGTCACATGGGACAGCACCTCTTAAGCCATGGTCAGCCTTATCCTGATTGCCCTGGGGTCATTAGTGGCCTGCCACCCCTCACCTGCCCTTCTCACCCCGGGTGCCTCCCCCTCCAGCCTGTCCTCCAAGTGGCTGGGAGCCCAGGTGTGTGGTGCTCCTGGGACCTCCAGCCACAGAACAGGAGCTGTTCCCTCCTCCCCTGCTTCATCCCTCAGGACCCTGCAAAGGACTTTGCTCTAAAACCAGCTTCTGCTAAAGTCATTGATCACCTCAATTTCCTGAGTGAGGTGACATGGCCCTGGGGGATGGGTGACCACCCCAGCACAGGGATGATAGCAGAGACTTGGACCTCCTGATGCCCAAACCCAGCTCTTCCTCCACGGCATGGGGTGGTGCAGATGATGCTGTCATCCCACGTGTTCGTGGCACTTTGATCATTTTGAGGGACAAAAATCCTAAGTGACAGGTCATGAAATTACGGCCAGCATGGTTAATCAGCAGCGGAACTGGCCCCGGCCAGCATGGTTAATCGGCAGCTGAACTGGCCTCGGCCAGCATGGTTGATCGGCGGCGGAACTGGCCTCGGCCAGCGTGGTTGATCAGGGCGGAAGTGGTGTAGGCCAGCGTGGTTGATCGGGGCGGAACTGGCCTCTCTCCCTGTCACTAGCGGCAGAACTCGTCGAGTGGCCTATCGTGCTCTTTGATGAGCGTTTACAGCTGTGGCTTGTGTGACCTCTGATTCTCACGGAGAGGGCCCCGGACGCGCGTGGGGCCCTTCACAGTCTGGCAGTGCTGCTGTGCTGGGTTTCTGGGGGTGGAGGTTCCTCCCACACCCAGGCCACACCTTCTTCCAGCAAAGCGGGGCAGGGGTGCTGTGGGCAGGGTGGGCTTGCTGGCAAACCGCTGTCACATTCGCCCAGATAGCTGTGTTCTCCTCCTCTCCCTACTGGGGACTGGCCACTCCCCCAGGTCCTGGAGGGCCCAAGGACCAGGCTGAGGGAGGGAGGTCTCTTTGCTGAAGCTTGAGGGAGCCTGGGATCCAGGGATCCTGCAGAGCCCACCTGTGCCCAGGTCTGGGGTACAGGTGGCTCCCAGAGGGGAATCCTCAACTAACGGGAAACTGACAAGCTGGCGGGGACTAGAGGGCCACAGAGGCCCATGGGAGTCCCAGGGGTGCCTCACCCCGCCCAGGGAATCCCAAAGACTCCCTGGAGGAGGCCAGGCAGCTGGGCCACCACAGTTGGTCTGTGACTGTGGTTTCAGGGGGAGCATGGTGAGTGCTGCCCACGCACCTCAGCCCGGTGGGATGGCGCCAAGGCCTTGTGGCGCTGGACGAGGTCATCTCAGCTCTGCGCTGTGGAGGGGCCTCTGCCAGCTGCAGGCCACGCCCTCGCCTCATGTCCCTGGGACCTCACATCGCAGCCCCGGGACAGCTGCACCTGCCACAGGCCAGGTCAGGACTGGCCTCATTCCCCCGACCCTCGGTGTCAGGCCTCCAGGGTGGGAGCATGAGGCTGTGCTGGACCCAGAACTGCAGCTGTTGGTGGGGCCAGGTGGAGAGAGGGAGCCCCAGGCAGCCAAGCCTCCTCTCTGTACCCCGAACATATGAGATCCCCAGGGCTGCCATAAAGAGTGCCACAGACTGGGGCCTAAACAACAGAAACAGAAAGATCTCCTCTCCCAGCTCTGGAGGCCGGGAGTCCGGGTCAGGGTGTGGGCAGGTCTGGCTCCCCTCGAGGCTGCGAGGGAAGAATGGTCCCATCCTCTACCCAGCTCCTGGTGGCGCCAGCAGCCGCGGCCGCTCCTTGGCTTGAGGAAGTGACACCCCGACCCCTGCCTTCTTCCTCCCACGGCACTCTCCCTCCGTGCCTGTGTCCAAATCTCCCCCTTTATAAGGACATCAGCCAGATTGAATTAGGGGCTTCCCTATCCCAGCATGACCTCATCTTAACTCATGACATCTCCAACGACCTTATTTCCAAATAAGGGCCCACTCTGAGGTCCTGGGGTTGGGACTTCAATATGAATTTTGGGATAACACAGTTCCCCCATAACCCCAAGCATGGGCCCAATTTGCCCACTGCACGGGGCAGAACTAAAGCCCCACGCCGCCCCTACCCTCTTTGCAGGGGGTCAAGGCCATGCAGAGCTCCCTGGCCTCCCCCAGGGAAGACCTGACCTCCAGGCCAAGCAGCTCACCCAGGTCCCTCTCCAACCCCACCCGGAGCTCTCTTTGACAAACGCAGAGGTTGCATCTTATCATCTCATGGCCTCTCCGGCCCTGTGGGCGCCGCTTGTAGGCTGGCCCCGGGAAGCTGTCCAGTTTAAACCTAGCCAGGCGCGGTGGCTCATGCCTGTAATCCCAGCACTTTGGGAGGCCAAGGTGAGCGGATCACAAGGTCAGGAGATCGAGACCATCCTGGCTAACATGGTGAAACCCCGTCTCTACTAAAAAATAAAAAATAATTAGCCGGGCGCGGTGGTGGGCACCTGTAGTCCCAGCTACTGGGAAGGCTGAGGCAGGAGAATGGCATGAACCCAGGAGGCGGAGCTTGCAGTGAGCCGAGATCACGCCACTGCACTCCAGTCTGGGCAACAGAGCGAGACTCTGTCTCAAAAAATAAAATAAAATAAAAAAATTTAAAAATAAATAAATAAATAAACCTGGGGCAGCCGTCTCTCCAGGGTAAGCGACAGTGAATCACACCAGTGGACGGGCAAAGCCAGGGATGAGCAGGGCCCACTCCTCCGTGGGTGGCGAGGGAGCAGGCCACCTCACCTCCCCGGCTCTCTGCTGTAGCAGCCACTGAGGGTCTGCAGGAGTGCCACCCTCACCCCACCAGAAACGCCCCACCTTCCTGTCTCCTTTCCGCTCACTGTCCTCACAGCCTGTCCTATGCCCAGCCTTGCCTCAGTGGAGATGAATAAGCCACAGTCCACCCCTCCACTGTGTCACGTGGGACAGCCCTCTCAAGCCGCAGTCAGCCTCATCCTCACTGCCCTGGGGCCGGTGGTGACCTCCTACCTGCCCTCCTTACTGTGAGCGCCTCCCCTATCCAGCCCATCCTCTGAGCGGCCTCCAAAGGCCCCCCTAAAATGCCTGTCTCATCGTATCCCTTCCTGGCTTATCCAAACCCCAGTGGAATTACCAGGCTCTGTGCCCATCTCACCCCTCCTGAGACCCCACAGAAGAACAAGTGAGAACTGGTTCATGCCAGGAAGGAGCTTGGGAGGGATACAGGTGCCAAGCAGTGAGAGACGCCAACCAGTTTCTGGACCATGGAAAGGAATGGGAGTGGACTCTCGGTGAACGGAAGAGAAACCCACAGCCTGGCGTCTCCACGAGTGGCCGCAGGGGTGAAGCAGGGTGGGCTCCGGACTCAGAGCCCAGGGACAGCCAAAGGCAGGTGTGAGAGGAGGGGCTGGAGGGGACAACTGCCCCTCACCCCCAATTCCTCACTTGGAGTGAAGACAGGAAGCTTATACCCCAGGAAGTAAATTAGATTATTCTCCAAGCAACTCAAAAGAACTGCCTGTGGATACCAGCAGGCCCCCCAAAGGCCTGTCTCCTTCCAGCTCCTGGGACACCAAGCGGGAGAGGTGGCCGCTTTGCCATTCCCTCAAAGCGGAGCTTCCAGGTGACACCTTGTCCTACCCCAGGGGAAAGAAGAGCTACTCAGACAAGAGCAGAGGTTGCTCCCGCCTGCCCCTGCCCAGCATCCCTCCAACAGCCTGAAACGGCAGCATGGACCTCAGGGGAAGCAGGGGCTCTTGAAACAAGTCCCAGCACATTAAGCTTAAAAACAAGAACTTCTAATGAAAGTGCTCAGAGGACTCATGAAAATATCACAATCATAGGAAGACACAAATAGAAACAATGAGAGAACAAGAAAGAACACTGGGAGGTTGAAATACAATTGCCAAAATACAAACTTCAGCAGAGAATATGGAAAATAAAGTCGAGAACATCCACCAGAATTTAGATTAAAACAAAAGTAAAGGACCAAACCAGAGGACCTAATATCGGACAGACAGAGTCCCAATAAGAAACACAGGAAACAGAGGGAGACGATGGCCAGGGAATTCACAGAACAGATGGTACAGCACCAGTGTCACGATTTCTTCCATTTCCTGTGGCCTTCCCTGGATGGTGGGAGGAAAATAGCCCATAGCCAGAGGCATCGTTGCTGAATTTCCAATCTCCATGGATGGCTTCCAAATTTCCAGGAAAAGAAAACAGGTGAGCCACAAAGGGAGCAGAATCAGAAGGACTTTTTTTTTTTGAGACAGAGTCTCACTGTCACCAGGCTGGAGTGCAGTGGCTCGATCTCGGCTCACTGCAACCTCTGCCTCCCGGGTTCAAGCCATCTTCCTGCCTCAGCCTCCAGAGTAGCTGGGACTACAGGCACGCACCACCACACCCAACTAATTGACTTTCTAGATCTCACTGGCAACACTGGAGTCTGGGGAGAAGATGCTTTCTCGGTTCTGAGGCAAGTAATGTTCGACCTGGCATTCTATACACAGTCAAATGGTTTATCAAGTGAGAGGACAGAATAAAAACATTTTCACAAATGCCAGAGCACACGTATTTGTTTTTCATACCCTTGTTGCTAGGAAGTTACTTGAGGATGTGCTCCAGCAGGAGCAGGTGGCAAAACAAAGAAAGGGAAACACAGGCACTATGACTCTGTAGATCCAGCTCTGTGTGGAGGGAAGGGAAGGTCGGGAATAGTGGAGCAGACCTGGGGACAACCAGTCCACACTGGAACAGACACCAGGGGATGCGGGGAGGCTTCTGGGCAGCAGGGGGTGGGACAGAATGGATGTTATGATGGAGAAACAACGATTTTGAGGGAGAAAAATAATGATAAATAAAGGCATACATATAAAAATTGGGTCATTAAATCTCCACGAAAACAAGAAATCACACAGGAGACTTGGGGAAAGACTGAAATGTGATATGATCTGGAACAATGAGTGGAGAATGAGTAAAGAACCCATTTGGCTGGGGGCGGTGGCTCACGCCTGGAATCCCAGCACTTTGGGAGGCAGAGGCAGGCAGATCTTTTGAGCCCAGGAGTTTGAGACCAGCTTGGGCAACATGGCGAAACCCTGGACCATGCCTGTGGTCCTAGCTACTCAGGAGGCTGAGGCAGGAGGATTGCTTGAGCCCAGGAGCTTGAGGCTGCAGTGAGCCAAGATCATGCCACTGCACTCCAGCCTGGGCGACAGAGCGAGACCTTGTCTCAAACAAACAAAAAAATAACCCACTTGCTCTGCAGTTACCCTCAAATTCCCAGGGATTGTGGGAGAAGACGTCACGGCAGGCCTGGCCTCACCCTGAGTGATACTTACACAGTCATCACCATCCACACACTCCTGGCTGATTTTTGAATGTCAAGGCATCTCAGGGCCAGGCCTAGTAGGGCCAGGCATGGTCCCAGGACCGAGGACACCCCCAGCCTGGACGCTGTGGAGGGACGTGGGAGGTGGAGCTGGGTCTGTGGTTGGACCCACAGCTTTTTGGGATTCTGTTCGTTTGCCCACCGGCTCCTCTGGCTTCCATCGCTCTCCTGCACTAGAACGTAAGCTTCATGGGGCTGAGCCCAAGACCGTCTTGTCCCCTCCTGCTGGGGCCTCCTCACATGGAACCTGGGGCCAGGTGTGCACTGGGCCACATTCACGGGCAACCGACTGAGCTCCTGGGCCACCCAGCCCCTGGGAAGAGCCAGCTGCCACAGTCACAACCTCGTCCCCAGGTCACAGCCGCTGCTAGGCCCTCGCACTCCTCCAGAGCTCCAGGCCCATCCCTGTGCCGCGTCTCCTGACAGCCTCGCCTCTGCCCCACCTGGCCCATGGGATGGGCCTTCTCCCCTAGAGCCTGGGGGTCTAGCTGCGTCCTCCAGGGTGAGAGGGCACTGCCTGGTACATAGGGTGCTCAAGGCCACCTCAATACTGTCTATAAAACTGGGTTTGCCCCACTAAGCACCATGGTGATGTCGTCTTTCCAAGCCACAGCCTTTGCCTCCATCAAGGGGGTGGGAATTGGGGCCAAGGGTTTAAGCCAAGTTTTATGAAAACGACTGGGTGAAACCTCCACACTGCAATGCCTGTTACACAGTCTCCCGCACCCCACACCACGCGCCTTCACACACACACGGGGAATGAGCGTCTCTCGTCTCCGGGGTGGCTGATGGGACCTCAGGGGCACCTTCCTTGGGGCCATCCCACTTTATGCCCTTCCCTCCTTTCTGGCAACAGACCTCTGCTTTTGCTGTCATCTGACTATGCCTGATCCCACGGTCCAGTCTGCCCAGGTCTCTGGGTGGGCACCTGACCTAGGTGAGCCCACTCCCCAGCCACGGGGATTGCCCCAGAGGAGCCCATCAGACGCTTCCCCGGGACACATTTCTAGGGCCACAGGGCTGGGCACTTTCCTCTCCCCTGGACTGCTAAGCTGGGCAGACGCAGCGACTGTAAGACGTGCCTGGCAGCAGCCTCCAGCCTGGACTTGGACAGAGATACGGGCCCCTTCTCATGTCGTTGGGTCCTGCTGTGCCTGGGCCCATCCTGGTCCCCAGACCCCGTTACAAAATCTTGACTGGCTTGAGTCAGGCCGTGTGTGGTCCCTGCTGCCAAGAAGGCTACATCTTCTGGGGCTGCCCCTTTCCCACGGGGAACCCCCCGTGTCCTCCCTCTTGCACAGGAGCCCCCGTTTTGCCTGTGACTGCCCAGGTCTTTGGGTCCCCGCTTCCCATCCCCGCCAGCAGGGCCTCATACACGGCGGGCCGGTTGCCTGCCCAGTGGAGATCTCGGGATGTGAAGATGAATGAGGAGTGTGGCCTCCCTGGTGTGGGGACCTACTCTGTCGTGGGCAGGTTAGCGACATCGTCCTTCACGCCATCTCGCCTTACAGGCTCCGAGAGTAACTCATGTGGGTGCAGCACTGGGCTTCGAACCCAGGCCGCTGGGACTCTGGGCCCATGCTGCCTCACCTTCCCCAGGGGCCAGCGCCTATGGCATTGGGCTTGTTTCCAGATCTCAAGGCTGCAAGGCCGAGGTCAGGGTTGACTTTTACCTGCATATTGAGTGACAAGACTTGAGAGGCATCTTTCAGAACCGCTCGGCTTTGGTGAGGCAGTTCTGGGCACCTGAGCTCACACCTGCCTGCCACAGGCAGCGCCTCCGAGCACCAGGAACATGGGGCCGGTGTCTCAGTTTCCCTCAAGAGGCCACTCATGGCCAGCACTGCCCGGTGGCTCCAGGCTCCTGACAGCATTTTGTTATTTGGAGTGATCCTCCAGAGGCAGACGAACTGCTTGAGCTGCCAAATTTCCCCCAGAAAGAAAGAAAAAAAAAAGATGATTTTGAAGCTTTTAGAAAAAGCAAATATTTTACTTTACAAAATGCGATCTTCTCTACATTCTTCAAGGGAAGGGTGTGCAGAGAAGTCAGTGGAGGGAAAAGCTCTTCTCACAGAGCTCCGGGCTCCGCTCTGGAGAGGCGCTCAGGAGATGCAGACACTTGTCAATCACGGTTCCAGCGCGATTCAGGGGAGAGAAGGCAGGTGGGGGGCAGGCTGCAGGTGGCCCGTAGCTCACCTCCCCCTCTATCTTTGGGACAAGTCCCTGCCTGGCTCTGGGCGGCAGTGTTTCTGAAGCTTCTAGCCAATCCTGAGCACTCCTGTGTCCACACCTGGAGTTCCATCCCCCAGGCAGGCGGGTAGGGCCTCAGGGGTCAGCTGCTGGGGCCTGGCTCCAGTCTCGCCCCCCTTCCCCAGGACAGCAGCCACCGGCAGCCCTGCTCCCTCAAGCTCCACTGCAGACCATGCAGGAGCCCACCCGCCAGCCCTAGACCTGAAGCAGCATCTCTGCCCAGAAGCCCTGTGGAGGCACCTTCCCAGGAGGGCGGGTGTCCTCTGGAGTAAGCAGGTGTCCCTCCATACTAAACATATTTACTGCATGCCCACTGTTCGCTGTACATACAGGTATGTTCCTTGTGAATTTCACCGCTTCTGTCTCTCCCACAGATGGCGAACATCTCACGGGACACGGCTAATGTCTACTGAGCATTTTACCCTGGTGGGGTGTGTGTGTGTTGGGGGGAGGCTGTTGTTTGCATTCATTAACTCATTCGGCCTTCAAACCAGCCCTCTCAGGGAGAGATTATGATCATCCCAATTTTACTGAGAAGGAGCAGAGGCCCAGCGAGGTTCAGAAACTTGCCTGAGGACACACAGCGAGGAAGCATCAGAGCCCACGCTGACACAGACAGCCCACCTCCCGGGCCTACTCTGTCTCATGCTGTGCTGTCTCCTGAAAGCTCCTTGCTGATTAGTGGGGATGAGGTGGCTCCCATTTTAATCCGGGAGCATCAGTGCAGGAGGCCCTTCTTATTATCTCACTGTTCCCCATGCTGCATGGAGAAATGAGGAGTTCCTCCCATTTCACAGATCGGGTCCTCAGGGGTGAGTGGGGAGCCACACGTTCAGCCCCGGGCCGTGCTGCCCTTTGGTGAGGACACCGTCTCTGGCAGGGTCTGAGCTTTCAAGCTCCCCCGGACAGGGTGCGGCCACATCACCTGTGCGGTGTCTGCAGCGCTGCCCGCCACCGGGCCTCGGACCCACACATGGGCAGCACGCTGAGTCGTTGCCACAGGCCTGGGGGTGGCCACTCCTGGGGTGAACATTCCCTTGGGTGGCAGGCAACAGGCCTGGCCCGGCTCTCTTTTCTGTTTCTGCCTCTCCATCCTCTGTAAGCCCAGGGAGAAGAGGCTTCCTCCTTGTGCAGTGGGGATGATAAAAAAACAGCCCCGCCGGCTCATGTTTAGAAAAGTGCAGGCGAAGTTTCCTTGGAAACGACACCTGCTTTTCTCCGGCATGGAGATGCACCTCCTCGCCAGGCTCCCCCGAGCACCAGTGCAAACAGGGCTCCTGTTGGGGCCTGGCCCCAGCCCCAGGTTGCTGGCGAGTGTTTATCTAAGCCCCCGTCTGTAACTGGCAGCCACAGCTCAACGAGAAATAAGGGCATGTCCTCATTACTGCTAAATGCAGCTTGAAGAAGCTCATGGCTTTCCCTTATTTGATAAAACAAGAAATCGATCATAAGCACTGCTCTCAGAAAATCATGTGGGCCCTGGGAAGGGGATCCAGAGGAGCGAGGCTTGGTCCCTTCCCCTGGGGAGCCTGCAGCCCAGCAGGGCATCCCAGCAAAGCAGACGCTGGAGGCCGAATCTCAGAATGCAAGAGAATGGACTTCCTCCACCCCAGCCTGCACTCCGGAATCGCAGAATCTGAGCACCTGAGGCCAGGGCACCCTGGAAGCATGAGCTGTTAGTCTCAGAATGTGAGGATACTGGAGGCTCAAACCCTACAAACTCCTGAGTGTGTTTATCTCAGAAGACTAGAAAAACCCGCTCAACAGCAGGGCCAAGAGCCGGGAGGCAGGCACCGGGCTTAGCAAGCATCCTTCCCCACCTCCAGCTTGCCTCTGGACTTCACCGGAGGCTCCTGGATTCCCGTGGAGCCCACCTCTGTCTCTGTCAGGCCAGGCAGAGGTCACAGGGCCAGCCTAGGCCCAGCATCTACACTTCGAATGACGTGGCCAGGAGCCATGGGGGCCATGAGAGCCATTCTGCCTGTGTCTGGACTCTCCACGGCCACTGGCTCTCCAGTCAAAGTGGAAGGAGACAGCACTGGCCATGAGAACTTGCCGCTTGATAACATTTATGCCTAGTGTTTCATTATTGGAACGCTAAGCCTGTGGGAGTTATTTATATCCAACTGCTCAATGTCATCACCAAGGTCTGATTTTTTACTCATGTAAACATTTTAAAAATTGCAACCTCAAGCATAAATGGGTTAAACCCAGAAGGGGCCTAGGGGTGATGAGATGGGCCCTTGTGAGCTCCCAGCCCTGGGCAGAAGAGCTGGCCTGGAGATCCCGGCGGACATGGCCATGATGGCCCTGAACCAGCAGCTTCCTTAAGAGTGAAGGGGCTGACGGACCCCCTACTCCAGGGCCAGGGCCTGGCCCCCAGGGAATTGCAGGCCCCCCAGCTCCTCTCTGCCAGCTCATCCTGCCACCTCCCACCTCAGGGCAGGCCCGGGAGGTTCTGTGGCAGGTGGTCTGTGCACAAAGCCTATGGCACCCTGCCAGACTGTTAGCTGTCATGGGAAAAGAACAATGTCACAGGGAACATTGGTGACAACTCAGGGTGCTACAGGGCCATGGACTGAGGGCGGGACGGCACTGCTATGTATCTATGCACATGTATACAGTTATTTATTTTCAAATGTCTTTAGAGCAGTTTTAAGTTCATAGGAAAAATGAGCAGAAGGTACAGAGTTCCCAAACCTCTCGTGCCCCCTGCCCCCACCAGCACCTGCCCTGCGCCCCCTGCCCCCACCGGCACCCCCGCCCTGGGGCCCCAGCCCCCACTGGCCCCTGCCCTGCACCCCCAGCCCCCACTGGCCCCTGCCCTGCACCCCCAGCCCCCACTGGCACCCGCCCTGTGCCCCCAATCCCCACCGGCACCCACCCTGCACCCCCAGCCCCCACCGGCACCCACCCTGCACCCCCAGCCCCCACGGGCCTCTGTCCTGCGTCCCCAGCCCCCACCAGCACCCCCCACGCCCCCAGCCCCCACCCTGTGCCCCCAGCCCCCACTGGTCCCTGCCCTGTGCCCCCAGCCCCCACCAGCACCCGCCCTGGGCACCCCCAGCCCCCACCGGCACCCTAAATGCCCTGCATGTCCATGGCACTCAGCATCCGTGGAATGTAAACCCGACCAGCTGTGCCCCGAATTCCTGGGAGCCAAGGGGAGGACCTCCCTGCAGGACACACTGGGGGTTTCCTAGGTTTGAGGTGGTGCAGGGGAGCATGAGAGGGGGTCTGGCCGGAAGATGAGTAGGGCAGCACGCCCTTGGTCCCCACCCTCATGAATAGAAGGGCGAGCAGATGTGGCCCCAGGAACCAACACCACCCTGGAGTCAGGGTCAGAGTCGGGGGCCAGACTGGAAACTCACCAGAGCTAGGGCCACTCTGCTCCTCCCCATTTGTCTCTGGATAGGGGGAGGGTCTGGGTGTGTGCTCGTCCTCCAGGACCACACCTTGGGGTGGGGCCACCGCATCTCCCCTTGAGGTCAGGGTAAGAACTTCAACTTTCAAACAGGTGATGGCAGTTTGAAACAAGGTGGAAATGAGGCCACCCAATCTGAGGCCCTGTGGGGCCCCCCACCATCCTCTGAGCTTCCTGGGGGCCAGGCCCAGTGGGGGCTGAATTTGGGGCATCAGTAATTGAGCTTTTTGCTATACAAGGAGGAACGGGGCAAGAAGCACGTCAGCTGAACACTCTGGAAATGAGAGACTAAGCACACAGGAATCCCAGAGCTCCAAATAGTCATCTGCTGCCAGGTCTCCCGGCATCCAGCCCTGCAGTGGCTGTTCGCCTGGGATTGATGTGAAACCTGGAGCCGTGCAAGGACGGAAATTCAGTCTAAACAGTCGTTAGCATCTCTACCCCTGAGATCGCACAGAGACTGGATGATCAATTTTTCAGTGACTTTAATGGAATATTATCTCCTTCTCCTTTGAAATCAATTTCACCAAGGCCAAAGCTCTGGTTAGGTTAAATAGCTATTGAAATGCAGGAGACAGAATCAACCAACAAGCTTTCTCAGAACTGAAGTGGGAGAACAGGGCAGATGTCAAAGAACTGGGGAGCCATGGATGGTTCTATGGTCTCAGGAGAGAGCAGGGCCCATGAGTTATTCATCAATCCTTGACAGAAGGGTGGTGAGAAAATGCTAGTAATTGCCTGTGCGCACCTGTGAGTGAGCGGATGGATGAATGACTGAGAGTGTGCAGGAAGTGAGCTTGTTCACCCGATCATGGGTGTGGCAGTGACCATGACAGTGACAGCAATTGCTTGCCTGCCTCAGAGACACAAAGTGAGGATGAAGTGATGCCAGAGTTCCCCAGCTCAGCCCCCACAGCCCTCTGGGTCACCATCGGGGATTCTGAACCCAGTTGGGTGTTGTTTCCCATGCTGGCCCAGGGACCGCCCCGGGTGGTGTTGGATCCTGGGGCCACATCTGCTCGCCCTTCTATTCTGGAGGGCGGGGTCCGGGGGCGTGCTGCCCCACTCATCTTCCACGCAGACCCCCTCTCATGCTCCCTGCACCAGCTCAAACCCAAGAACCCCCCAGGAGACAGACAGGATGCAATGGCCAAGATGGCGAGTCAGGCAGAGCCCAGCAGCGGGTCCTGTCCCTGTCCTGGGGAAGCTCAGCCCTGGGGGTGCCCGTGTGCACAGACGGCCCCTTGCAGGGCAAGCCGCAGTGACACCCACGGGAGGGGAGCAGGCCCCGTGCCCTGAGAGGTTCCCAGGGGAAAGCTGCTGCCCGGACGATTTTTTTTCAGGCATCAGGAAACTCTTCCGGTGTTTTCCTGATCCTCACACCCTCTCCCTGGGGACAGGAATGACGGCCCAGGCCCGACCAGGTGCCCTGGGCTGGGTTTCCGAAGCTGGGCCAGAGGTGGGGCCAGGTGAGGGGAGCTTCTTCGAGGTGGTCAGGACCCTAGCCTTCGTGTCTGACCAGTGTGGATTCTGATGCCACCACTCATTGGAAGGCCCTGGGAAAGCCGCTGCCCGCCGTGAGCTGCGGGGCTCCCCTTTGGGGAGTGAGGGGGTGGCCCCATCTCTGGGAGTCCAAGGAGGACAGTGGAGACAGAGGGTGAGAGACGCTTGGCCACCACACACGGGGGGAGTCCAGCAGTGGGATCCGGGGGTGACTGGCAGGGGGAGGGGCCTGGACTCTGTCCTGCTGTGTCCCGGGAGGCTGGCTGGGCTCCAAGGCTCCCCGCAGGGGGCACCGCTCAGCATGGGGGCATTGCAGAGGAAGGGATACTTGGACAGCCAGACTTGGGGGTAAACCTGTGGGAGCCCCACCCCCACTGGCCTTCTTGTGGGGATGGCAGGATTCAGGGCCCTCCTCCAGGCCTGCAGACGGCCACAGCTGGTAGCCAGTGCTGAGGCAGGAGCGGTGGCCCCCACGGTGGGGAGGGACTGGGCCCTGAGACCTGGGGAGCCCCAGTCCCTGTGCAGGGAGAGGCTGGGGGACGTGGGGCTCCCCGCTGGGCTGTGCGGGGGCCATCTGCAGGGAGACCTCTTCGTGTTGCTTCTTGCTTTTCTGATGACAGAATTTGACCATTTCCACCATGGACATTTGGGAGAATGTAAGAAAAGGCAAAGCAAATAAAAATCATTTGCTGGCCGGGCGCGGTGGCTCACGCCTGTAATCCCAGCACTTTGGGAGGCCGAGGCGGGCGGATCACGAGGTCAGGAGATCTAGACCATCCCGGCTAACACGGTGAAACCCCGTCTCTACTAAAAATACAAAAAATTAGCCGGGCGTGGTAGCGGGCGCCTGTAGTCCCAGCTACTCGGGAGGCTGAGGCAGGAGAATGGTGTGAACCCGGGAGGCGGAGCTTGCAGTGAGCCGAGGTCGCGCCACTGCCCTCCAGCCTGGGCCACAGAGCGAGACTCCGGCTCAAAAAAACAAAAAAAATCATTTGCTGCGGATCACCCCACCCCTGCTGAGTAATTATAGGGGCGCAGCAGAGATCAGGGGTCTCAGGGGCCTGGGGCCTGAACCGCAGGGTCATGGCGCCTTCCGTCAGTGCTGCTTATAGAACACAGGAACTGAAGGTCCCCGCGCTGTCCACATGGTCGTGTGGCCTTGAAGTCGGGTGGTGAGACATGAGTGTCTAAGTGGTGTGTCCCAGAAACCGACTCCCAGACTCATACAAAGCTGGGGCGCTCCAGGGTGGGCCACAACCATCCTGGGGGGTGATGAGGACGGCTTTCTGCTGCTGTGCCAGCCTGAGACCACCCAGCCAGCAGCTCCCAGTGCAGGGTGGGAGGAGCACATGGCCGGCCGAGGGCCAGCGCCGACCCTGCCGCTCCCCAGGGCCCCTCCCTGTGAGTATGGGGGCAAGCAGAGGTGGTGTGCGTGGGGACACCCACCAGCATCCCGGGCGCTGACTGTGGGCTGAGGCTCCGGGGAGATCTGAGCACAGTCTGTCTCCGCCTGAGACCCTCCCCTCAGTTGTGGGGAGACATGGGGGGCAGAGGCTCAGAGGGGGACAGTCCTGCCTGATGCACTTGGCAACCTGCTACCTGGAGGTGGCCCCCAGAGCCGCTCAGCGCCCCCACCCCTCCACGCCAGCTGCGTCCCACTGACTCCACTCAATGGGGCCCTGCCGCAGGGTCCCCACACTGAGGGGCTCACGGTGGATGGGGAGGAAGAACCGCTGGAGTCACATGGCCGTGGGGAAGGCTGTGGGGTTTTTAATTCCCTGGGAAAAGCGATGAGAAGCAAAGCAGCTGGGTTAGGGCTCAGGGCAGTGGGGCGGTGGGTGGGGCATGTTTTGAGGAGTTTGCAGAGGTCAACACAACTGCCCTGAGGCAGGAGTTGACGTCCCTGAACTGTACTCGCAAGTATCTGAGCCCAAGATACCTAATTCAAAGCCTTGAGCCTGGAAGAATTCAGCCCTCCCTCCCTCTCTCTCTCCCTCCTTCTCTCTCTCTCCATCCCTCCCTCTGTCTCTCCCTCTCTCTCTCTCCCTCCCTCCCTTCCTCTCTCTCTCCCTTCCTCTCTCTCCTCTCCCTCTCTCTCTCCCTCCCTTCCTCTCTCTCTCCTCTCCCTCTCCCTCCCTCCCTTCCTCTCTCCTCTCCCTCTCTCTCTCTCCTTCCCTCCCTTCCTCTCTCTCTCCCTCCATCCCTTCCTCTCTCTCTCCCTCCATCCCTTCCTCTCTCTCTCCCTCCATCCCTCCCTCTCTCTCTCCCTCCCTCGCTTTCTCTCTCTCTCCTCTCCCTCTCTACCTCCCTCTCTCTCTCCTCTCCCTCTGTCCTCTCTCCCTCCCTCCCTTTCTCTCTCTCCTCTCCCTCCCTCTCTCTCTCCCTCCCTTCCTCTTTCTGTCCTCTCCCTCCCTCCCTCTCTCATCTCCCACCCTGTCTCTCTCCCTCCCTCCCTCCCTCTCTCATCTCCCACCCTGTCTCTCTCCCTCCCTCCCTCCCTCTCTCTCTCCTCTCCCTTCCTCTCCCCTTTCCCTCCCTCTCTTTCTCCCTTCCCCCGCCCCCTTCATTATGTCCTGGGGTCAAGTTGCTAAGGAAAGGGATATTTTTTACTTCTCAGGGCCATAAGGAGCCAGCTCAGGGAAGGGCAGGTGGGGGCCAGCCGAGATGCTCAGAGATAGCCTGAGACCCAACTCTCCCCACGACAGAACAGCCAGGGGAGGGCCGGGGGCTGGCTCCGGGGTGCCCATTGACGCCACATTCATCAAGGCAGGATGGCTTCATGGTTAGGACTGTGGCCCCTGACCCTGGCGGCCTGAGCCATGAAGCTCTGCCGCCTAACATGGGTTAGGTGCCCATCGTGGGAAGTTGCTGAACCTCCCATGCCTCAGTTTCCCCCTCTATAAAACAGGGCTGAGAATGACGCTTATTTCATGGGATGGAACATGAAGCGCCCTGGAGAGCAGGCACAAGGGCACATTATTCCCCCATGTCCTGGCCCCCGTTGCACACATCGGCCACCTCTTCCTTGCTGCAGCCGAGGCTGGGCGAGCCTTTGGTTTGGTGGAAAGAGAAGGCGAGGGGAGGACTTGGGTGCTGAGTTCAGCCCCTCAGAAGCAGCTTGGTTCTACCCACAGAGAGCCAGCCCCGGAATGTGCCCCCTGAGGCAGCAGCGTGTGGGAAAGGGTGGAAGTGGCCCCCCAGCCCCGGCGCTTGGCCCTGACCACCGCAACCACGGCCGGCCAGGCACATCAGCCCTGACTTCCAGTTCCCAGGCAGGGGCCACCAGCCAGGGCACGTTTATGTCAGTGAGGGTTTTTGTGGGATATGCAGTTCAATAAGCCCCCTGGGGCGCGTGCCTGGGACCGCTCTGCCTGGCGCCGGGGGACACAGGCTGGCCCGTGGTCCCGGGTACTGGAAAAGGCTGCGCTGAGCCAGGACGTCCGGGTCCCACCTCCTGCTCCCGTACGTCCCCAGGCAAATACCTCAAGCTCTCCCCGCCTCAGTTCCCTCCACTAGAAGCCGACCGTAGCACGGGTTGGCGCCTCCTTGATGCTTGGAAAGTGTCCCTTCCCCGCGGACCCTGAGTACCACCCTCCACAGGAAGAGGGCCAGGCAGTCTCCCAGGAAGGCCGGCAGGTGCCAGCCCTCGCACGCACGCTGTGATTGCGCCACACTTAAAACAACTTTTAAAATCACTATTACTCCTCTACTAATTGTGCTCATTGCTCATCCCTTCCTACCATCCTCATAAATCACATGTAATTGTTTTCGGCTAATCCTTTAGAAACCCATTGTTAACTCAGCTCCTCAAAGTGTCTGCCCACGCCAGTGTGGGGCGGGGCACAGCGTGGGGCAGGGCACAGTGTGGGGCGGGCCACTCTCGGTGGTTTGGGCAGGTGGGTATTTGGTTTTTGTCTTGGCTTTGGTGCTTTGATAGCACCTGGACGGATGCTAAAATTTCCTCTGGAAGTTGGAAGCTGGCGTCCCAGCCTCATCCCAGAGCCGGAGATGAACTGCCCGGTAACAACAGCCGCGGCCATCTCCAGAGGATTAATTGGGTGCGAGCTCCTGCGCTGGGCGTTTTACCTCATTTTACCTGCATTCTCTGCGTTAATCCTCACAAGAACCTGATGAGGAAGCGTCGTTCCGCATTTAATCACCCAGGAAGTCAGGGCTCAGAAAAGTGCCTGTCACTAAGAAAATCACTTTTTCTCCCTCCCGGCCCTCCCTCTTCCTCATCCCCCCAGCTCTCCTCGGCTGGAGCTGCAGGAGGGGGTCCCTGGCTCTCCTCACTCTGTCTCCTTGGCAGTGGGGGCAGCACCTCCTGGGCAGGGCTGGCTGCCTCGCCAGAGCCCCCTCCTGAGACCCCCTTCTTGGGGCACAGCTGCACCAACTGTGGGAGGGACGAAGGCCCCTGGGCGACGCTCAGAGCCCCACCCTCGGGGGCCGTGGGTGGAATTTTAAGCTCAAGAATATTCTTAAAAAGTACCCATGCGGTTAGTTAAACCTCCTAAAATAATTGCAGTCAAGCAATTACATCTTTTAAGGGCCTTCAGAGGTGCTAGGATCCAGGCTCATGTATTTCAAGACCAAAGCAAGTCATTTCGTGCCACGCCTGGGGTGGGATTGCTTTGGGGGCTGATCCTCTCTGTTCAACAGCTGCTCCCGGATTCAGATTCAGGATTCGTGGGGGTGCAGGGTGCAGTGCAGCCTTTTGTGATGACGCCCCTCCTCCTGCCAGCCTGCACACCTCCAGGCCAGGGCAGGGAGCCTGAGGATGAGCCGGGAAGGCCAGGAAGGGGGAGCGTCAGTGCTTTCAGATTCCCAGCAGAAGAAAGAGCAATTCTGCACAAGGCATTTTGGAGAAGTGGCTGCCTCCCAAAGCAAGGCCTGGCTGGCAGGGCCAGCTCCTGCCCCTCTTGACCACCTAGGCTGTCCTCTGCAGGGAGGGGCAGAACAGCTGAGAGGTGCAGGTCCTAGGGGCCCGCCCACCCCTGGGCCCAGAAGCGCTTTTGGGAGTCATTCCTCCCTCCTCTCTCTCTGAGTGTGAGTCTGGCATCTGCATCTTCCGTTCTTCCTCCCTCCCTGTCTTCCTCTCTGTCTCGCCCTCGCCCTCCCTCCCTTCCTTGATTCCTCATGAAACACTGTTGTGTGCCAACACCACAGGGCAGCAGTGATTCCAGGCAGCCCCGACCTTGGGGAGCCTCCAGTCCTGAGCTGGCAGACAGCAGGGTAGGATTACAGGGGATGGGCACAGGACTCGAAGTGGGTGCCTGCACGGTCCGGGGAACCAGGGGTGCTTCATAAAGCAAGGAGGCGGAATGTAAGATGACCACTCAGCAAAGGTCACCCCCGGCCCCCACAGCACCACTGGGAAGCTGTCTTGGCAGTAGGGCCGGAGGGTTGCCAGCGTGAGTATTCTGGGCCCACACCACAAGCATCTCCTGCCTCTGCCAGTCCCTCTACAAGTGCCCAGCCTCCACCATGAAAAGGGCATGACTGGCTGGTCCCCTGCTCCCAGCAGCAGGGACGAAGCACAGAGCAGAGGAGAACCCTCCGCCTGGAGCCCTGCCTAGCCCCTGCCAGCTCACAGACTCAAGAGCAAGAAAGAAACACTTTCTGCTGCAAGCCATTGTGCTGGATGGTTTGTTACGCAGCTTTCCTGTGGATAGAACTGACCCATGCAAGGTGACTCTAATTCTGGAACTTTCAGCCAGTAGGCCTGGGCTTTGGGGGATGAGCAGCCTGGACAAAGGGAATGGTGACCCAGGAAGGGGTGCTGAGCCTGGAACCAGGACTCTGAGCCCACCCCTGGCTCTGCCCACCCTGCACACTCCTCCCCACCCAGCCAGACCCAGAAGGACGCCCTTTGCGGCTGGAATCCAGAGGCCCAGGGACGAGTTTATCTGTGGGCCCAAGGGGCAGGGTCATCTGCAGAGTCAGCTAAGCCAGACTGGAGTTGCAGCAAGACCAGGGAGACCCTCCCACGGGCCCCTCACCATGGGCTCTGCTGTGGCCACACCCCAGAGCCCATCTCTCACCTGCACCTTCCTTTCAGGAACCCTCTTCTCCCCCAGTTCCTGCAAGAGAAGCCAGTTGCACCAATGGACTAACCCCAGGCTTCACCTGCCCCCACTTAACGGTCCATACCCCCCCACCCTCCACCCAGCCCCCACCTGACCCTCCACCCAGCCACCACCTGACCCTCCACCCAGCCACCACCTGACCCTCCACCCGGCCCCACCTGACCCTCCACCCCGCCCCCTCCTGACCCTCCACCCAGCCCCCACCTGACTCTCTACCCAGCACCCACCTCTGGACCTGAGCTCCTGGCCTTTCCTCTGCCTAGGAGAGTCATCTCTGCCCATGATTCCCCCCGCCCCCCGCCGTGGCCACTGCCCATCCTCAGGACCATGTCTGCCACTCTGGTAGGCAGCACTCCACCTGCATCTGATGGCCCTGGGCACTTTCTGCATGTGGCAGCTTGGTATTGGTTCATGTACCTGTGCATGGCAGTGAGCACTGAAGCCACAGGGGCCCTCGGACAGGTATGCACCTGGACTCCTGCAGTTGCTAGGATGCAGATTCCCAGGCCATGCCTCCAGAGAATCAACTGCATTTGACTCAGAGGTGGGACCCTGGAATCTGTACTCCTTGGGCCACATCGAGAAGCATTACCCCTGCCAGCCACAGGGCCTGGGTCTGACGCACCACCCTGCCCCCTCTCCTCCCGGGCGTGGAGAGCAGGCATTTGTCCCAGGAAGCTGGTCTCCTCCACCGCCAGAGCTCTGTGCCCAGAGGACATTCCAAGCTGTCAGCCTTGGAGATGAAGAAAAATGGCCTGGTTCCCCCCTCTGGAAGAAACACTCCATTTTGGCTTCCTCATTTGGAGAATGGGCTCCACCATCTTGGACCCCTGCCTGGGACCCAGGCGAGTAGAGACCACAGCCCCGTCCCTGCACTCCTGCAACTCTGGCAGATGGTGGTCAGCCCATCTCTCCCCGACACCACACACCACCCTGCTCTGGCCCTGGGGCACTGGCATTCCTTCAGGAGGTTGGACCCAGAGGCTTCAGGGCCCCTCCACTTTGACAAACCTGAAAGGAGACCTCTCCCAGTTCCCTCCCACCCCCAGCCCCCAGGTCCCAGCCCCACGGGAATGACAGACGGCAGGCACGGGCCTCCGCCTCCACAGCTGTCCCAGCCCCACGGGAATGACAGACAGCAGACACGGGCCTCCCCCTCCACAGCTGTCCTTCCCTCAGACCAGGTACCTCCTCTTAGCTCCTCAGACCCTAAGCTGTCACAAGAGTGCTGGGTGGCCCTCAGGACCAGAGTCTCCTGGGGCGATCACTGAATGTGAGCTTACTTTCTCTTCCCCGGGCCCCCACTCCCACCAGAGCTTGGGCTGGGCCATGGGGCACAGGCAGAGGAACCCCCCAAGACCAGGGCACAGGGCCCACCCCGAGACTGCATGACCACAGAGCACACTTTTCCTCGGAGCCAGGTAGGAGGGGGGTTCATGGCTGCAAACAGGGTCAACGTTTCCTTCTCCTGGGTTTTCAACACAGAGGAAGGAGATACAGATAGCACTGAAGAACAAAACTTGGTACCTCAAAATCAAATCCAGTTCTGAATAGCATTTGTTATTCAGCCGTCCTGCAGCTCTCAACACTGTGAGTGGAAATTTTATGTCTTGGAAGTGAGACCTTTTACTCCCGGGGCTCAGGCAGAAAAGGCCTGAATCATTCCACAACAAATTAACTCCCAATTAGCCAGAGCATCTCAAAACAACAAAGAAAGAGCACTCAGTGGATTTCCTCCACCTATTTAAACATTGCTTTCAACATGGTGCAGAGATGTTTACTCAAATACACATTACAATCCCAGAGGGCTGAACAATTAGTCTCGGCTTTCCAAGGCAACCGTGTACTGACTTGTTAAGGAAGGCACCAATTTATCAGATAAATAAACCATTTTTAAGGCGGCTGTAAACTGATTTCTATGTTTACTTAAATGGACTATGGTGATTCCAGTACCTGCTTATTCCACCTGTTACACAGAAAATAAGCACAAATTGGACCTCACACTTTGATTTTCCCGTTCCCGCCTTCACAGGTCCCCTTCCCTCTGTTCACTCCTCCTGGGAGGCCCGGCATGTATCTCCTGAGGATCTGCGGCCACGTGTGGCCCTGGGAGGCCTGGCATGTGTCTCCTGTGGATCTGCAACCACATGTAGCCCTGGGGACAGACACTTGGAACACGTCACCTGTCTCCTGTCTAAATGTATTGGCCTGTTCCAACCCCATCGAAAAGACCAGAAAAATGGAAACCGTGGCAATGCTCACAGCACTGGAAAGCGTGACTTTGGGAGACCCTGGATCACTTAGTGCCCCCGGGATGAAGCTGGGGAGGGCCCGGGGCAGGATAGGCCACCAGCCACCAGTGCCGCGACATGGCAGAGTGAGGGAGGGAGTCGACAGCACTGCAGGGGCGCAGGGCACAGCCTCGTGGTGACTTCAGGGACAGTTGCACACAGCATGAGGGCAGGCGGCCTGGGAGCTCAGGAAGGCCCGAGGGGTCTTGTCACCCTGCCAGGGTGTGTTTTTGTGAGCTGGTGGTGGCAGGTAGGGGGCAACCAGCATGGGTTTTTAAGCAGTGAGGAGACTTTTAAGAGAATGATTTTTTTTAAATCCAAGATGAAAATGGCTTTATAAAGCCAATATCTGTTTGCAGTTAAAAAAAAATAGATAGTATAGAAAGCTATAAAGAAAAGAATAGAAATCATCCCAAGGCTCCCACCCTGAAATCACAGTCACAGGTCAAGTTTTGATGAAGACCCTTCCGAACACCAGTGTCTGAACACGCACATTCATCCCTCGGTGCAGCTGGACCTGCTCCATGCTCTGTGACTCGCTTTTGCTGCTCAGTAATAGGTTCTGAATGGCTTTTTCTGGCAATGGACTTAGACCTGGCCCATCACTTTCAGTTGGATGGAATTCCTGTTCAGGATGGACCCAAACCCATGAGATGGGTCCCCTGTTGAAGCACATTTAGGCTGGTCCAGCTTTTCAACATCATAAACACCACTGCAAAGAGCATTCGCCCCCTGCATGGAGCCCTGACCGTGGGAGGAGGTCCAAGTCGGTCCACACACAGCCTGCTTGGTGCCAGGCCCCGCTGGGTGGGTTCGGGGTTGGGGGCAGCTCAGAGCCAGATTATTAGGCAAATGTGTCACGGAGCCTGACTCTTACATACAATACAGTCACAGATCACCAACATTAGAGAAGACCACTGACATGAAAGACACATCCAAATGAGAGAGGAACTGGGAGCAGAGAGACTCCCTCGCCCAAGAAAAAGAGAGAGCCTCAGAGACCTGAGAGAAGACCATACATTCAGAAAATAAGACACAACAGAGTCCCATAGAAAATGAACATTCAGCCCCGATGCCTGCATATTAATAAATGACCACAGACAGCAGAGCAGGGAAAGTGAGGACACACCACAGGAGAGCAAGAGAACAAAGAGACAAATGTGGTGAAGGATGGGGGAGGTGTGGGAATTGGAGGAAGAACCCAGAAGAGCCAGCAGTGAGCAAAAGCATTTCTGAAGGAGAGGATGGTGACTGTGGAAGGAGGAGTGTTCACAGCAATAACTCACACCTGTCCCAGAACAAAGACCACGAATAAGAGCCCCAGGACCTCCAGAGTCCAGTACGAGGCACAAATACAGAGCCACAAAGGTGCATTCGTGTGCAATTTTACAGCACCAAGAATACAGTTTTCAGGGGAAAAGTGGAAACAGGTCACAAACAGGATGAGGAGTGAGAATGGATTCCAGCTTCTCAGTAGCCACCCTCTGTGGCTGGGAGAGAGTGGAGCTGAGAAGGTTCAGGCCCACCCCCTCCTGGAATTCTATACCCAGCCCTGCTATCCACAAGGCACCAGCTATGGACAAAGATTCTCCATTTACTCAGAGTTTACTGCCCATGCCCCTGGGTCAGGACCTCCTCCATGTTTCTCCTGTGATATGCACCACCACACAGAGGAACAAAACAATATAAAGGAAGACACAAGACCTAGGAAACGGGGTTCCTCATAGGGAAGAGACAGGATGTTCTCTCAGGGTGACAGTGGAGCAGCTTAGAGCAGGAGAAAGAAGAGATGTCCAAGACAGGGGTTCCCAGAGAGAGAAGCGGGCAGAACAAGCCACCTGCTGTGGGACTAGCCACCTGCTGTACCTGACGTGAAAGAGAATAAGGTCGCTGCTTTGTTGAAAAGTTCAGGGCTAGAATTAGTAAGGGGAACACGGAGAACCGAGCGAGGAGAAGTGCAGGGCACAATATGAGGAGACGCACGGAAGGGAACACACGGGGTAGGGACTGCGGTCGGCCATGGGGAGAGGGTGGAAAATGTGATGGGTCACGGCAATGGTTTAACTAACGAATTGCTTTGTTGCTTCAACCAAATTTAAAAGATTTAATCAACACGTTGATGTATTGATTAGTATTTGAACAGTAATTAGATCCCAAACATGGTTTTCCTGGATGGGGAGGTGGGGAGGAAGCGGGGATGAGGCCGTCTGCCATAGTCAGAAGTCAAGAGGCGGTATCTAAAATCTGAAAATCAACAGCAGATTAAACATGCCATTTGGAAATATAGAGAAAAATACCAAACTAGTGGAACCAAACAAAAACAAAAACAGATGAAAAGTTGAAAGGAGTGGCTCCCAGGGGAGTGAACTCATGGCGGGAGAGGGGGAGGGTGAGAGATGGTTGCTTTTTAGGATAAACCTGTGAGAATGAGTTGGCTTTTTAAATTATGTACTTAACATAATGTTTCCATAAAATAAAAAACTATAAGCAGGAAGCTGCTGATTTAGAAATTGGTCATGTGCTTTCTGTCTGGAAAGAGCAAAGCATTTAGGGCAGGGCCTCCCCAGAGCCCCCACCGCCCTGCACTCAGGCCTCCACCCACCGCTGGAGGTGGATGCTGGGACCCCACTCTAGTTGGTGCAGGGCCAGACCTGCTCAGCAAGAGCGGAGGAGGAAGTCATCAGAGCCCTGCCTGGTCCAGGGCTGGTGGAGGGAGGCCCGGGCAGTCTAGCCAGATGGGGCAGAGGTGCTGTCTGGGCCCAGGTCCAGTGACCCAGTCAAGTTGACCCCTAACATCACCCATCACAATGACATGGTGGGGTCCCAGGAGGGCCAGGAAGTCCTCTAAGGCATTGTTCGTGCTGTTCTCTCGCCTGTAACACCCTTCCTCCTGCTTCATACAGCAAATTTCCACTTCAACTTCAAGACCAAGTTCCAGCATCCCCTTGGGAAGGCCTTTTCTGACCCCATGACTGGACCAGGTGCCCCTACATGTTACTGGCCTTGGGCACCCCTCATTCAGAGCAGTGGCCTCATGGTGTCCCTACTCATCCCGCCAGGGTCCCCAGGACACAGGAGGCGCTTGACAGGTGTTTGCAGAACAAGCCTTGCTTCTGGCTCACAAACCCTCCCCAGGAGATGTCGGTAACGGCGGCAGCTGCTGCAACTACCTTCAGTGTCAGAGCTCAAGCCCCAGGGCCAAGGTCCCCCAGCAGGATACATATCTGTTTGGAGACACACTCCTGGAATGTTCCCTGCCTGGCTTCTGTCTCCCCCAGTCCATGATTGCAACTCACAGGGCCTGGCCCAGGGTAGGAAGACAGAGAACAGTGGGCCAGGTTCAGCCCTAGATGTCCCTGGAGGGCCCCCACCGACTGCTCCCCTAAACAGACCTACCCAGGAACCAGAGCCCGGGGGGACCTGGAACCCCCTCATCTCCAGGGCCAGCCACCAGGCCCCGGTCAGGAACAGAAGGAAAGGTAGACACATCTGACAGCCTGAAGAAGGGCCCACAGGGACAATGGCCGCTCCTGGGAACGAAGCCCTGTTTGGGGCAATCTCAGACCAAAGAAAGCCACACATGACAGAGACCCTCAAGCTAGGGGAGGGAGAGGGGGCTCGAACAGCAGCAATTCTCTCCCGCACGGCTCTGGGGGCTACAAGTTTGGAAGCCCCCAGGGAGGATCTTTCCTGCCTGTCCTGGGTTCCCAGCTGCACGGTTCCGTCTCTGCCTCTGTGGTCCCGGGGCCTCCCTGTCTGTGTCGGTGCCACCTCTTCTTCTTCTAGGGACACCTGTCATCGGGGCAAGGGCTGGTCCTCGTCCAGTACAACCTCAATTCTGCAAAGACCCTATTTCCAAATAAGGTCACCCTGTGGGGTTCTGGGTTAGTGCAAGGTTAGCTCCAGGATAGCCAGGCCAGAGAGGCTGAGCCAAAATTAGCCTGCGGGGGACACCCCTGTCTCGTGAACCCCCGGCCACTCTGCTCCATCCCTGCTTCTAACACTGCTGAGCAGGAAACTGTGGCCTCTTGGCCTGGGGCTGACCATCTCCCGTCCCAGAATCTCCAGATCCTTCCTCTACTACCAGACTCTGTCCAAGGGCCCAGCCACCAGGCACAGGAGTGCCTTTCCCAGCATCTACAAGAGGTAGCCTGGCATCAACTCCCCAGGAAGACAGCCCCATGGGCAACGGGAGCTGGAGGGCGTCCTCCCCGTCCTCCTTCTGAGGGGATTGTGCCAGGCATGGCACGTCCTCATCCCATGAGGACGTCTGGCTGCTCCCGGGGACCACGGCTCGCCCGTTAGTCACCTGCGTCGTTTCTGCCTTTCCCTGACTCCCCTCCCTTTTCCTCCCTCTTGCTGCCCTGAAATTGCACCCTTCCCTCCCCAAATAAACCCTTAGCGCTTAATCCATGCCTCAGGCTCTGCTTTCTAGAACTCTTAGCAAAGATGAGTGGCAAGGGCAGGGAGGAGTATTTCAGTCAGAGGGAACAGGCTGTGCGCCCGGTGGGGAGACGCCCTCATGCGATACGGTAGCAGGCCCAGGCATGGGATCAGCTATCCTAGTGAATTCCTGGCTTTGCCATTTCCAAGCTCACCGTGACAGGCTCCCAAGTCTCCCGAGCCCCAGCCCGCTCTGTACAGGAGGGGCAGTGATGCAGTGTCACCACGGTACGCGGTTGCTGGGCTGCTGGAGTGGGTGGATCTGTCAGCAGCGTGGCTCGTGGGGAGGCCTGGCTCCTGGGCCTTGCCCCCACCGGCCCCCAGACCCAGGAACTACAGCACAGGGATGCCCCCCACTGACCCCAGGAAGGGCGGCCTCCAAGGTGAGAAGCCCCGGCGCACCCACCTTTCCCAATACTTCCTCCAGCTTCTATTTGAAAGCCCATGTGTAACTGGAGAGCCTCGTGCGGCATTCGTTTCTCATTTGCACCTGCCAAGGCTGCCCGGAGCCTTTCCTCGTTCTTTCCAGTTGTTTGTTGGCTTGTTTTTGATCAAAGTCAGGAAACTACTTAAAAAAAAAACAAGGCTAGTGAACTGGAAAATGTGGAGTTCAAGTTTGGGTCAAAATAACCAACTCTGAATTCAAGGTAAGCTTATGGCTCCAAGCAATTAGTTCCAACCTGATCACAGCTGTGTGCATTCACACACTGACACACAGAGACACACACACATACACACATCACACATGCACATGCTCACACACACACCCTCCACAGACACGACACACACACATGCACACACACACACAGAGACACATACACACACACACACCCTCCACAGACATGACACACACACAGGCACACACACACAGAGACACATACACATCCACACATCACACGTACACACACACCCTCCACAGACACGACACACACACATGCACACACACACACAGAGACACACACATCCACACATCACACATACACACACACACACACCCTCCACAGACATGACATACACTCACAAACACACATGCACACACACATACAGAGACACATACAGAGATACAGAGACATACACACATCCACGCATCACACACATGCACACACACACCCTTCACAGACATAACATACACCCACACACATGCACACACACACAGAGACACATGCAGAGATACACACACACCCACACATCACACACATGCACACACACACCCTCCACAGACATGACACACACGAACACACATGCACACACACACACAGACACATGCAGATACACACAGAGACACACACACACCCATGCATCACACACATGCACACACACCCTCCACAGACATGGCACACACTCACAAACACACATGCACACACACAGAGAGACACATGCAGACACACACACACATCCACACATCCACACATCGCACATATGCACACACACATACCCTCCACAGACATGACACATGCAAACACACATGCACACACACACAGACACACACATACACCCCACAGACACGACACACACCGAGACTGCTGGACAGGCCCAGGCAGCACAGAATAGGGAAGGAGCTGGGCAGAGCCTGGGGTAGTGCCATGGCAGTCCAAGCAGGGTCTGTGTCCATGGTTTGCTGTGACCCCGGCCTCAGCTCTCACTGCTGGAGCAGTCATTCCTGCCATTTGCTGATCCCAGGGGTGCTGGGGTTTGTGCTGGAGTCACACAGCGTGCCCTTCACTGTGCAGCCAGGGAAACTGAGGCAACACTGCAGAGTGAGGCCCACAGCGGCGGCAGCGGCTCTCAATTTGGGTTTGTGAACGTGGTGGTGAATTTTACGTGTCAACTTGATTGAGCCACAATGTGTCCAGATATTTGGTCCAACATGACTCTGGCGGTGTCTGTGAGGTGCCCCTGGACGGGATTCACATTTGAATGGGCAAACTGAGTCAAGCAGATGGCCCTCGCCAGTGTGGGAGAGCAGATTGGCCTCGGCCAATCAGTTGAAGGCCCAAATAGAGCAGAAAGGCTGAGTAAGGGGAGCTCCTGCTGCCTGACGGCTGAGCTGGTTTTTCGCTGGCCTTCCAGCCTGCACTGAACCATTAGCCCCTCCTGGGTTTAAGTCTCCAGCCTGCCAGCTTCCAGGCTAGAACTGCACCGTTGGCTCTCCCGGGTCTCCAGCTTGCCACCTGCAGATCTCAGGGCTTGTCCACCTCCAGGGTCCAGTGAGCCCATTCCTGACAATCAATCTCTTGCTATCTCTCTATACATATCCGTCCTATTGGTTCTATTTCCTGAGAGCCCTGAATACAGGGAGTGAGGGGCGTGTGGGCTTTGAACCCGGCTCAGTGGGACTTTGCACAGTGATCATTGCAGCCCTGAGATTCCTGGGACACACATACCACACACCAGCCACAGCTCTGGGCACTTGGCTTGTAGCCGCCGCGACACTCGTCTGTAGTTTATAGGGGCACACAGAGGACTGAGGGAACGTGCTGGAAGCCATGCAGATAGCAAGCGACCGAGCCGGGGTTTGAACCTGGGCGGGGGCCAGCTCCAAGGCCTGTACTCTCGACCTCTGCCCCAAGTCTTGTGGCCCCCGTGACCAGGCGACTCTGGCCTTCTGGGCCTGCCCTACTCTAATCGCCTCAGTGGCTGCGCTGGCCCCGCAGTGGCTGTGCTCTCAGAGGCAGCAGCGGGCAGTGCTGCTGGGACCGTCTTGGAACTCCGCTTGGGTGTGGGGACTGGCCGGGGCAGAGGGGGAGGAGTGGGCGGCTGGACAGGATGATGGGAGCAAGGTGAGGGTCACAGGGCCCACAACTGTGAGAGGTCCCGGCTGATGTGCCAGTCAGCATTCTCCACTGAGAAACAGCTGATGGGAGAGAGGTCCATGTTGAGACATGTATTTTAGGGAATCAGCCCACGCAGTTGTGGGGGCTGGCAAGATCCCCCTGCGGATCAGGCTGCAGACCCAGGCAGGGCTTCTCCACCACAGTCTCCAGGCAGAATTCCTGCTTCCTCCACGTAGGCTCAGAGTTTGCTCCGAGGGCCCCAGTGGATTGGATGAGGCTGCCGCAGGCTATGCGGGGCCATCTCCTTTCCTTAAAGTCAGCTGACTGCCAATGTGCGTCACATCGCAAAACACTGGCACAGCAACCTCTAGACATGTGTTGGGATCATGGGGGACCACGGCCTGGCCAGGTTGGCACATACAACCGAGCAGCATGGTTGGGAAGGGACCACAGCAGGCTTGGAATTAGGGGCTCCAAATTCCAGCACCAGCTACCAAGGTTTCTGCAACTTGGAGATTGTTGCGCTAGGTGTGGCCTCAGTTTCCCCATCAGTAAAGGGGGGATCCTGTCCCTCAGTATATTCCATCCTCCCTGTGCTATAGAGAGCAGAGGAGAGAAGACCTAGTCCCTGCCCTGAGTCGAGGGGGGCCTGCTGGATTTTGATGTCTGTGTAGGAGTTTGCTAGGCACCCCAGGGCAAGGATGTGCCCCAGGTGGCCGGGTCATGGGGAGAAGCAGAGGGTGTTGGGGAGGTGGAGGCAGGGTGGGCTGGCTCTGTCCTTCTCCCTGCCACAGGCTCTGGTTTGGGGTGAGGAGGAAGAAGTTTGTTGTCCACAAATATGACCCCGTCATTTCCCAGCTCAGGGACTGCCTATACAGACAACATCCGAAGACCCCAGTATGATTTCTGGGCTGCGTTGGTTAGGGGAGCGCACTGGGCTGAGGCCAGCTGGGACGAGGACCCACAGGGTAGGGACGGGGTAGACAGGGCCAGCCCTGGACAGCCCCGCCCCTGGTGGCCCCAGGATGACCACAGTTGGATGCTTGAGTTCTGGGGTGTCCCCTAAAGCAAAAGCCTCGGTGTTGCCGTCATAGCTCAAAGCAGGTTTGGGGCAACTTTGTGATACTCCTCATGGTACGCCCACCTCACTTCCACCACTGGTGACGTCGAGAGCCAGGTAACGACGCCCCATCCAAGGGCCGTGAGAGGGAGTGGTCTGAAAGCACCAACACCGGGGGCTGGCACAAGGTCTCACTCATTCATTCCTGCATTCATTCATTGAACAAATAGGTCAGAACTCCTGCTGTGGGCCTGGCCCTGCCTGGACTCTGGGGAAACCGGAACAAACAGCCAGCCTCACACATCCCTGCCCGCCGTGTAGCAGACCTTGGGCGGAGGAGCAGGCAGCCTCTGAATAGTCAATCCACGGCCAAGAAGGTCCACAGAGGGCGAAGACGGCCGCACTGGGGACGGGACGGGGCGTCTGTGCGGGTCTCCTTCTCCTCTGCCCGAGGGGTCTGCTCCCACCCTCTTTCTTACCGAGCAAAGCATGCCCAGACCTTGATAAGCTCAAGCCTGCTCCTGACCACGTGGAAGGGAGCAGCTCCACACGGGCCAGTCAAACTCTGCAGACAGCACAGGCTTTGCATGTGGGAGACAGAGCAGCCGGCTCCATCACCAAGTATGTTGCTGATGCTCATTTTCTCGGTTTTTTTTTGCCCAAAATGTCAAATTGCTCTGCTGCGTGCTCCTGATAGAGGCCTGACAGGGCCGTGGGAGAAGCACGGTGGAGGGTGGTGCTAGGAAGACAGGGAGCTCGACGAAGACCCTGGTGGGACCCCTAGGGGATGTGGATCTGGAAGCTTCCTGGCCACCCCAGGAGCTGCAGCTGAGGAGCTGGCAAGGGGGGTTGGGTATGCCATAAGTGACACAGAGCAGGAGCAAGAACAGGCCAGGCTGGCCTCGAGTGACCCTGGACACATGCCCCCTCCAAGCCAGGCCCCACACCTGCAAAATCAGGGTGGGTGGCCATCGCCACCAACACAGCGAACCCGCAGCAGGACCCCCTTCACTCCAGGGTCCCCACTGCCACTCTGTGTCTGAAGGCCCCCCGCAAGGAGGACCAGAACCTTCTGTGTGCCTCCCCGCACACACTGAGTTAGAATTCCACTGGAATGCGGAGCGTGGTCAGGCGTGACCTCCCTCCATGCCTCCTGACAGGAGGCACAGCCTTCTCCCACTCCCCCACCGCGGTGTGCTGGACTAGCAAATTCCAGAGCAGAGAGGCTGTGGCCATGGAAACCTGGCAGACCTCAGATTCCCCGGGACAGGGCAGGAGCAGGGCCGGGAAGGGCCTGGCAAGCCCACTGCGGGGGGTGGGTGGGCAGGATTGTCAGAGGATGGCCACTGTGGCAGAAGCCTCAGAAGATCAGACGCTTCCAGAGTCTGGACGAGCCGCCTTCCCGGCCGGTGCTTCCCGGCTCTCTGCCCCCTGGGTGAGTGTTCTAGGTGGGGCTCCTAGAAGCAGGGATGGGTCCAGTCTGATCCCTCTGGGTGTCCCAAGTGCTGGATACATGGTTACAGGGCAGCAATGTGGGGCCGCTCAGCTCTCTCCTCCAATTCTCTGGAGGAAAGCACCAAAGCAGGCTCAGAGAGGAGAAGCCACGCCCCCAAGGTCACACAGCTTGGACTCTGCGGAGCAGAGATCGTAGTCCTGGTCCTTCTGACTTCCAGGCAGCAGACAGCCCCGAGGCGTCCCAGAAATTAGCGCAAAGTTCTGCAACCGGGTTAGGAAATCATCACCCTGCAAACCCTGGAGCGGGGAACTTGGTTGAATGAAATTCAGGTCAGGAAGGCTGGAGGCCTCCGGGCCTCCTCCCCTGGATGAGCACGCTAGTGCTCCGGACGAGGCTGTGAGTCCGCAAGCCTTCGGTAGAGGATTCTGGCTGCTTCCTTGTGTCTGGGGCGTGAAATCCTGACCATGACCTTCAGGAAGCTCGTCCCCCTGCCAGGAGGGCTCCATTGGCCCTGGCCCAGGTCCTCGGTGGGTTTTCACAGTACCTGCAGCTCCCCTCACCTACTCCATGACAGCCAAAACAACCCCAAACAGAGACCGATTATTAATTTGAGCCCTTCTCACCTCCTGTTACCCCCAAAATGCATCCAGACCTGGGGAGGTTGTGGGAAGGGGCCTCCTTTTCACAGTCCTCCAGGTCCCTCTTAGCACAAAACAGCATTTTGGGGTGCGGCCTTGCTCCTAGACCGTGGTGTGGACAATCAGCCAAGAGTGCAGCACCCCTCCCTGAACAACCCCCATGACGGAGGTGGTCCCGAACACGTCGCTCCTGCTGAATCATCACCCCTAGCCCAGAGCCAGGCACTGCAGGCCTCAGCACTTCCTTGTTGAATAAATATCATGGAAGGAAGCCCTAAGAAGTCAGTGGCAACAGCTCGTATATGTCAGAGCAGGCGTCTCTAGGCTCCCTCCATTTCCGTCCTAGAATTCAATGGCTACCATAACCCCCCATCCCCAGTAGCTGATTCCAGCAGCGAAACCCTTGTAATCCATGTCCCAGTGGGAGTCCCATGCCACACATTCACAGAGGGCTCCCACGGCCAAAGTCTGGATATTAATTAGGATCCAAGAGTGTGACGTGATGAGCAGTTCTGAGGCCTGGATCTTTGCTTTCACCTTTGAATGTGTGAATCATGGAAGTCCGGGCAGCCTGGAGATGTGCTGGCATGCCTGGGACCTGAGCTGGTCTGAGGTGGAGCAGGTGGGTTTCTGATAAATCCTATATGCCTGAATGTGTGAGTGGATGGGTGAGGGGATGTACAGGTGGGTGGGTGGGTAGGTAGCCTGGGGAATGATTGTGCAAGGCTGGGGGAGTGGATTGTGGTTGAATAATTGGATGGATGGATGGATGGATGGATGGGAGGGCCCAACAAGGGGCTGAGAGGCCTGCAGCCCAGCCCGCTGCCACCAGCACTGGCTGAGGTCCTTGGAGGGTGCAGTCCCAGCAGGAGGGTTGGGCATGGCTCTCTGCCGGCTTGGTGTCCTTCTGGGGCACACAGGGATGCTGGAGGCTCCATCCTGGTTTTGAGACCCCAGGGTCAGAGGCTCCAGGTAGCACCTGCGACATCCTGCACTGAGTCTTGCAGAATGGGATGGGATGCAGGTGGTGAGGGGAAACTCTAGTGGGCCGAGTGCTCCAGAGCGAAGGCGGGCTGGGGTATCTGCAAGGGCTGGCCTGTTGGTCCCTCCCTGATGTGAAGCCCTGCGGACCTCCATCCCTTCAGTGCTGGTGGGTTCGTTCACCCCTTCTGCAGTAAATTCAGGGTGGACAGGGGAATATCACCTTCCCCTTTAAAGAAGAGGAACCAAGTCCCAGGAGGGCAGAAAGACTTCTGGGGGCCCTTCCACCCTGCAGAGGCCAGAGGCAGCTCCGGCCCCCTGGCCACCTCCCCGTTCTGTCTCCACGATGGTTTCAGGAGGAAGTGGGCGTCCGCGGAGGCAACCACATGGCCCTTGGCTTGGCTGTCCCCATCACCAGCCCCCAGTCCCCTAGGGCGGGGCCAGGCTCTATTTCGGGAGTGAGAATGGAGAGAGGCGGGGGAACCACAGGCTCCCCAAGGGACTGCTGCCTCACAGGAGTCATCCAAAAAATTCCTGCCATGCAGCCCAGAGCAGATGGAGCCAGTGTGTAGCCAGCAGAGCCCCCAGCGCAGTGGCTGGAGGAGGGAGGGTGCGTGGGCGTGGGGCGGAGAGAGCCTGTACTGGGAGCCAGAGGCCTGGGTACAAAGCCTACAGCTTCAGTGTGCTCTGAGAGAGTAGGCAGAAGTACCTCCCGTAGGCCTCGCTCTTAGCTCCTAAATTGGCTCACGCTGGCCACAGCTCACACTTGAGGCCCCACACCAGGCACTCATCTGCCAGCCACCCCTGCCTGCAGGAACTACCATCGGCCAGGACCTAAGTTGGATGGATCTAATCACCCCATCTCCAGACACGCTGTACTCGCAGCCTCAGCTCTCTGCCCTCTGCTATTCTGCCCGGTATGACCAGAACCACCCTGGACACAACCCTCCGCCACTGGCACATTCTGCTCCCAGACACTCCAGCCTCCTCCAGAACCCCCTCCATGGATATTCCAGATGTGGCGGTCCTGCAGCCTTGGACTCCCTCGGCCCAACACACTGATGAGTGAGTAAGAGTGTAGCTGAGCTTCCAGGTCCTGCAGCCTCCGGGGAATGTCCAGGGTGTGGATAGACACTGGGCCTGAAGCTCCAGGCTGTGGTCAGCGCTGGGATGGAAGGAGGCAGGTGCACAGGGAGCAGAGGCCGGGGACACAGCTGACTGACCCTCTAAGCATGGACAGAGGAGGAGGTGCTGGAAAACAGACGGAGAAGGAAGGGAGGGAGTGGCCAGGAAGCGCTCTGCAGCAGCGACTCAGCGTCCTGCATCTTCATGGCATCCAAGGCCCCATGCCCAGAGGAGTGGCGGCAGAGGAAGCTGGGTATGGCTTGTGGGGTGCAGTCCCCCCATCACTATCTGGGGCCATTTGTGCCAAAACCAATGCACTGCCACAGCCCCTGAGTCCAGCACATCCTCGCACCCTGCGTCCCTGGACTGTGGTCCACCCTAGCCAGCAGCACCCAGAGCTCTCCTAACCAGGCAGGAGCTCCATGTGACAGATGAGGAAACTGAGGCCAGGGCAGGTGGCGCCGACCTCACTCCAGAATAGGCACGGACAGTGGGACCCAGAATGCCCACGGGCACCATGTTGGGAGCTGGATGGGCACTGAGGGTGAGGCTGGACCCCTTTCTGAAGGAGGGACGTGGTGTCTGCTCCTGTACCCCATGGTGGGTGCTCACCATCTCCCCAGCCCACAGTTTACTTGGACAGCCCCACAGTGACCCACTTTCTCCCCGAAATGGGCTGGATCTGCCTCTAGGTGTTTTCTGTCTCGGCCCAGGCTTTCCTAACACCGGCTGGTGCCATCCAAGCCTCCTGCAGGGTCAGCAGATTTGCAAACCACAGGTTTCTCCAATTTCTTTGGAGAAAAAAAAAAGGAAAAAAGAAAGAAGGAAATAATTTTCCAAAGTATTATGTTTCTTCCCAATAAATCAAGGCCACCAGGCCTGGCAATGGCCCCAGACTTGTCGGGCAGCAGAGCTTGGTGACACCCTGGGATGGGCTGGGAGCAACAGAGCTTGGTCACACCCCGAGATGGGCTGGGGAGGTTTGGGTGTCCAGCATGGGGAGTGGCTCCTACCTGGAGCCACTGCCAGGACGGGAGCATCTCCAGAAGCCACCAGGAGGGGATCTGGCCCAGTGAGGTGGGCAGGGAAACTCCTGTCTACCCCCGCACGGATGGCAGGGCCCCTGTGTTCACAGGGTAGGGAGGCATCACTGCTTTCCAGGTGTGAAGCGGGGGTCTGGAGGCCTCTCTAAACCAGCTCAGTGGCCACCGTCAAAGTTCCTTCCCTTTGACAAAAGTTTCCGGAGGCTGTTAGGGGACCACCCCCAGCAGTCCTGCCCCACCCTGACCCCTGGAAGGCCTGGGTCCTCCACCACCAGTGTCAGGGACGGGCAATCAGGGCTCACAGCTTTTCGGGAAGGGAAAGATGCGTGAGGAACATGGTGGCCATGAGGCCCCTGGGTTTGGGGCAGGGCTATGAGGCACCCAGCCCAGCACGGGGCCCACCTGTGCTGAGGAACTGACAGAAGGTCGCTGGCCGTCCTTCAGGGACACGGTCACATGGTGGCTTTAACAAGATGTGTCCACATCCTGATCCCTGAGCTGGTGAATGTGCCCTCACATGGCCGAGGTTGTGAGGAGGCTCAAATCTCATGCTGGACGCTTGGAACCGCTTGCTGCCCTAGGAACTGCTCTAGTTCACAGCAGCCCACCAGACAGAGGGAAGCTGCCGCACCTGGGGCCTCTGTCCTAGTGGAGAGGGCAGGTAGAGACAAGAGGGACAAGTGGTGAAAAGAGGGCCATTGTGTAGACGCTTCTCTGTGCCACGGAGGAAAATGAAACAGGAAGGGGCTGAGAGGTGTAGGGTGGGGGCTGTGGCTTACAAAAGGTGCTCAAAAGAGGTCACATTAGATGGGGATGCAGGAAATGGGGTCAGCAGCACATTTCTGGAGGCTGCCTTCCCAGCAGGCAGGCAGCAAGAGCGAGGACGTGGCGCGTCAGATGGGAGCTGCTTCCGGGCCCCACCTCCAATCCAGGCCTCGCGGGGGCGAGACTGGAAGGACCCAAGCACTGTCCCAGCCATCCCATTGTCAGCCACACAGCCTGAGGCTTGGTCTGGAGCCCGCTGGCAGCCCATGGGCCAAGACCGGCAGGAGGGCCCCCTCAGAGGCCGTTCCAATAACCCAGTGGAAAGGTGGCAGGCTGGGAGTCAGCGAGCGATTGACTTAGGGTGGAGGACACATCTCTGGATAAGGGATGGTCAAGGAATGCCAGGAGGACTGTCCTGTGGACATCACAGTCACCGACGCTGGGGCTGCAGCCTGCCTGCCGCTAAACACCAGGACAGCCCTGGAGAGTTGGTTGGACATTTATAGCAGAGGGAGCGTGTGTTTCATCCCCTAGCCTGCACCTCCCAACCTGGGGCTTTAGGTTGGAGAAAGGGGGCTTCCCCACCAAGTAAGCCATGTGACTGGACGTCTCTGCACCTGAGGCAGAGATCATAACCCCAGGGCAGTTTGACCCATTTAGGGGAGAACAGTTTCCCTCCCTCACCTCAAAAGGCTCCCACTCCACCCACGCAAAATAGCAATTAAGAGTCGAGCCAGGAAAAAGAGAAATAATTAATATTTTCTCCAAAGCAGAGTTCCTTGTTTAAGAGCTAAATAACACAGAGACAGCTTAACCGCTACCCAGCACAATCAATTCTCTCTGGTTCTAACCTGCTCATGTGTGTTTCTTTAATCAGAGCTATTAAGAGACATTTCTGAGAGCTTCAATGTGGGGTTGTGCTGGGTTTTTGATTTGCCAGAAATGATGATCGGGATGATTATACGCCCACACGAGAGGCGCCTCAGCAGAGGGTCATCCTGGCTTCACAGTCCACAGAGCTGGAGGCAGCGCCGGCCGTGGGCACTGACTGGTCCAGTCCTCCCAGCAAGTTCCTTCCTTTCTCTGTGCCTCATCTGTGAAATGCAGATTCCACTAACAATCTCTAAGTGGTTATGGGAAGTAAGTGGCTTTTGACATGCAGAGGTGATAGAAATAGCGATCTTTATCGCTATCTGTTCGTAACAAGCACTGGGTCTAAGCACCTTAGATTTACTCGTTAGCTGAAGCCCTGCAAAACCCCCACCGCTAGATTTCACCATGATTCCCACTTTACAGATGGGAAAACCAAAGCACAAGGTGTAACTCACTTGCTGTCCAGCAGAGTAGCAGGTGGGGACACTGGGGGCTCAGAGGGTCATTGGTTGAGTGTGTGGTGCTCGGGGGAGTCCCAGGGTGGACCTTGGGGAAGAGAGTCCACGTGGACGTCCCCAGGGAAGAGGTTGAGGGGAGGCCCTGGAATTGCAGGGAAGGGAGGTGGAAAGAGTGCCAGTCACATGAGGCTGGTGTGCTTGTGGTGGGGGCGCCCGGAGGAGGCAGACACGGGGCGTGGGGTCCCAGCCAGCTGTCCTGGGAAGCCCAGACACCCTCAGGAGCCTGTGTGTAAGGGGCCACCCTCCCCATTCTCCTGGGACTAGGGGAGTTTCCTGGGACATGGGATTTTCTGTGCTAAAACCAGGACGGTCCTGGGCGAGCCACGACAATAGGTCACTCTATGAGTTGCTCCCAAACCGCAGAGGGTGCGAGGAAGCCCAGGAAGCCGCCAGCCACGGCTCCCCACCCACCTGCTGCCTGGCCTCCCACCGCTCGGCATCTCGCCTTCTGGGAGGCTGTCTCCTTGCAGGAGTTTATTTTCACCCACCGATGGGATAATTACAGGGAAGAGGGGAAAAAAATGAAGTTGACAGAATCACAGATTAGAGAGAAATGCAGCCCACTTCCTCTGAGTTCCTCGGTGCATTTAAAGAAACCTGAGATCATCAGTGCCTTTGTCTCTGCACACCGCGCCCACCGGTAATAGCTCTGGCAGCGGCTCCTGTCCTTAGCTGGTCCCAGGGAGGCAGGAGAGTCCTGGGAGATTCCAAAGGATGGGGCCCAGCCCCGCGGCCCGTCTTCCCGTGGGGCTGGCATGTCGGCCCTCCTCTCCAGGTCTCAGGTGGCAGTTTGATCCTTGGTGGGGACGTGCCTGGCACTGACAGAACCCAGCCAGGTCCCAACATCCCTTACAGTGATGGGAGCTCTCCCTGAAGTCCCCACCCTGGGCCTCGCCCCCATTAGCTACAGAAAGCCCCCCACACTGACAGGCAGAACTCCCAACTTCCCCTCCCCACCCTCTCTTCTTCCCATGATGCCAGATGGGGCCTCTGGAGGCCGAAGGGGTCCAGAGCCCTGGGCTGACTGTTCCAGAAGGCGGCTGCCCCCACCCTGCCCCCATCTCTGCTGCTACCGTGCCATTCTGTGCTTCTCTCAGGGACAAGCTGCAAATGGCCTTGGGATGGGGACAGGTTCCGAGGTCAGCCACCCTCCTCCAGAGCCACCCGCACCCTCACTGCTGTCCTGCCCCTCACCCTTCCCCCCCCTCTTAATTAATGGACTTCAGTGTTTAGAGCAGTTTTAGGTCACAGGGAAACTGGGCCTGAAGCACAGCACGCAGCTCCGCACACCTCCCGCCCCACAGGCTCCGCGAGTGCCTCGTGCACTGGTGCGGTGGGGGCGTCTGCCGCACTGAGGGGCCATATGGACGCGTCGCCATTAGCTGAAGCCCACGGTCGGCACGAGGGCTCCCCGTCTGTGTGGCACCTTCTACGGTCGTGACAAATGTCCAGCCCCCACCGTGACGGCATCACGTGCTCCTCCTGTCCACCCCTCCTCCCTCTCCTTGGAGCCCCCCTTGCCAAGCACGGGGGAGGGGGGCTGGATTCAGAACTCAGGGACTCCAAGGAAAGGAGCAGACCTGAGAGCTAACGTGGGGTGGGGCCTCTCTGGGTGGGCCAGGCCTGCCCCGCAGGGACAGCTGGGCCCCCCGATCTTGGCCAGCACCGAGGGCTGCTCCCCTGACCTGGGGCAGGCCCTGCACTGAAGCCCCTGTGGAGGCCTCAGCTCTGCACTCCCCACCCCTTCCCCTGCAGCCCCTGCCCCTGGAGTCAGCACTGAGCTCCCCCCAGGAGGCTGGACCAAGGATGCTGCCGGCCTTAGCGGAAGGAGGGTCACCCCACGGGGAGAGATAGGAGCAGAGGCAGATGCAGGAGCGGGGGAAAGGAAGAGTGTTGGGCACCAAAATGGGGGGTGCCTGGGAGGGACCCGGGCATCATAACGGGCGCCCTCCCGTCGTATGGGCAACCTCTTATTTTTTGGATGGGGAAACTGAGGCCCAGCTTGGGAGAGGTTCACCCAGAGTGACACAGTCAGTCCGGGCAGTGGGAGGGGGGTCAGTCCGGGCAGTGGGAGGAGGGTCAGTCTGGGCAGTGGGAGGGGGGTCAGTCCGGGCAGTGGGAGGGGGGTCACACAGCAGAAGCATCTCCTGCAGCCCAAACACCAAGCACCCCAGAGCCCCTGAGACCTGGGGGCCACGGGATCGCGGCCGAGGGAGACTGAGGCCAGCCTGGAGGTCCTCTCCTGCCCTCGGGAGATGTGTGGCTGGGCAGGCGGCTCTCCTTCTCCAGGCCTGTTCTGTCATCTGCAAGTGGGCCTCCTAATTGTGCAAATACCAGCAGGCGGTCTGAGTTGAAGGGAGCTGGGAGTGCCCCACAGGTGCTGATCTGTGTTACGTGTTACCTCCCTTCCCCCAGGGAACCCACCAAGAACTCCGGCAGGCGCAAAGGCAGCGGTGCAGGAGGAACCAGGGTTGTGAGGCTGCTAACGCCAGAGCTCGCCTGTTTCTGTAGCAACCTGGAGCTGCGACTCGCTTCTGGAGGGGACGGTGGGGCTCCAGGATGACCTGGGATGGGGGGCGCACTAAGGCGAAAAGAGGGCCAGGACCCAGCCTCCCCCACACAGCCCCTTGCAGCGGAACCCTGATCCTCCCATTCCTGAAGAGACCCCATGATCAAAGCAGCTGCTGCTGCCTGGAGATGGAGCCTCCCGGGCCCTCCGTGGGAGGGGCTGGGGCAGGAGGCTCACAGAGGGCGGGAAGGGGTGACCCCAGCAACAGCAGGGATGGCTCTTGTTTCCCAGGGGCTCACCCCGCCCGCCTGGCTTCCTCTTCTCAGGCCCCCTGGAGGACAGCACCAGCATCCTCCAGCCTTGTTTTCTAAGGAGGATGTGAGCTGGATGGGGAGCCAGGTGACAGCTTCCTGGGCCCAGCCGGGTGAGACAGCCAGGACCCTGCCCTCTGTGGCTGCCAAGGCCCAGGGCACCAGCTGAGAGGGAGCAGGGCAGAGCTGGCAACTCCTGAGCCCCCGCGGCCCACCCCCAGTGGAGCCCGGTCATGTGCAGGAGCTGTCCAGGGTGTGGACGGGCTCCGCACCAGTCTCGGAGCTGAACCACAGCCAGTGCAGGGCAGTGGCAGGGAGCCAGTCTGGGCTCTGAGAAGCAGTGACCTCCCTCCCCATCCGGGGAGGATTCATGCGCCCGCTGGCTGTGGGGAGCACCTATGGCACACAGGGTGGACTTGGCGACCGCTTCAGAGGCTCCCCTGGGAGGATCCACCCTCTTAAAGGATTCACTGAGAGAACCTGGCCCTGGGTAAACAGGGGCTCATAGACCAGGGCCAGAAGGGAGAGAAGCCATGGTTTGCCTCCAAAATGCAGAGGCCCTGGTATTCATCCCTCAGAAGAAGAAGGGGTTCCTAGCCCCTGCTGGCATGCAGACAGGTACACCTGCTCACAAGTGCCTCCCCCACACGGATGCACAACCCCCCACACATCCCACACAGCCCCACACATCCGCATGCAGGCACACAGACCCTACAACTACCACGGCCACGTACGGGGGCCTTGCCGCTTCCACCGCTCACTGAAGGTGGGGTGGGAGGGTTCCAGGGAGGGTACAGAGGTGAGGCTGGCAGCAAACCCCACAAACAGAACAATTGCCCCAGGCCATCGCATCAGGAAGGGCCAAGTCCCACGCAGCTGAGGATTACTAAGGGCTGGAACGCTCTTAGATTCCAAACTCAACTCTGAGGCTCCCATTTCAGCAAATCCATCCAGCCTGGCCTAGGCCAGCTCACCTCAAATTTAATTCAGTTCAGTTTATTTCATTTCAATTCAGTCCAGATCCAACTCAATACAGATCCAAATTTATTTCCATTCATTTTAACTCAACCCAATCAAAATGCAGCTCACCCCTAACCCATCTGCCCAGTCTGCAAGGAGCAGCGCCTCCTATGAGGGACCTTCCAGAAATTTCCCCCAAAACCTAGTACAGACTGCCCACCTGTCACCTGCCCAGCCATCCGCCTGTCGGCCTGCCCATCCGCCCTCCTGGGCGGGGCACAGACCCAGGCTACCCGGCCCAGCCCCAGAATCCTGTTCATCAGTGCCACCATCCTCTCCTGCTCTCCCTCCTCCTCCACTCCTCCCCTCCTCCTTCCTCTCCCCTTCCTCCTCCCACTTCCTCCCCCTCCTCCTCCCCCTCCCCTCCTCCCCTCCACTCTTCCCCCTCCTCCTTACCCTCCCCACTCCTCCCCTACCTCCCCCCCTCCCCCTCCACTCCTCCCAGCATCATCATCATTCTTATCCTCTTTTCAGCAGCAGCAGCAGCAGCATTTTCAGCTTCATCATCGTCTCCTTCACCTCCATCTTTGTCTTTGCTGAGTCCTCCCTCTGCACTGGGGATGCCCAGCCCATTCCAAGCACAGCAGCTTCTATCCTCGCAGGAGCCCCGGGAGACAGTCTCCGTCAACCTTGTCACTGGAGGGAAAGCGGGGGTGCCCAGAGGAACAGGAAGTGGCCACCACAGCCAGGAGCAGGCTGCAGGCCGGGCCCATCCCAGGTCCCGCACCTCCCCTTCCAAGGTTCCTGCCTGGCCCCAGGGGCATTAGTGCTCAGGAGTGTTGGCACTCACTGCCCGGTGCTCCCCAGGCCCCCAGCCCTCTTGCCTCTGCCCCTCAGTGCTTCCAGCACCCTGAGCAGCCCCTCACCACCCGCGGGTCCCTGCAGCAGCTCTGCTGCCTTCTCCTGGCACCCGGGCCCTTCTGCCCCCGCCCCTCCAGGGAGAGAAGCTCAGTGGGTCACATTTGCTGCACCCGCGACTCCGTGTCTGCCTCCATCTCCCTCCTAGCCTGGCGAGCCCTCCCAGGCCCACTCACTACACTCCCACCAGGCCTGTTGGAGGTTCCTGGGTTGGTTTTTATCAAAACCATTAATGATTTCAAATACTCTAAAGAGGGCCATCTTCTCCTGCCTCCACCACAGCCACTTAGATCCACTGTGGCTCACTGAGATTTGGCAGAGACTTCGGTTGTCATGGTGTGGGTGTGGCCGGCCCCCCTGCTGGGACGGTGCCGACCCGGTCAGGGCAAGCATGGCCCCCAGGAGGGGTCTGTCTGGTGAATGATATAGAAATGGATGAGCAGAGAGGCAGTCTGATTTTTTTTAAAACAAAATTATTTGATGATTGTACAAACACTCTATGTCCAATATGAGAATTTTGCAAAAATACAGAAGAGTGGAAAGTGAAAAGAAGAAAACCACAAGCCCCCAAACTCCCTAGAGAAAACTGCCATGAACATTTTGGGGTTATTTCTTCTATACAGGCTTCCATAGTATGCATAGTTTTGTATATTACCTTTTGCACTTAACATTTTCCAGTCCATTAAATGTCCATTGAAAGCATGATTTTAAAAACCATGTTATTATGGAATTTCTCCAGGTGCTCACCCCCACTTCAACAATCATCAATATGTTGTCAGTCTTACATTTGTCTATTGTCACTCCTATTTTTATTTCTGCTTTTGGTGGAATACCCTTATGGGTTGAATTGTGCTCCCCAAAAACATATGTTGACATGCTGACCCCTCCCTCACAGACTTCAGGATGCGACCTGATTTGGAAATAGGGTTGCTGTGGCTGCCACTAGTTCAGTTGGCGATGGTCATGCTGGAGTGAGGTAGTGCCTAACCCAATATACCTGGTGTTCTTGTCAGAGGGAAGATTCAGAAAGAGAGACAGAGGGAGAAGGCCACACACACACACCTTCAATCCTATGATGGCCATGGGAAGGTGGAGGCAGAGGTTGGAGTGACAGAGCTGCAAGCCGAGGAGCATGGAGGATGGACGAGGTCACCACCATGGAAGGATTCTACTAGGAGTCCCAGGGGGAGCTCCACCGACACTTTCATTTCAGCCTCAGAACTGTGAGATGTTAAATTGCTGTTGTTTTAGTCACGCAGTTTGTGGCACCTTGTTATAGCAGGCAGATTTCTCCCTGATGGGGTGAAACTGATACAAACACTAAAGCATGACTGTGTAATGTTTCATCAGATAGCGGTGCCATGTGACGAGATCATGAGTGGAGGAAAATTGTTGAAAAATGACGTACAAAGCCTACCATGAAAACGGACACCAATAGAAGACAGGAAGGAAACACATCAAAAAGTTCTTAATTATTTTTACTGAGGGATTCAAATATTTTGAGTCCTTTTCTTGTTTGTTTAGTTTTTTTGGGTTTTTGCAGGGAGGCGAGGTCTCACTATATTGACCCAGTTGGAATGCAGTGGAATGGTCACAGCTCACTGCAGCTTCAACCCCCTGGGCTCAAGCAATCCTCCCACCTCAGCCCCCTGAGTAGCTGTGACTAGAGGCACATGCCCCCACACATGGCTAATTTTTATTATTATTTGTAGAGACAGTGTCTCACTATGTTGCCTAGGCTGGTGTTAAACTTCTGGGCTCAAGTAATCCTCCCACCTCAGCCTCCCAAAGTGCCAGGATTACAGGCGTGAGCCACTGTGCCTGGCCTATTTTGAGTCCTTACTCTGTGCCAGGCACCACACAAGGTATTGTACCTCATTTAATATGTCCAAGAACCCTCTGAGGTCACTCTCCTGGTAAATGGCCAAGTTAAGATCCAAAACACACCAGACCCAGCCCTTTCTCCATCCCCACCAGGGTTTGGATGGTTACATGTGTCCTGTGTATCTCTATCTCTGTGGATGGTGCCTAGAGCAGACATTCCAGCTCAGCACCAGCTGGACTACTGGTTCCTTGACCTTCTCTTCTCCTCTGATACAGCCATTCACTCCTTCAGTATCTCATCTCCCTGAAAATGCCGTAGATTTTCCCATTGCCATAAAAGGCACACCTTACAGAGTCTTACTTTCAAGACTTAGAGCCTCACGTCTTTCCATCTCATCCCAGCAAGTACTCACCCCAGCAACATGACTGTCCTGGGACTCACAATCCTTTATGCCCATCACCCCTTTACTGGCCCTCACCCCCTTCACACCCTCATTTCCCTCATGCACCTTTACTACCCCCACCCCCTTCGTGCCCTCATTCCCTCACACAAACACACATACGTACACTTTCAATCATCTTACCCTTCTCTCATTTTAGCACACTCAGTTATAACACCCCAACCCTGGTGACATTCAACTCTCCACCTAATCTGTATTTGCACTTGGTCTAGAAACAAAGAGAGGACACCAATTGCCAATATCATGAATGAAAGAGGAGACAGTACTACAGACCCTACAGACATGAAGAGCATAATAAGGAAATGTAATGAACAACTTCATGTCAATGAGTTGAGCAGCTTTGATGAAATACAAGAGTTGAAAGATAGTTTATCAAAATGGACTAAGCATGGATACAGGAATTGCACAATTCAGTAATGGATAGCAGATGGTGGGAGACAGATTTCTGTCTGATGGGGTGAGAGGTTACAGATAAGCAAGGGGAGGAGGCTAGAATGATCCATGTGATAATTGCTTAGGAATAGACCTCAATGTGAACTCATGTCCAGCTTCGTACAGATACAGGGGGTTATATATAGAAATATGTAAAGATACGTATATATACACAGGTTGCTATGCATGCATATTTCCTTGCTTTGCCAGCTGAGAGGGCTGAGAAGCAATGACTCCCCAGTAACAGCAGGTCCCATTTTTGGTTTCTAATACTGCTCTCCAATGAAAAGAACCAGGGCTCTTCAGGGAAATGGGTGATTCTAAGCCTGTGTAAAGAATGATCCAAGATGAGTCTGGAGCACCTTGTAGTGCTAGAAACTGAGAAAGTGCTCAGAAAAGGACCGCATGCACACACATGTGCACACACACACACAACTGAGGCTGTGTCAAAGGAACACAGGAGTCAAGTGAAAGAGCTTCCAATGGCTAAAACCAGAAAAATTTAAACAACAAAATAAGGCGCTACCCAGCAGCCATGAGTTTACACTGATAGGAATAAAATGATCAGATACTGGGAGAGATGAGCAGATCTCCAGGCAGGATTCCAAATAAGTTATGGAGCTACTCTGCCCTCAGGAGGAGAGCATGGCTCCCCGCTCCTTAACTGTGAGCTGTGCACAGTGACTTCTTGCCAGAAAGCAGAGTATGGAAGGGGGAGGGGCAATTTTTTGGTGACCAAAGTCAACATCAGCAGTGATGAGCTCTGTTGACACTGTGAACCCTTGAACCACAGACGAGAAGAGCACCTCACAACTGTGGTATTCCTCCCTAAACCCATTGACACTGTTTAGCCATGAGAAAAACATCAAATACATCCAATTAAGGGACATTTTACAAAACGTTTCACCAGCACTCCTTAAATTCATCAAGGTCATCAAAACAAAGAAAGTTTAAGAAATTGTCACAAGAGCATAACATAACAACTAAAAGTAATATGGGATTCTGAATGGGATTCTAGCAAGAAACAAAAGGCTTTAGGTAAAAACTAAGAAAATATGAATAAAATATGGACTTTAGTTCATAATAATGTATAAATATTGGTTCATTAATTGTGACATACATCATATACTAATATAAGATGCTAATAATAGGGGAAGCTGATCGTGGAGTTTATGAAAACTTCTTTTACTATCTTTGCAATTTTTCTGTTATCTAAAACTATTATAAAATAAAACTTACTTTAAATAGTACTATATCAATTAAAGAAGTCGAATTTAATTAAACATGTGTCCACAAAGAAAACTCCTTTGAGAACACTGACAAACATTTAAAATAAATAATAACAACCCCCCCACAAGCTCCTTCAGAAAAAGAGAGGTAGGGAAAACACTTCCAAACTCATTTTATGATACCTGGCACCAAAACCAGGCAAATATATTATAAGAAAAGAAAACTACAGACTGGTATCCTTCATGAACACAAGTATAAAACTTCTTAACAGAATATTACCAAATGGAATCTAGTAAAAATGATGAGGTATGTGTGATAAAACTTCATGATTAAGTGGATTTCTTCCAAGAATGCAAGGTTAGCTCAACATTGAAAATCATTCTACATGACTCACTACATCAACAGACTAAAAAAAAAGAAATGATAAGATCGTCTGAATAGATGCATGAAAACAAATGCATATGACAAACATCAACATCTGTTCATTAAAAATGCTCTCATTAAACTAGGAATACATAGCAACTTCTCCACCTGATAAGAGGCATCTAGAAAAACAAACCTGCAGATCATATCATACCTCATGGTGAAAGAAGAAATACCTTCTCCAAAGCAAGGATTCTACCTTCACCCCTGAGGGTCCTAGCCAGTGCAATAAAGAAAATACATGAAGAAAGCGTCTAGAACCAGCCCATGAGTTTAGCAGTCACAGGATATGAAAGGTGTAGTGTAGTTCTATATACTAGCAACTTAAAATTAGAGACTGAAGTTTTAAAATACCATTCACAATGGAATAAAATACTTTCAAAAGTATTAGAAAGTGAAAAGGTAAGATACTTAAGGACAAACCTAATAAAATATGTACAAGATTTGTAGGTTGAAAACTACAAAGCATTTCTGAAATAAATTAAAGACCCAAATAAATGGAGAGATATACTGAGTTTACAGGTGAGAAGATCCGTTGTTATTAAGATGTCCTCAAAATTAATCTATCAATTTAATGTAATCCCAGGCAGCTTTTTAAAAATAGAAGTTGACAAATTGATAATAAAAATTATGTTGAAGTGTGAAAGACATCAAATGGTTAAAGCCATGCTGATGAAGAAGAACATATTTGAAAGACTCACTCAACCTGGTTTCAATACATCATAAAGTTGCGGTAAGCTAGATGGTATGGTATTGGCGTGATGATAAGCATGTAGTTTAATAAAACAGCATGCAGTCCAGAGGTAAATCCACAAATGTATGGTCCACTGATTTTCAAAAAACATACCAAGGTAATTCAATAGGGAAAAAATAGTGTCTTCTTAAAAAGTGCTGAAACACATTTAACATCTATACGGAAAAGAAAAAAATGAACCTTAATCTTTAATCTACACCATATACAAAATTAACATTAAATAGATCATCAGAACAAAATTAACACGAAATAGATCATTAGACTTAAATGTAAGACTTAAACCTATGAAACTTCTAGGAGATTACATAGGAGAAAAGCTTTGTTACATCTTGGTCAAGCAAAGATTTATGAGATCAAACATGTAAAACACAAACCATAAAAGACAAAGTTAATTGGGCTTCAGTAAAATAATAAAATTTCTGATCTTTGAAAAATACCACTAAGAAAGTGAAAAGACAAGCTAGAGACAATGAAAAAGCATTTGCATTACATATGTCTGACAAAGGACTTGCTTTCAGAATGTGTGAAGAAATTCAACCCAATAATACACACAACTCAATCATAAGAAAGCAAAAAACTTTAAAATAAGCAAGAGATTGGAACAGAAACTTTACAAAAGAGAAGATGCCAATGAGTAATAAACATATGGAAGGAGGCTCAACAGCATGGGTGATCCAGGAATACGAATGGGGACCACACTGAGACACGTCTGCACAACCTCTGGACAGCTAAGGCTAAACAGATCGACAACGCCCAGCATGGGGCAGTATGTGGGGCACCTAGAACTCTCTAGCATTGACTGCAGGAACGTGAAAGAGGACAATCTCCTTGGAAAACAGGCTCACGGTTTCGTACAATGTTAACTATAGGACGTGGTTTGACTCTGTGTCCCCACCCAAATCTCATCTTGAATTGTAATCCCCAACGTTGGGGGAGGGACCTGGTGGGAGGTGATTGAATCACGGGGGTGGATTTCCCCCATGTTGTTCTGGTGCTAGTGAGTTTGCATGAGATCTGGTTGTTTAAAAGTGTGTAGCACACCCCCCCCCTTTTTCTCTCCTGTTGCCATGTGAAAACGTGCCTGTTTCCACTTCGCCCTTTCACTGTGATTGTAAGTTTCCTGAGGCCTCCTCAGCCATGCCTCCTATACAGCCTGCAGAACTGTAAGTCAGTTAAACCTCTTTTCTTCATAAATTACTCAGTCTCAGGCAGTTCTTTATAGCAGTGTGAGAGTGGACTAACACACTATACAATCCAGAACATGTCTATGCAAAGACTTGTGCACAAAGGCTTTTTATTCGCAATAGTCCCAAACTGGGCACAGCCCAAATGTCTATCAACAGGTGAATAAGCAAAACAATGTGGTCCCTCCATACAACAGAGTCCTGGTCGGCAGTGAAAACGGGGAACTCCCTGTGCACAGACCCAGATGGATCCTAAAAGCATGCTAGTCAAAGAAGCCAGGCACCAAAGTGTGCATACTGCATGGGTCTGTGTAGAGAAAATCCCAGAAGGATAATTCTAACCTGGGTGACCCAGAGCATGTGCCTGAGGCTGGGGGAGGACGGACAGGGAAGGGATGCAGAGGCTTCTGAGGTGACGGAAATGCTTCATGTCTTGAGTGTGGGGTGGCTCTGCAGGTGCATAAACTTACCCAAACTCACCAAATGGTAGAGTTAAAAGCAGTGCATGTTATTGTATGTAAATCATAAAATTTAAAAACATAGAATTATGTATTATGGTATAAGAATTATAAAACTTAAAAATTGCTAACTTCCCACCCCTCTCCCCATCCCACTCATCCTCTATTTATTTTCTGTATAACTTAATGACTTCTAGCATACTATTTAATTTACTTATTTATTATGATTTTTTTCCTGCCTCTTCCTGAGCAAGAGAAGGGATTTTTATTTGTTTTATTCATGGATGGATTGCACAGAGCCTAGGACCAAGCCAGGCACTTAGCAAATTCTCAGTAAATATTTGCTAAATTAATCAGTTAGTGAGCAAGGAACAAGTCAGAAGGACTTGCCCTTTTAGATCACAAGCATTTCTGTAAAGTTATAATATGTTTAAAGTAGGTGGTTTTGAGCAGGGATGGGCACTATCACCAATGGAAAGTAACAGAGTGCCCAGAAAGGGATGCAACCACATAAAGAAATGACCCCAGCAGGGTGGGCCACAGGTCTGCACCAGGAGGAAGGTCTCCCTTCATAAACGATGCTGGGAAAATGGTTATGGTACACGTGAGAACGAACTGGTTGCCTTCTTCACAACAGATACAAAAACTCACATCTAGGTAATTTAGTGCTTTAAATGTGAAAGACAACACTTTAAAACGAAAAAAAGGAAAACTATTTTTATAACCTCAGATTGGGTAAGGATTTCATAGCAAGCCACACAACCCACCAACCATAGCAAAATGACTGATCCGTTTAGCTCCATGAAGGTAGTAACTTCTGTTCGTTATAATCCAGCATGTATTCTCTTTATTTTTTAAAAAAATGCCTGGTGAAATATCTACAAGGAAACGAAATGGAGCTGAGATTTTGATGCAAAAGATATTTAAGTGATTATGGTAAAAAAAAGAACAAGACACCAGAAAGAAAGTGAAAAGACAGTAATATACTCAGTGCCACACACATAACTCAACAAAGGATTTTGGTCCAGAACATGTAAAGAGCATTCACAAACCAACAAGAAAATAACAGTGACACAATAGAAAAGCACATAAAGACAGAAACAGGGTTGCACAGAAGAAGAAATACAAATGGCAGCTAAACACTCATCCATTATTACCTCAACCCTTATGCAAATTAAGAATTGCAAATTAATACCACCATGAGGTATCCTGTGAGGCCTGCCAGGTAGCCCAAGGTAAGACATCTAACAACAGCAAGGGCTGTGAGGCAGGGACCTGCAGGGACTCTTCCGCTCAGCCAGAGGGGTATAAATGACACAGCGCTGGTTTGGGCAGATGAACATCCCACTCCCATAGCCCCACAGCTGACCGCAGGTGAGCCTAACCCTTGAAGGAGCATTTGCTGAGCGGCTGTGGTGTGCTGGATACTCTCAGCATAGTTCACTCAACCTTCAAAGCATTTTATAAGATGGCGAGCATCATTTTAAGAGGCCATGCAGAAACAAAGTGGCCAGTCCTGGCTGGCCCGCTGCCTCTCCCATTATGCCAAACCCTGGGATATGGCCGTGGGCGCCCAGGAATCTCCTCTCCTGGGGTGATGCTGACATAGGCAGGGATCAGCACCCTAGAGATAAGGCAGGCAGGTTCCTTACATGGGAGGCAGCATGGAAATATTCATGTTACTCAGCTATTCAAATTATTTTTCAAGTGGGTCGGAAACACCTGTTTCTTTACTATCGTGAGGCATCATCAGCCTAGTGCAAGCCATTCTGCGGGAAAGAAGCCTGCGCCCTGTCTGGCAGGGCCTGGCTCATCTCCTCGTCTTTGGAAACTCCATTTCCCCCATAATGGAATTGGAAAGTTCCTTATGATTATTTAACAGTCGACGCTGAAGCACGGACCCCTGACATGGGCCCTGGGCATCCAAAGAACAAAGACACAGCCAAGGCCCCCAAGCCCTACCTGCAGGAAACTGGGTGCAGTCAGTGAACAGGAGCCTTGGGCCGCTGCAGTCGCGAGGCTGGGTGGCGGTGGGCCTGGAATTCGCTGCCGCCTGGTCAGCCTTCAGCTAAGTGGCCTGCCTGGAAGACACCGTAGCTCCCCATGGCAGGGCCCTGGGGCCACCTTCCTCTGCGCTGCTCTTGGGCCGGGTGTGAAGTTGTCGTGTGTAAGATCCCTGGAGCGAGATCCCGGGGTTTCAACCCCAGTCCTTGCAGGATGAGCCAGAGGCCTTCGGCATTGCCCTGGCTTCACTGTGCCTCAATTCCGTGGTGGGTAAAATGGGGCGAGGACAGAGCCTCCCTGATACTGCCCCAAGGACCCAAAGTTAATACAGGTGAGACTCGTTCAGAAGGGCCCTGCACAGGGTGAGTACAGACACACGTCAGCCGGTGGGATTACTATGGCTTCACAGTGTACATGCAGAGGACTCTAGCAGTGAAAGCTTAGCCCGGCCCTCCCCTGCAAATCCCAACTCTGCTGCAAACACGTCCCCAGCAAAACTCCAGATCCCACAACCTCAGCCTGCTCTCCTGCAGGAGGCTCACCTGCTTCCGTCACCAGGGACCTTGTCCTGCCCAGACCTGGAAACCTCAGAGCCCGTATCAGTCAGGGCCGGCCGGGCCAGACTGCGGTAGCCCTCAAGCCGAATCCCAGGGACTAGAGCAGGACAGCCAGCGCCCCACCCCCATTCACGCAGTCCCTCGAGGACGCAGGCTGACAGAGGCTTCACCACTCTGGCTCTCAAAGCTGCCACCCAAGGGGATAGCTATGTGCCCTCCTGTCCACGTCACTGGCCGAACTCACCCATACCCTGCCCGGCTTCTGAAGCAGGGATCCTGTGGGTGGCCGTGGCCAGCAGTGCCGCCTCCCGAAGCCATCCCTGGCGCCACCTTCTCACACCCAACTTCAGTGATGCTTCCACACATCCCGCCGGCTCTGCCTCCGAGTGTACTTGGCGTTCCATCTGCTCTCACCACCTCTGCCGCCCGACCCACGCCCAGGCCGCCGTATCCTTTGGAGACCTGCTGTCCCTGCCCGGCCATCCCCCCTTACCTCCTGCCCACAATCTGGTTCAATCCCACGATGGGGAGCTTTCGGAATTCAGGCTCCCCTGCTGCCCACAGCCCAGGCAAGGTTCACAGGCCTCCACCATGAACCAAATCCAAACTCCCATGCCTTCCAGGTGGAAGCTGGGCAGCCCCTGCATCTGTCCTGAGAAGGGCATAAGCCATCTCCCCTGCACCTCAGCTCCCAACGGCCCCCTCCCTGGACGAGGCCCTCTCCTCCACCCGCTTCTGCACAGGACAGAAGATGATGTGGGCTTCAGGAATCACACGCTGCAGAGGCCACCAGCCCCCCGACCTTGCCACACGCCTCTCCGAGCAGCCCAGAGACACCGCAGTTTCTCATACGACGTCCTGGAGGCTTGTCAGGGGCGGGGATTCAAAATAATGTCCTCGGGTTGACCATTTCAAAGCAAGCAGTGCACCACGGATGTCCCCGTGGCCTTACCTGTCCGTCAGAAGCGTGACTTTGAATTGCATCGCAGACTTTAGATTTCCTTGGATAACTGCCCAGAGTCAGACACTGTCATAGTCCATCTTGTGCTGCCACAACAGAATACCGTAGACTGTCATTTATAAAGGAGAGACATTTATTTGGCTCACTGTCCTGGAGGCTGGGAAGTCGAGGTGGAGGCAGTCCCTGGAGAGGGCCTTACTGCGTCCTCCCGTGGCAAGAGCCGCAAACAAAAGGGGCGGAACTCACCTTCCTAACAAGCCCACCCCCACAATCACGACACCGATGCACCCGTGGTGGCAGAGCCCTCGTGACCACACCGCCTCTTCCAGGCCCCACCCCTCAGCACCGCGGCCGGCCGTGGGATCCAGCTTCCACCGCGTGAGCCTCTGGGGACGCTCTCAGGCCACGGCAGGCACGCAGGTGTGTCTCAAGTTCTTCTACCAATAATCAAAGCCTCTGATGCTCCTATTGCTTGTGTGATTTTTTAAAATTGTCGGCATCACAGACTATCGGGATCATTTTTCACAATTTTCAATATTCCTTAAAGCAGTGCTTGTCACCTAGGTGGCCTCGATTCCTGTTCTTTGGGTGCAATTTGAAACATGTGGCCGGCTCCTTACTGTGGGATGTGAGGGCTGGTGGTGAATGACCCCTGGTCACACAGCCAGAAGGGGCAGCGCGTGGACAGGGGCCTTCAGGGAGGTCTGACTGTGGCCACAGAGCCTGGGCCAGGGAGGGGGTGGGCGTCCGGTCATCTCAGGATGGCTGCACCCACCTGCACCAGCTTCCTCTCCCACCCTCCCCAGGCCCCCATCACCCCCACTGCCACTACCTGTCCCCTAGCCACCTCCTGCTCACCATAAGGGATTGCACTTGCCCCGCCTCCTCATGGCACCTGCTCTGGGCTCAGAGGGCGGCTCACACACACCTCCATGGTGTGCTCCCCCACCGGTGGGTGCTCCCTGTCACCTGCACCTCCTCCCTCAGGGCCTTAGGGACCCAGGTGGAGCTGGTCACTTCTGCCTCCCCTCTCCCATCACCCACCACAGCCACTCACACCCAAGACAGAGTCGGGCTCCAGGCCTCTGCGGCCCCACGTCCCCAGGGCCCCGTCCCAGGACTGCCCTGATCCCTTGCAGAGTTCTGGGGTGTGTGGCAGGGGGCACAGCACATAGAGCTGAACTGTAAACAGCACCCCATGCAGTTACATGAGCATCAGACATTTCTGTCACTCAAGACATGCAGAAGAGACAAATCGGGGAGCGCTCTGTATGACTCACACGACCGCAGCTCGACTGCCAATCCTGCGACCAAGCAGAGAGGTGAGGTCACTGTGCAGTGCAGAACACCGCAACGTGAGCCTGTCCTGTGTTCTCTCCAACTCCCGTAAAGTGTTAGTTTTAAACTTCACTTCGTCATCAACATTTAAAAACTAGGACATTTTACCAACCAGCCAAATGTCTGGCCTCTCCTAAAAAATCCAGAGTTCAGCCCACCTAGGGCCTACACCCGCTCAGCACAGCTGGCTGGAAGCAGCAGCCCCCCAAACCCCCCTCTCCACCTCAACATCCCCCCCAACTCCTGCCAGTCTCCCACCCACCCAGCCCCACCTCCAGATGGACTGTGGCCTCCAGTCCCCCCCAGACCTTCTGGCCTCTCGGCTCACGCCACCACCTGCCTGGCCCTGCGGGCGCTGGGTCCTCAACAGCCCTGCCAGGCATGCTTTACAGTTGCAGAACAAAACCAGATGTGGCCCCGGAATGCACTAAGGGCATGCACTGCATCTCCCGCACCCGGCCTGGCTTCGCGGGGAAGATGGCACCACTGCACAGACTTGGCCTCCTAGGGCCTCCTGGGAAAGAGTCCAGTCTCCATCCAGCTCCCACGCTGGTGCTTCTAGACCACTCCTCCATCTTTCGCGTGGCTCCTCTCATAAATGGTGCTTCAGGCTTGATTCATCTTTTACGCTGGTTGCTGTTAAGGCCTAAGAACCCGCACCTGCCCAGCATCCATGGAGTCCCATCCTGCCGCGACCATGTGCTCGGTACTTCCAGAATGTTTTGTTGTGGTTGAACCATTTCAGCTTTCTTTTCTCTTTTCTTTCTTTCTTTCTTTCTTTTTTTTTTTTTGAGATGGAGTCTCGCTCTGTCGCACAGGCTGGAGTGCAGTGGTGCGATCTCAGCTCACTGCAAGCTCTGCCTCCTGGGTTCACACCATTCTCCTGCCTCAGCCTCCCGAGTAGCTGGGACTACAGGCGCCCGCCACCACGCCCAGCTAATTTTTTGCATTTTTAAGTAGAGACGGGGTTTCACTGTGTTAGCCAGGACGGTCTTGATCTCCTGACCTTGTGATCCGCCTGCCTCGGCCTCCCAAAGTGCCGGGATTACAGGCGTGAGCCACCACGCCTGGCCCATTTCAGCTTTCTTGGTGCATAGCCGTATGGGGTAAGGAATGGATAATATTCCTCTCTCTAACTCCCATGCCTCGCATTTGGGTTTCATGTCAGATTACCCTGACCAGCCCAAAAGCATGTGGAATAATCACTGTGACACGAGCTCCACCCTGATACTGATCTCAGTAGAAACATGTGCCATGCTTCAGGCTCATTTTTTTGGGCAACTGTTTTAGACACGTGTTCTTTGTCAGATTAAGGAGACAGCCTTTTCTTTCTGGCATGCAAAACTTTGTTTTTAAATTAAAGAAGTTGGATTTAATTAATTAATATGTTATATTAATCTATCAGCATCTAGCAGTATCTGGCATTTAATAAGTGCCCGACAAATATTTAGAAATAAATGTATAAATGTATGAATCTAATAAAACTGCAGTTTATTTTCCTTATCCTACTCTTTTATGTGATTTATTGTTTTTCTGAATGTACAACCTTTGAATTTCTAGAATAAGCTTTCCTTGGTTACAGAAGATTAATCTTCTCCCGTGACGTGATGCTGGATTTTATCTGCTGGTATTTTGATTGGGTTCTGAGCCTATATTCGTGATGTGCTAGTTCTGTAGTCTGTGTGTCTGTGTATGTCATGTTTTACAGATTTTGACATGAACCTAGCTTCATAAAAATTAATTAGGGGGTTCTCCATCTTTTTCTCTCCCCTGGAAAAAAAATTGATAGAGCTCTAGTATCATCAGTTCTTCTGATGTTTAAAAGAAGTCACTGGAAAAACCACCAGACCCTAAAGCTGTGGGAAGAGGCAATGGTGAGAATTCTTCAATATCTTCCTTACATATTCAGGTTTTCTTCTTCCTGTCTTGACGTGATCTTGATCATCCATATTTTCCAAGAAAATATCATTTTTATCAGAATGCGTAGATTAGTTACTTAGAACCTCTTCAGGTCTATTTTTGTGTTCCCTTTCTGTTTGCTGGTTTAGAATTCATTTTTTCTTGTTCAAATGGGCTGGAGGTTTGTTTCTGTTGGAGAGTGTGTGTGCACACCTGTGCCTGTGTGCGTGCCTGTGTGTGTGCACGTATGTGTATGTGTGTGCATGAGTGTGTGTGCATGTGTGTGTGTGCATATGTGTGCACACGTGTGTGGGGGGGGTGGGTGGTAGGGTAAAGCTCATAGATCCATGTATCAATTCCGCCATTAATTAAACCTACTGTTAACGCCACTGATCTCTGCTCTGATCTTTTTTATCTGTTTTGACTTTCAGTGCCTCAGATCAAAATACCAGCAGGTAAAATCCAGAGGGCACTGGTGGCTGAGGATGAGACCTGGGGTCTCCCTGTGCAGGGTGCAAAGTGACAACTTCAGCTTCATTGCAATCTTCTCAAGTCTTTCCCCCTAAGGTTAGGGCGCCCGTTGTCTCTTAGGGAAGAAAGATGTCCCGGGATCCAGGTCACATGAACCCATGGACATGTGACTGTAATGACTGTTCAGAACTTGAAAAGAGCGAGTTTCAAGGCTGCTGACAAGGGAAGTGTGGGAAGAGGTGTGTGGCTGGACCCCCGGGAGTGGGGGTCTCGGTGATGAGCTGGACGAGATGCCTTCTCATGTGGATATCTTCCAGCCTCACTCTCCAGCTGCCTTAGTGCATATGAGGGCATGTGTCTGAATGGTCATGTATGAAGGGTCAGTGCAGTAGTGGGGGGCCAACAGCACGGACACCCCCTCACGAAGGCCGCCCTAGCTGCCCTCATTCTTGTATGTCCAGCCTGTTGACAGCCCAGGCCAATGCTGACCTCCCACGAGGCACTGTCCCAGGCTGCCCTATTGGTAGGTGGATTCTGGTAGCCCCTTCTCGTGATGGAGGGGCCGGTGGAAAGGCTGCGAGGAAGCTGGGGCTGTCACTCCACACCTGCACAGAGAGGCTGGATGCTTGTCCTCAGCCATAAATGCCCTCGTGGAAGGAGATACGTGTTTGGGATGTGAATTGCCTTTCCCAAATCCCATTCAATTGTCAGCATCGTCGTCTGTGGTCCTGCAAACACCTATTCACTCCCGAGGTATCTCGTCCAACATTATTTCTGACCAAGAAACTCAATTTTCTCTGAAAGAAAGTGTAGCTCTGGGCTTTTGTCCCTGGGTTTCGTGGGCCTAACTTACACGCCGTTCCTGGGCACAGCTGGCCTGATGGAGGAATAGAAGGGCCTGCAGGAGACCAGCTCTGGAGCTGGATTCTACAGGGGGATGGGGCACAGGCTTTAAGTGAATGACTAATGCCTGGCGCCATTTCCCCCATTTCCAGTACACTCCATTGGGAGCCACAGGCAGGAGGTGAGAGCAGCCCCCGAACTGTTACTCAAATAACCCATTAAACAGTGCTCAGCCGCCCTCCGTGGCTCTGGGCCGGACGACCTGGAGGGTCCGGTGTTGGTGGGAGGAGTGCTGTCTTAGGAAACAGCTGTGGTCCCTGCAGGTTAGGAACTGAGATTGCTGTCAGGCCTCTGGTGGGCTTTACCTTCCAGCCAGCAGACAGGAAAGGGCTTGCCCTGGGTGCTAAGCAAATCCTCAGAGACACGGGGGCCAGGAGGATGCTATAAGTCTCAGGGTGCCCGCCAGCATTCCCATACTCAGTAACACGGGACAAAGAAAACGACCAGCACAGACAGGCCCTGGAGGTCTCAGATCCGCAGAAATGGAGACGGGCCGCCTGACCACCTAGCCGTGGTGGGATGGAGGGTAGGGGGAGCCTGGGATGCAGTGAGCCCCCGAAGTGGGTGTCTGCCTGCAGTGAGGCTAGCCTGGGGTGAGGACCTGTGTGGCTTCAATCCCCTGGGGAACACGAGCCGGACTGGGAAGGGAAGGAGCTCCAGGAGCGGGGATGCCAGCCAGTCCCCAGGGGAACTCTGGGGCAGTGCAAGTTGGACATCGGAGTGTCCCCACTGATGGCAGCAGCCAGGGCGTTGACACTCCTGCCCCTTCCGCCACTGGCCCGGAGCAGGGGTGCCTCTGGCCCTCCAGCGGGCAGGTGAAGCACGTTCCCCACAGAGGCAGCGATAGCTGTGGGGGAGGTGCACAGCTGGGGTCCACGCACGGCACCAGGACCTGGAGAACACAGGCGGGGGACTGAGCTGCCGAAACCGTGGGTGACAGGGAAACCCCGAATGATCCTGATGCTGTGAGAGGTTTGAGGACAAGCATCTGAGGGCGCAACACCATCCCATCTCACAACAGCAAGGAAAGGGGCATGAGTGGGTCTCGGGGAGGAGCGGCTGGGCCCCAAACATCAAGTTCAACACGCTTCCTCGGTGTCCAAGCAGGGTGTCAGGCGTGTAGGCGGATGGTGCATCTGGAGCTCGAGGCGCCGCTGGGGCTGTTGGGGTGAACGGTGATCGGGGCGGGTGGAGGAGGTGGGGCGGCGAGGAGATGGAGGAGCGAGGGCAGTGGAGAGAGGATGAGAAGCACAGGCGCGGCCAACACGAAGATCAGGGGCACGTGGAAACCTACAGACAGACTGAGGAAAAGGGCGACCCCACCTCCGCAGCTGGGAGGGCCACCAGCCAACCTCCAGGCCCAGCGTGGGGCCCGCGGCCTTCACCGTCCAGCAGAGCTGCGGGGAGGGGACCTGACTGGGGGTCCCAAGGAGAATGGGAGGTGGGGCTGTGGGGCCTGTTTACAAAAGGAACGGAGTTTGCAGCAAGGGGAGCAGGGAAGTGGGAAGTCACAGGACCACAGTGTTCTGCACCCCGAGTCCAGCCACACCCCCACCAAAAGCCCCCCCCGATATCCCCTCCGGCCCTGTCCCAACGTCACACTTTCTCCTTCAGTGTCTGGGTGTCTGTTCTTCTCAGGAGGCTCCGAACTGCAGCAGGACAAGGGTTGGGCCTTCTGGAATAATCCTGCAGCTGGCTGGGGTTCGGAGGTGCTGGGGGAGAATCACAACGTGAGCAGAGTACATACGCGGGTCGGGCATCCTGCCCAGGACATGCACCTGTGGCCTCAGGAACCCTCTCCCTTCACAGATCCTCAGCATCATCCTCTGAGGTTGGTTCTCACTTTGCAGCTGAGGAAACTCAGGCACGGAAGTCCCATCATCTGGTCACTTCCCGGGTGACTGCTCAGTAGAGCAGATTCAAACCCAACCTCCCAGCTCCAGAGTCCAGCTTCCACTCCCTGTGCTCCCGGGAACCGGTCTTCTGCACCAAAGTCATTTCCAGTAACAAAATATTCCCCCTGTTATGATCCCACCCACCTCATCCTGTAATCCCCTCCTGGGTGTGCTTTGGGAGGCCCTAAAACCAGGGCTCACCCAGGACACACACAGCCTCAGCGTCTTTGCAGGCCCATTGTGACCAGTGGAGGGTCTTGACCTCGAGTCGCCCAGGTTCTTGGTGTTTTGAACAAAGAATTGGATAAAATGCACAAACGAAGCAACGAAAGAGTGAAGCAAGAAAGCACAGATTTACTGAAATGAAAGTACACTCCACAGAGCGGGAGCCAGCTGGGGCAAGCGGCTCAAGGGCCCTGGCCGCAGAACTCTCTGCAGTCCAAATACCCTCTAGAGGTTTCCCATCCGTTACTTGGCCTCACCCCACGCAGACGAAGTAGTGGCCCATGACCAGCCCTGAAGGCCGGAGGGGACTCATCAGAGGTCCCCTCCACCCTTCATCTGTGACGCCTGCGAAGGGAGCAGCCCCAATCCCTCCTGCCTGTCCGCCCCCACCATCAACCTGGGTGTGGAGAGGTGGGGGCCTCCCCACAACACTCAGTTTCTGGAAGCCAGCATGAAACAGCCCCAGGCTCCCTGCCTCCAGACCCCACTCTCCTGCCTCACAATGGCTTGTTTTGGAATCTTACCTATTGTTTTTTGTGTGTGTGTGTGGTTTTTTTTGTTGTTGTTTGTTTTTTTGAGATGGAGTCTTGCTCTGTCACCCAGGCTGGAGTGCAGTGGTGCGATCTGGGCTCACCGCAAGCTCTGCCTCCAGGGTTCCCACCATTCTCCTGCCTCAGCCTCCCGAGTAGCTGGGACTGCAGGTGCCCGACACCGCGCCCAGGTAATTTTTTTTTTTTTTTTGTATTTTTAGTAGAGATGGGGTTTCATCATGTTAGCCAGGATGGTCTTGATCTCCTGACCTTGTGATCCGCCTACCTCGGCCTCCCAAAGTGCTGGGATTACGGGCGTGAGCCACCGCGCCCAGCCCCTATTGTTTTTAAGTATTTAAGTTTCTTTTTTTCTTTTCCAATTCTGCCTGTATTTGTGAGCCTGAGGCTGATTTTGGTGTTCTGGAAATTTAGGTTAGAACGTGAGGGTGTGTAGATGTGTGTCCATGTGGGATTTCTGTGGAAAGGCTGGTGTGGTGGCTGTGGCTCAGTCTCAGCAGGGGCCCAGATGGCAGAGAGCCCCAGCACCGATCACAGGCAGGCCCAGGCCGGCCACCGCTCCCCAGGAAGAGGGGCTGCCAGCCCTGTGGGCCAGGTTGATGAGATAGCTTTCCTGTAACCAAATGGGGGCTTAAAACACCAGACATTCATCCTGCCATGGCTCGTGGCAACCTCCTGTTTGTTCTCCGAAAACATTGTTCAAAAGCCTGATTTTGGTCTTTGGAGGCCCAAAGACCAAAACGAAGATGCTGGCAGGGCTGTGTTCCTTCCAAAGCTCTAGGGGAGGCTCCATCCTGCGTCTTCCAGCTCCCGGTGGCCGCGGTCCTTCCTCAGCCGGTGGTGCATCGCCCCGTCCCTGCCTCCGCCTGCACACAACGCCTCCCCTCGGGCTGCTCCTCCTCTGTCTGTCTCAAATTCCCTTCACATTTTCTCATATAAAAAAATTTCTCCTGATGTGTCACTGGGTGCAGGTCCCACCCGGATAATTCAGGATTGCCTCCTCATCTCAAGATCCTTAATTACAGCTGCAGAGACCATTTCTCCAAATAAGACCCCTGCACAACTCCAGGCACTGGGGCGCCTTTGGGTGGCCACCGTTGAACCTATGATGACAAATGCTGGCCAAGCCAGTGAGCAGAAAGGTGATTTAACCTTTCTTTGAAGTCCACCCTCAGAGAGAGGGTGCATAACTCCTCACTCCCTACGTGTGGAAGAGAGGACAGTGAGGCAGGAGGGGAGAGATCACCATCCCGAGGAGAGAGGGGAGTGGAAATGCACCAAGGCATGGGGTCCCGGCGGGATCCTGCGCCCAAGGAAGACACCGAGGACGGAGGAGACTGGAATCCAGCTAGGCTATAGTTCACAATGATGCATGCGTATCGGGTTAGTAGCTGTGACACATGCCCCATGCAAACGGCACACGCTAATAACGGGGAAACTGGGTGGGGCGCGGGCAAACTCTCTAGACTCTCTTCTGCATTTTGATGTAACCTAAAACTGTTCCAAAAAATAGTCTATGAAGACTAAAAAGTTGAGCCGGGCGCAGTGGCTCACACCTGTAATCCCAGCACTTCAGGAGGCCAAGGCGGGTGGATCACTTGAGGTCAAGAGTTCAAGGCCAGCCTGGTCAATATGGTGAAAACCTCTCTCTACTAAAAATACACAAATTAGCCAGGTGTGGCAGCGTGCGCCTATAGCCCCAGCTATTCGGGAGGCTAGAGAATCACCTGAACCCGGGAGATGGAGGCTGCAGTGAGCCAAGATTGAGCCACTACACTCCAGCCTGGGCGACAGAATGAGACAACCTCCCCCACCCCGCCAAAAAAAAAAAAGACTAAAAAATAGAAAAAAAAAAGAAGGCACGCATAGGTCAGAAGTGGTGAGAGAAGAGGCAGGCACCCACATCCCCCACCCCCAACAACACACACGACCCCAGCCCCGCACCCCCAGCCCAGCGAACCCAGGCCTTGCGCCCTGCACACCCACTGTGCTCTAGGCACCCCCAGCTGTCCTCCCGGAGGCACGGGGCACCGGCGCAGTCACAGGTGTGAACGTCCACCTCCAGCCCACCTCCAAGCAGGGAGCATGGAATGACTGCTCCCAAATCCCAGAATGAGGGGCTCTGCTGCAGGGCAGGACCAGGACCGCCGAACCTCAAGCCAACTGCATATAAGTCTACTGAGCAAGCGGCCCGCCCGGACCTGCAGGAGACCCTTGCTGATAGGAGAAGGCGGAGGTGACTTACTCTCAGCCACTGCGGCCGCTGGGGCTGGGCGGGGCCGGAGCAGCTGTCTCCCGTCACGCATGATGCATCCGCCCCGAATCCACGGCTCGTGGCAACCTCCTGTCCTCTGAAAACATTGTGCAAAGGACTGATTTTGACTAAAGGAGCTCAGGGCAGCCACTGTGAAAGAGATGTGTGTTTGTCTAAATTATTTAGAGTGAGGGAAGCGGGCTCGGGGGCAGGAGGCGATGAAGTTCTCTTCTGAATTTCATTTCAGTCAGCCAGGCTTGGAGCCGGTCAGCTGCTCCCCCAGGAACGCTTGTGGCTGCAGGCAGAAGGCTCCTCAAGCCCCCAGGAACCCCTGGGAAGAGCAGGGCCCCCCAGAGCGAGTCCCAAGCCTGTGGGAAGAGGGGGCCGAGCTGAGGGTACGCAGGGCTGGGGTCAGGGGAGCTGGATCAGGCCTGAGTCTGGCCTCTCCTCTCCGCTGCACCGAGATGAGGAAGTGGCCAAGAAATCCAGTCCAGTCCAGAGCTTGCTTCTTAAACAGCAGATGCTGGTGAAATCAATGAATCTGTGGATTCCTAACACGGGAAATGGGCGACGCGGAGATGCTGTCTGGAGGACGATGCGTCCCGAAACCTCTGCCCAGGCTGCCCTGAGCCCATGCCCCCTCCAACATCTCTGAACCCCACATCTCCATCCTCTCTGTCATGGCCGTTTCTGCTCCATCCCCTGCACCCATAACTCCGGACCCTTCCGGACGCCCATAGCAGATACCACGCAAGGCCGGGCTAGGCCAGCGGGGATCCTGGGGCTCATCAGGACCTGTCTGGCACCCACGTATCCGCCCTGCCTGGGGAAAGGCCTTTCAGGGCACCCTGTGACCCAGGCTCAGACTGCAGGGCAAAGTCCAGGGGGCCTGGGATTCAGAGGCCACAAAGCTCAGGTCCTGCCATCCCAGCACCAGGCCAGGGACAGAATTGGGAAGGGGTTGGGGTGCCTCTGCTGTGCGGGCAGCCTGAGAGTTTCAGGGAAAGAAACAAGGTGAGGAGCAGGTACTTGGAGACCACAGAAATGGTTGCAGAGTCAGCCCTTGCCAGGCACCTCACTCCTTACTCCTCACCTCCTATATCCTCACTCCTCAGCTTCTCACCTCCTCACTCCTCACCTCCTCACTCCTCACCTCCTCACCTCCTCACTCCTCACTCCTCACCTCCTCACTCCTCACCTCCTCACCTCCTCTCTCCTCACTCCTCATCTCCTCACTCCTCACCTTCTCACTCCTCACCTCCTCACTCCTCACTCCTCACCTCTTACCTCCTCAGTCCTCACCTCCTCACTCCTCATTCCTCACTCCTCACCTCCTCACTCCTCACTCCTCAGTTTCTTACCTCCTCAACTTCCCTCCTCCTCACCTCCTCACCTCCTCAACTCCTCACTCCTCAACTCCTCACTCCTCACCTCCTCACTCCTCACTCCTCACCTCCTCACCTCCTCACTCCTCACCTCCTCACCTCCTCACTCCTCACCTCCTCACCTCCTCACTCCTCACCTCTTACCTCCTCACTCCTCACCTCCTCACTCCTCATTCCTCACTCCTCACCTCCTTGTTCCTCACCTCCTCACATCCTCTCTCCTCACTCCTCACCTCCTCACTCCTCATTCCTCACTCCTCACGTCCTCATTCCTCACCTCCTCACATCCTCTCTCCTCACTCCTCACCTCTTACCTCCTCACTCCTCACCTCCTCACTCCTCACCTCTTGCCTCCTCACTCCTCACCTCCTCACTCCTCACCTCCTCACTCCTCATTCCTCACTCCTCACCTCCTCATTCCTCACCTTCTCACATCCTCTCTCCTCACTCCTCACCTCCTCACTCCTCACCTCCTCACTCCTCACCTCCTCACCTCCTCACCTCCTCACCTTCCTCACCCTCCTCTCCTCCTCACCCTCAGCTGCTATTTTCTGCAGGGCCTGGGCTTCACTCTGCTGCTCCTAGCTTGCCTTGTTCTTAGTCAACAGTGAACCACAGGCCAGCTGCAGCTTCCTCATATTGTGATGTAACTCAGGCAAGGGCTGGACACAGAGCTTTTACCACGCCTTCTGTCACTGAGAGCAAAACAGAGCTGTGGGGGTCTCGGCTTCCCCCACTGCACAGCAGCTCCCGAGCTGCAGGGAGAGCGGGAGTGCACGGGCACCAAACTGCGCCTCTTGGGGGTGCTGCAGCGGATTTTCTAACAGATATTTTCCTCTCCTTTATTCTAGGATCTGGAAGAACTGTGCCTCACCTCCGTCTCTCTGCCTCTGACTGCTCCCTCTACTCCCCAGGCCTTGCTGTCAGCACCTGCAACAGAGCTGTCCCTGCTGTGGTCTGGGGAAAGTTCCAGCCAGGCCCTCTGTGGCGCATCTATCCCTGGGGTGGGGCATCCAGGGTATTGAATCTACAAAATGCATCCATTTCACCTCCAAGTCAGCTCTGTGCACACCAAGCCGTGTGCAGGATAGGCTACCCTAGAGAGCCTGGGTACCCACGCAGCCTTCCACGAAGCCCCACCTACATGGCTGCTGCAGGTTCTCACCATCCTGTGCTCACCGGGAAGGCTGGCAGGTCCACACCGGAAACCATGGGCTGGGGAGAAGCAGGGCCTTGGTGCTAGAGAGACCTGCCCAAGCATTCTTCTGCAAGCCCCGAGACAGAGGAGTGAGCAAGCCTCAGGGGCGTGACAGGTGCTCAGGAGAGAGCAGGACACATGCAGAACCTGGAGAGAGCCAGAGAGGGACCGGCCACAGAGAAGCCCATCGCCTGCCAGCACTGACGTGGACGTTGGGAAAAGGTCAACCCCCAGCCCCGGGCTCCTCCCGCTGCTCTCAGCCCGGCCTGCTGTGCACCGTTCGGCTGGGTGGGGCTGCAAATGTACCCCGCGTGCTTGTGCTCCAGCCGCATCAGCCCCGGCCCCCAGTGCTCACTGGGTCCCCACTGCAGCAATGGAGCAGCGAGGAGACCAGTCTGGAGCCATCTAGACCCACAATGAGGATAGCAGGATTCCTGGGGACAGCCCAAGGCATACCTGTCCTTCATAAATGCTGATAAACAGCGTAAAATAGAGCTGGGAAAGATTAAAACCACAGAGCCAGCGTCCAGAGCGGGGCCTGCCTGTCATTGGTGTTTATGTCGCCATAGCAGCGACCAGGCAGGTGACTTGCTCCTGGGGGCAGGCCCCTGTTGAATGACCTCCCAGGATGAAGCACAGATCCCACCCCCTTAGTCCCCAGAACTCCTCACCTTGCAGCCCACTCCTCACACCAGGTCCTCTTCCCTGCAGGTTTCTGCTGGTGGCCCAGCCCTGGCTGGGATTCCTCACTCCCACGCCTCAAGCCTGAGAATCCTTCCGGAAACACAAGGTGAGCACATGCGACATGCAGATTCCACAGGGTCTTTTCCACATTAGCCCCATGCCCAGTGCTGTTGTTCGCCTCTCTACAGGTGGGAAATGGAGACCCAGAGTGGTCAGGAGGCAGCTCCAGGGAGGCAGAGCTCTGAGCCACACTTGTGCCTGTCTGTCTCCACAACCCAGGTGGCCTTTCCAGGGGGAGGGTGCCTGAGTGTCCCTGAGGCCCAGCAGGTGGCTGTGTCAGGAGATCTGAGCAGCCCTGGCCCTGGTGTAAAGAAAGCCTGGGACTCTCTCGCCAGAACCTAAGGGGTAGGTCGTTGGCAGAGGCAGGGGCAGGCACAGCGTAGAGAGGCGGCCCAGAGGCACCTGACACTTAGGAGCGTGGATGCTGACTCTGCTGGGGGCTTTGTCCCTGAGTGAAAGTCACTAAGCCATTGTCGTGTTCTAAAGCGTACATCTCAGAATCTCAGGGTCTGCAGAAGACTTTGGGGACCTCGGTCCCCACCCTCCCATGCTTCCTCCCCAGCTGGAGCCCCACCTCCCCACCTCCCCACCTCCCCACCTCCCCACCTCCCCATTGTCCTCGGAGTCCCCAGCTGGCCTCTCTCAGCCCCCTGGGAAGTTCACAACATTTGCAGCCCCATATCCCAGAACAAGCAGCTGGGCCTGTCCCTGGGGCGGTGGGACCTATGCTGGCTCCACAGCTGCGGGACAGGTTCCGGGTTCCCGGGTGTCCGCCCTTGTCTGAAGAATGTACACCCATCGTGGTGAAACCATAAAATCCTCGCCATACGACAATGCTGATGGCAGCCGTGGGCCACCGAGCCATTTCTCGATTCCCCGTGCCCACACTTGGCCCAGAGTATCACACCTAATCCTTCCCGCAGTGTGTGCTGTTAGTGTGAGCCCCATGTCATGGATACGAGGCACAGAGGCAGAGTGCTGGTAGCCTGTGCCCTGGTCGCAGCCCGGGGTTCCCTGGTCATCCTGATGCCAAAGCTCACCACTTCCCTGTGCTGTCCCCTCTCAGAAAGCCGCCTGCAATGCGCCTGTGGTGGGGGGTGGGGTGGCGCATGTGTGCCTAGGAAACGTGCCTGTGCCTCTGTGGATGACGTCGGGACTCGACGCCTCCTGCAGGAGGCAGCCTGGGGCTTCTGGCTCATCTCTATTCTGGCTGGCAGGAGCCAGCCCTTGTCAAGGCTGTCTCGGCCGCTAGAGCCGGGCTTCAGGTGTGAGCCTGTGCCTAGGACATGCGCAAGTCCACAGCACAGCCAGTGCATGCCGGGCCTCAGAGCCTCCTGTGTGATGGGAGCCCTTACCTGCTCTGAGAGTGGCGCAGCTCTCAGGAGGGGTCACCTCCGCCTTAGGCTCAGCTCAGCCAGACAGGCTAGCCTCTTACACTGCACACAGTAGGTGCTCAATAGGGAGTTTTTGGTTAATAAATTACTGAAGGAAGGAGGAAGAGAAAGGAAGACAGGGAGGAAGGAAGGGAGGGAGGGAAAGAAGGAGGGAGAAAAGGAGGGAGGGAGGGAGGGAGAAAGAAGGGAGGGAGGAAGGGAGGGAGGGAGAGAGGGAAGGAGAAAGGGAGGAGGGGAGGGAGAGAGGGAGGGAGGAAGGAAGAGAGGGAGGGAGGGAGGAGGAAAGAAGGGAGGGAAGAAGGGAGGGAGGGAGGGATGATGGGAAGGAGGGAGGGAGAAAGGAAGGGACAGAGGCAGGGAGGGAGGGAGGGAGGAAGGGAGGAAATGCTCTTTGTCCCCGCAGCCTGCTCTGAGCAAGGCCCTGGAAGACACAGGTGTCTGCTCTGTGGCTCTGGGCATCCTGGGTCCACGGAGGTCCACAACGGCTCAGCAGGGTGTCCTGGAACCACAAGAACAGGATGAGGGTTGTGACCAGGGCAGAGGCCCCTTGGACAGTGACCCTGAGGCAGCTCTCCAGGGACACAGGGTCAGGACGGGGGTCGGGATGAAGGAGGCAGTGCAGACAGGAAAGCTGGCCTGGACCCAGCCCCCTGCACATCAGTGCAGCTGCAACCCCCGGCCTCCACCTCCCCACAGCCCTCCTGTGCTCCTGGCTCCAAGATCACGGCCTACCCCACGTCCATGTGACAGGGCCCTAGTACTGGGGAAAAGAGCAGCAGCAGCATTACATGTGCAATTGGGAAAATTATGAAAATTATTGATATTTATAAAAAGACCATTTTTTCCAATCCTATGTCTACAAAGAGCCACGGGTCACTTTTTCCTGTGCCTGGAGTCTCCTCTGCAATGGAAGGTGGCAAGGATCCTTGGAGGGCCGCCGACTCCACATTCTAGGGAGGAGATAGCCGGAACCACCTAGAACATCCTGTTTTGCCAGAAAGCAAGGATGCTTTCCAGACACCAGGGGTTCTTCCGGAAGGACAAAGCATCCTGCTTGAAGGCTCTCCCTCCTGCCAAGTTATAATAATCTGAGCACAAAAACAATAATAATTACAACACTGATTAATTAAATCAGTTGAGTTTCAGAAGGTCTCTCGGTCCGTAAGGCTCCTCACAGGAGGAAAGTTAACACACAGCGTGCCACCCCTCATGGTGCGGGCTGCAGACTTTCTTCCTAGGGAGGGAACTAGGCCAGGGCTGCCCTGCCGGACCCACCTCAGGCCCAGCCATGAAGGTGCTCCAGGAGTCTGTTCTGGCCTGTGCCACATCCAGGCTTGGATGGGGCTGGAGATACTGGCCTTGCATCCTTCTCACTCCTCTCCACTTCCCGTAGGCTGGACCTGCACCTGCCAGGTGACCATGGCCTCGGTGTGGGAGCAACATGGGGAGACCTGGGTCCCTGAGTGGCCATGACCATCGACCTGGAGCAATCAGCTCAGGACTGTTAGGTGGGAGCAGCAATCATCCAGCTCCTTCAAGCTGCAGCATCCAGGGGTCTCTTCATTCCATTATGGATATAGCCTAAGAAATGGTGACAGTAAAGGGTCTCATACAACACGTCCCATTTTTATTAATTTTAATAAATAGGAGAAATTGAATATACATGGGTAGTCCATTTGTTGAACTAAGCTTCTGTCTGCTTATAAAGGTTGGATACACATTTGCTTTTCTGTCTAAGAGGAGAAGAGTGTTTGCAGGAAACTGAGACAGCAGTGTCTGTGTTAAGAGTAGGAAGGCAGGGCCTGCTCCAGAACCTGCCTCCAAATCCCAGAGACCACGGTGCCCCCAGAGTGGCCTGCCCGAGCCCACATCCCAAAAGGCACAGCTTGTTCACAGGCTCCGTCCTTCAGCACCCAAGACAGGACACCATGCCAGTGCTAATGACCAGTCCACATATAACAGTCTGGGCCAGGGAACCCCAGGGAGGAAAACCACAAGGCATTGCTGTGAACTGAAGGTTTGCATCGCCCCCAGATCCCCTGTGGGATGGTGTATTGGTCTGTTCTCACACTGCCAATAAAGACATACCTGAGACTGGGTAAGTTATTCAAAAAAAAAAGGCTTAATTGACTCATACTTCCACATGGCTGGGGAGGCCTCAGGAAACTTACAATCATGGCGGAAGGGGAAGCAAACACGTCCTTCTTCACATGACAGCAGTAAGGAGAAGTGCAGAGCAAAAGAGGGGAAAGCCCCTTATAAAACCATCAGATCTCCTGAGAGCTCAGTCACTATCACGAGAACAGCATGAAGGTAACCGCCCCCATGATTCAATTACCTCCCACTGGGTCCCTCCCACGAGACACAGGGATTATGGGAACTACAATTGAAGGTGAGATTTGGGTGGGGACACAGCCAAACCATATCACATGTATTGAGAGGTGAGGACTTTGGGAGGTGGTTAGGGTCAGACGAGGTCCTGAGGGTGGGACCTCACAGTGGTCCCTTATGAGAAGAGACTCCAGGGAGATGGCCTCTCTCCACCATGTGAGACACAGCAAGAAGGCGCCGTCTGCAAATCAGGAAGGGAGCCCTCACCACACACCATATCTGCCAGCCCCTTGCTCTTGGACTTCCCAGCCTCCAGAACTATGAGAAATAAAGAGCTATTATTTAAGGTCCCCATCTGTGGTATTCTTACAGCAGCCCAAAGTGACTCAGACAGACACACATCCTAAAGAAAACACCAGGGTGCAAAACAGAGAAAGATGAGAGCCCAAAGAGTCTATCAGCATAAGCCGTGAACTTGAACAATGAAAGGAAGCTCAGCTGCACAGGGGCTGCAGATCTGGGAGACACTCCAGGTCCATGTCATGTTCTCCAGACTCCACGGACACCCTGCGGGACCAGAGGAGGTGTCAGTGAAGGCAGGTGTTACTGTAACACCAGAATGTCACCCAGGAGTGGCGGCTCCAGGAGACAGGAGGACAGGGAGGCAGAGGGGGAGGGAGGCAGGAGAAGGGGAAGGAGGGAACAAAGAACAGATAAGACAATGAAAGGAATATTAACAGGCCACTATGTCGCCGGATTTTTAGGCTTGAAATCCAAAACCGTATGTTCTGCTTTTTGAAGTGTTGAAAGCAATAAGGAGATAGATAGATTACTTCCATGATTTTAACTGAATGTTTAGAAGAGTTTCATTATAATCAATGTTTACATATCTGGGGAAATGTAATCTGTTGAATTCCTGTTTTGATGTATGAGTCATGTAAGCCCTGTGTAAATATTTAGAGAAATGTTGGCTGTTTGATGTCTTCAAGGAGTATTTGTCATTTATAGATTCAGAGAAGTGAGGCAGAGGAAAGGCCCCTCCTGGACACCCAGGTCCCTTGGCTTGAAGATCTCCTGGCTGAGTGAACCCACACTGCCCACCCCGTCCCACTGTTCTCCTGCTTGCAGCACCCCCAGAAAGCTCTTCCTTGGCACTGGCCCCCACTCAGCCAGGTAGAGACCCTGCCGGAGCCTTGGACCCTGCCCTCACCCTCACTGCCCCCCACGCAGGGCTGGGCTCCTTGATGGCAGTGACAGTGCTGGGCACTGAAGCCCTATAGCGAAAAGTGATGTCTGAGTGGATGAATGAGTGATTGACAGAACCCTAGAAGGTGGACTTCGTAAAGCAAAGAAGTGGCCTGGCGATGCCCCCACGCTGGTCTACACCTTCCACACCATCCCCATCAGAATCCCAGCTGACTTTGTTGTAGATAGATGGGGACGGAATTATTCTAGAATACATGTGGAAACACATGGGCCCAGAAGAGCCAAGGGAATCTCGAGAAAGAACAACCAAGTAGGAGGACTCCAGCTTCCAAGCCGAGCACACAGCGACAGCAGCAAGGCGGTGTGGCGTGGCGTGGCGCAGGGAGAGACAGCCAGACCCGTGCAGCAGACCTGAGGGCCACAAACAGGCCCGTTGTCTCTGTCCACTGACTTTCAACATGGTGGCCAAGGCCAGTCTGATGGGGAAAGAATCATCTCTTCCAGGAGGAGCCTGGACCAGGGTGCATGGCTCGGCGGCTCACCAGGTGCCTAATAGACATCAACCCAGGCCAGTTCTACAGCCGCCCAGGGAGCCCCTGCCCCGGGCCGGGCCCCAGAGGTACAGGGTGGAGCCAGGAGGCCTCAGTCTAGCCTAGGGGTATCACTGGAATAGAGTGAAGCAACCCCAGCTGGTGTGAACAGCAGAGAGGGCACATCCGAGACACGCGGGAGGAAGGGGAGGCAGCGATGTTCTCTGCCGGGGGCACAGGAGCAGTGGGGGCTCCCCAAGCCTGCCGCTCCCGGGACAGGGCTCCTGCCACAGCAGACATGGAAGCAGGGATGGTCCAGGGATCTTGGTCACCAGAGCCCCCTGCCCATGCGAGTGGGAAATTGCGGGAGACGTGGGCTGGGCCAGTCCCTGCACGCTCCGGACACACTGCCAAGGTGCTGGACCTCAGGTGGGCAGCAAGGAGCCTTTGGAAGGTGAGTAAGGGGGTCAGGGCTGCGCGTTCAAAGGTGGCCTGAGACCTACAGCATGAGGGAGGGAAGTCCAGCCTGCCGCAAGCCCTCCTCACCTCCACGCCTCCACTTTCCTGCCCCCGCCTGCAAGAGCGCACCAGGGTCCTGGCCTCCCCGGACCTCACAGGGGATGCACAGCCTGGCGGCAACACGCCCAGGCTCTGAGGAGGGCCGCTGGACTCGGACACAATGGTGTCGCTTAATAGATGTGTGACGGGGCAAGCTTGTTCCTTGCCTCCTGTGGGGTCACAGCAGCCTCTGTCTCACAGGCTGATGGTGCCTGGTTGAAACTAAACACTCAATAAATGTCAGTCATTTTCCTTACATAAAATCTGTGCTTTGAAGAGGCTGCTGAATAATTGGAAACTCTGGTTCCTGCTTCAGCTAAATTTGAATACTTAGATGGAAAACCGGGCCTTTTATTTTTACTGGGGAAGGGATTTAACTCAGTCTTTTGGAAGTACTTAAGAAAGCAGAGAATGTCTCTTTTCTCAGAGAATATTGTACCCTGAATCAAAACAGAGAGTCAAATTATCTTAATGGTTGTTATATAAAGTGATGCTTAGTCATTTTCTTAAACTATTTGTCTGAAATGGGAAATTTCTCTAAATCACATATAAGACTGAAACCAACTAAAATTCATTTTTCTCTCCAACAAAATCAACGGTAAGTGTCCCGCAGCTGAGAGTCTTCAAATCACAGTCATTGCAAGGACAATATTAATCACGGCACACGCGGCCCCGCCCGCATGTCAATACCCTCACCTACTGTCACATTCAAGGTGTCACCATCTCCAGCAGGCAGGCCAGCTGTGGCAGGGATGGACACACCACAGGGCCGGACGCCAGCCACACACTCACACCGGCTCAGCACCCAACCAGAGAGGATCTTCCGGAGCCAGCACCCCCGCCGGCGTGGGCCGCCTCCTTGGTTGCCAGCAACTCGGCTTTGAAGATGGAAAGTTTTGCCATGGGCCGGGGCTCTGCAGTTTGGCTTCTGAATTCAGTCCACGGGGACAGACAGCGTTCGCTAAGATGAAACCACGTCTCGATGACGCTGTGTCGTGGAAGGTGCCCCGACTGCTGGTGGCGTGGCCCAGCCAGTGTTTGGGCCAGCAGCACAAATAGCCAATTTCGGTCCCCGCCGCTGCAGCAGCTGCCAGGAAGCTGGGCGATAAAGTGGCCCCCATTTTAAACCGATGGAGCTGCAGTTGGGGGGCGGCCGCGCAGACAGCTGCAGAATGAACCGTGAGCCTCCCGGAGCAACGATGAAGTTTAAGGATTCGAGTTCTTGACTCAGGGCATCTGGGGTCTTCCAAGCCCTGGAGCAGCGCCCTCTCCCTGGCTGCCCTTCGCTCGTTCGGCAGGCACCATTCAAAGACCCCCAAGTACCTCCCAGAGGGGGCGTGTCGAGGGCTCCCACTTGGCCAGGAGGTGCTCCACCCCAGGCCCCCTTGTGCCGCTGGGCCTCCCCAGCCTTGGTCCCTGTGGACCTGAGCCAGCAGCGATGCCTGCTGTGTGGGGCTGCTGTGGGGACGGAGCTGGTGACCCACAGAAGGCTCTCCGCAGGGCCAGTGCACAGACGGGCTCTGCCATCGGAAGCCACCATGTGCACACAGGCCAGCCACTAGGGCCTCACAGTCCCGCCAGGGGTCAGGCAGGAAAGGATGAGGGCCCAGAGTGAGGGCTCCGGTGGACTTCCTGCAAGGCAAAGTGAGACACAGAGAGAGGTTGAGGTCGCCTCCATCTGGGCACCAGGTGAACGGACAGCCCCCAAGGAGAAGGTGCCCCAGGGCCGAGGTCTGGAGAAGTCGGTTTTTGTGTGGTGGGCTTTGGGGATATGGGCATTCCAGGCTAAAAGCTCAATCTAAGCAAGGGCCTGAAGGCTTGAAATCCCCCGAGCCCCATTTGGGGGCTGCAGTAGACTGTGTGCAAGCAAGACTAGCGGGGAACAAATGGCGGGGGTGGGGGGGCAAGGGACAGAACGTGCCAGACCTTGCATGTCAGGCACCGGCTTTGGCCTGCAGCCCAAGGGCAATGGGGAGCCATGGAAGAGGTTTGGGCACGGGAGTTAAGCCAGAAGAGTGCTTAGGGAGGCTGTCTCAGGTGTATCTTCAGATGCAGGGGCAGGGCAGCCTGGACCATGCCACCCAGAGCAGACAAAGGGGGCACAGATGAAAGCCAAGCCTGATTCAAAACAACAAGGCTTCTTAGTGGGCAGGTGACATTATTTTTAGGTTATTGGAGTCATTATTGTTATCATTATTAAATAGCCCCCACCTTACAGGGATATTAGAACTTCATGCTTTTCAAATTATTTACACATATTTTGGCTCATTTGATTCTTCCAAGAGTCAGTGAGGTCAGGGTGCGTCTCATTAGTGTCATTCCTGTTTTCCACACGTGCACGACTTAGCCTCTTACTTGAAGCCAGATACCTGTGTGGATTGCATTAGGATGGATATGCAGACTCCCAGTTCCTTGTCCTGGGACTCAGGGACCACAGACTCTTTAACTACCCATCCGAGGAATTGAATCTTAGCAGCATTTATTTTAGAAGGTTTTAGGTCCAAGTGTCAGAGTGCGGGCTAGAGACTTACGTTGCCCTCAGATCCTCATTGCGGTCTAGCTGCAGACCCAAAAAAGTGCAAATTTAGAGTATGTGTGTGTCATATGTGTGTGTGTTTGTGTCTGTGGTGTGTGTGTTTGTGTGTGTGGTGTGTGTTTGTGTGTGGTGTGTGTTTGTGTATGTGGTGTGTGTGTGTGTGGTGTGTGTGTTTGTATGTGTGTGTGTGGTGTGTTTGTGTGCGGTATGTGTGTTTGTGTGTGTGTGTGTGTTTAAACTGAGCACATGAGATCAACAGAAATCATTAGACTTCAGGAAATTAAGGTCAAGAAAAACCATCATTCATAGAAAGGGTTTTCTCCTCCTCTCCTCCCCGACTTCTCCATTCCCCTCTCTTCTCCTTTCTCTCTCACTAGGGATCCTCCTCCTGTCACCTTCAGCTCCTCCCAGTTCCATCCTCTCCCTCCCTTTCTCATTCCCTCCTTCCTTCCCTGCCTTCCTTCCTTCCTGTTATTATTGGTGTCCTGAGAATTCAGGCAGTGCCTTTAAAATTCCTGTTCTCTCTCAGTCAGCTATCGCTGTGTAACAAAGGCTTAAAACATAGACCATTCATTTGGCTCAAGATTCTGAGGTTCAGCAGTTCAGGCTGGGCTCAGCTGGGAGGTTCTTCACTAGGCCTCTCATGCGTCGGCCAGCAGAGGCAGGTTGAGAGCGTGGTTTTGCTGGTTCCACTTGAGCTTCCTCACATCTCAGGGACTTCTGCAAGAAAGACGGGTGGCTCAACTCTGCTTATGCTGCCCTGTCCCTAGCAGGCTGGCCAGCCTGGCTCAGATGGTGGCAGCAGGGGTCCCGACAAGGACGAACAGCACACAGGGCTTCTTGAGGCTGAGGTTTGGAGCTGCTATGTCATTGTCACTTCCAGCCCATTCCACCAGCCAAGGCAAGACATGAGGTCAGCCAGGGTCCAGGGGTATGGGATTAGGCCCCAGCCCTTGATCAGAGGAGCTGCAAAGTCACATGGTGAATGGTGTGATATGAGCAGGAGTGCAGCCCTGGGGACCCTGCTGCCATGGACCCCTGGCCCTGTGCTCAGGCCTGCCCATCTCCCAGTGTGACTTCCTGTCCTGTGCATTACCAGATGTTGGCATCCCGGGTTGAGGGCCCCCTCAAGTCCCCTCCTCCCTGGACCCTTGGGCCCAGCAGCAACTCTGCAGGGCCTGAGCCCCCACCGGCCCAACCTGGGCAATGGAATTCCCTCTGGCCATGACCTCCTTTCCCTGTGGGCCAGAACGACTTTGGGGAGGAGGCTTGCCGGGGCCAGGCAGGACCCTGAGTGCCAACCCAGGATGGGTGTGGGTTCATCTCCAGGAAGCCTCCCACCGGCCCCCAGAACACCTGCTGTGTTCTCCCACTCGAGGAGCTCTCAGCAGTCTCCCCTGGGGACACCACAAATGTTTCTGTAAACAGCCTCGCACACGAGTCCCGTACATGCTGGAGCTGCGGGCTCTGCTGCGTTTTCCCTGCAGGATGGGCTCCCTGATGGCTGCCCAGTCAAATGCATTTTGCTTTATTTTGTCACAGGGCCAGGCAAACAATGGTCATTGGCCAAATCCAGCCCATGGCCTGTTTTTCTAAATAAAGTTTTATTGGGACACAGCCACACCCAGTCATTCATGAATCCTCCATGGCTGCTTTTACTACAAAAGCAGAAGTGAGTAGTTTCAATAGACTCACAAAACACATAAGATGGGTCACAAAACCAAAAATATTGATTTTCTGGTTCTTTATAGAAAAGATCTGCCAACACTTGTCCTGTATTAACAGATCCCTGGTGTGATCTTCTAAAACCGCTCTCTGGCTACTCTGTGTTTAAACCCTTCAGAGGTTTAAACCCTGATGGGAGGAAGTCCCCATGCCCCTTCCTAGTGGCCAAGTTGTTGTCTGCTCGAGAAACAGAGGCTGCTCAGGGCTCCCTGCACTCATCTACCCGGGGCAGGCCTCTGCACCTCTGCTCCTGGGATTTTCCAGTTTTCTCTGTTGACAAGACCACACTGCCCTGGACCTCCACTTCCTCCATTTCTGAGACTCACCAGCAATTCCAGCAGGACTCAGCTTAGGCCCCGCCCTCCCAAGAAGACTTCACCGCTAGATGGGTACCTCCTCTGTGCTCCTGCAGCTCCAGGGCTGCCCTGCCCTATCGGAAATCACTCTCAGTCCCTCTCACGATGCGGCAAGCTCCTGGGAGCCAGCATGGGATCTGTCCCATCTCTGTGTGCCAAATGCCCAGCACAGGCTGCAGGCTGTGCATTTGGAAATGTGCACATAGGAAATGGCCCATGGATAGATGGGTGGTGAGGGAAGGAAAGAAGGAAGGAAGGGATTGAGTGGGTAAAAGGATGCATGGATGGATGGATGGGTGGATCAAGGAGTGGATGGATGCATGGATGAATGGATGGATGAGTGGATGGGTGGGTGAATGGATGGGTGGGTGGATGGATGGATGGATGGATGAATGGATAGAGGGGTGGATGGGTGGGTGAATGGATGGGTGGATGGATGGATGGATGACTGGAGGGGTGGATGGATGGGTGGATGACTGGATGGGTGGGTGAATGGATAGGTGGGTGGGTGGATGAATGGATGAATGGATAGAGGGGTGGATGGGTGGGTGTATGGATGGGTGGTTGGGTGGATGGATGAATGGGATGGATGGATTAATGCATAGGTACATGGTGAATAGATAGTCATGAATGGATGGACGGATAGATGTATATGTGGGGAACAGATGGATGAGCACACAAACTGTCTGCCTGGGAGTCTGGAGACCTAAGATTGTCTGGACCTATAAGTTCCTCCACAGACTCAGCCCTGCCCCTAACAGCAATGCTGTTAAAATTAACCATGGATTTTTTTTCTTTCTTGTTCTAAATGTACTGGGTAGCTGAGCCCGCTGGTGGTTTGCAGAGCGGGTTTCATCTGCTCTCAAAGCCAGTCCACATGAAGCCCAGCCTTGGTAGCTGTTTTTCCTCCTCTATCTTTCGAGCAGACGCATTTGGCAGACAGCAGATTTTGTCATTTTTCTTCACTTGGGCTGTTATTCCTGAGTAATAACTCATGCTCACAGGAAGGTTGGACTTCTCAGTAATGATATTGAAATTGGATCCCTGGGCACAGGGCATGCAGCAAGCCAGTGAGGCCCTAGCATGTCAATGAGGCGGGCCTGGCCTGGCAGTGCCCAGGGCTGTCTGTCTGGAGAGGGGCTGCTCTTGTACAGCATCTCCCTGAGCCAGGGCCTGGGCTGCACCTCGGCAACCTCCCAACTGCCTCCAACTTGCACAGCAGAACCACGAGAAAATCCCCAGTGAGTGTCTCCTAGTTAAGGACCTAATGTGTCTTACCCAGGAGTGACCATGTCCCAGCTCTGAGCACGGACATCTGTGGTAAGAATAGTACCACGTGCCCGGGAGTCAGGCCCTTGTCACTGAGTCCAGTTCAGAAAGCCCCTGGGCCTATATTCAGCTGTGAATGCAGAAGACACAAATCAGACCACACCACTGTAGGACCCAGAAAAAAAATGCAAATGCATGGTCCTCACCGAAAATTATTAACAATTTCAGGATGGCAACAAGAGAGAATTAAACCAAGCACCGAGTCCCCTTGAGCACTGAGACCTGAGCACAGGGTCCTCCTGAGCACCAAGTCCTCCTGAGCGCTGAGTCCTTCTGAGCAACGAGTCCTCCTGAGCACAGTCTCCCTAAGCACGGGTCCTCCTAAGCATGGAGTCCTCCTGAGCACCAAGGTCTCCTGGGCACCAAGTCCTCCTGAGCACGGGGTCCTCCTGGGCACTGAGTCTCCCTGAGCACCAGGTCCTTCTGAGCACTGGGTCCTCCTGAGCATGAGGTCCTCCTGAGCACGGGGTCCTCCTGAGCACTGAGTCCTCCTGAGCACAGGGTCCTCCCGAGCCCAGGGTCCTCCTGATCAGTGAGTCCTCCTGAGCCCGGGGCCCTCCTGAGAGGGGTTCTGTGTGTCTGCTGGGGGCACAGCCTGTGAAGCTGGCCAGGGACACAGCTTTGGCTCTGAGCTCCCTGAGGCTCTGCTCTCTGCATGCCTGGGTTGAGCAATTTCACTCACAGCCCAGCTGCAGGTTATCAGCTGGGGCCATGCAAGTAGGTGCCACTAAGGACAGGCTTGCAGGTGGCCATTATTCAGGTGGCAGGCACTTCCTCCTCACTCCACCTCATCACCGTTGCCCATCTTCTCCCCAGTGGCCGTCCTGAGCGTGCTCTGGACCTTGGTGGATGGGCCCCGGGCTGTCTGTTGTTGCTGCTGTGGTTCTGTTTGAAAAGCTCCCCTTGTCACCAGGGACGCAGGCTCTGCCTGGAAGGGCTGTCCCTGGCTTCCCCCCGGCCTGTCCTCTCCCCTCCTGTTTGAGTTGCTGTTCTACAGTCTCCATTGCAACCTCACCTTTTCCGAGGTCGCCCATGGGTTGGCACACACTGTTGGCCATGCACCCTCTGCCGCCTCTCCAGAGGATGGCAAGGAAGAATATGAGGTGAAACAAAGGCACTCACACACATGGGTGCACTCTCACACACACTACACTCACACACACTGCACTCTCACACACACTGCACTCACACACACTGCACTCTCACACACTACACTCTCACACACACTACATTCTCACACACTCTACACTTTCACACACTACACTCACACACACTACATTCTCTCACACACTACACACACACACTACACTCACACACACACTACACTCACACACACTACATTCTCACACACACTACACTCACACACTACACGCTCACACACACTGCACTCACACACACTACATTCTCTCACACACTACACACACACACTGCATTCACACACACTACACTCACACACACACTACACTCACACACACTACATTCTCACACACACTACACTCACACACTACACGCTCACACACACTGCACTCACACGCACTGCACTCTCACACACACTACATTCTCACACACACTACACTCTCACACACTGCAGTCACACACTACACGCTCACACACACTGCACTCACACACACTGCACTCACACACACACTGCACTCTCACACACACACTGTACACACACCACTGTAGGACACACCACTGTCTCCTATGTGACGAGAGGGGCAGCCCCAGGCCAAAGGTGAATGAAAAGGAGACATTGGTTCTCGGGCCCAAGTGGTGGCATCACAACAGCGTCGTAAAGGATTTTCCAGGGTGGTCCCATCTCCACACAACTCCGATGTTAGGATCACTGACTTCGGTGCCTCATGTCTCCCAGGATGACCTCCAGGGTGTTTCGAAAGGAAGAAGACAGCAGCCACGGGGCGCCGGAGCAGGTGGGACCGGCTCTGCCCCTGCAGCCTGGAAGAAGGCCGGGGTTCTCCCACTAAGTCACGCAGCTTCCAAAGCTGGGCGACCCCACCCACCTCTTCTGCTGTGAAAGGGGCCTCCTCACCCGGGACGCAGTGCAGGGGCTGTTGCCATTTCAGGAGAGTCCCCTAGAGGCCAAGGACCCCACCTCCCGAGCAGGTTGCAAGACCTGCATTTGGGCGGGACTGTATCCCCAGAGTCAAACGGCAGCTGCGGAAACAGAAGCAAGCTTACTTTCTTTTCCACTGAACAAATTCAACTTTGGGATGCAATGAAGCGCGACTTCTTCAAATGGACAAACAGGTAGCAAGCGCTGACTTGGGAGAGCGATCTCTCAGAGTAAATTGTAGGACAGCAAAGTCGCAAGACTCCTCTGCTGTTCCCAGATAGGACTTTCCAGGCACAACTGTGCAGTTGTAGCTGTGAGTGCAGGAAGGGCTCTGCCGGAGGCTCAAGGGCCTTCCCTCATCCGCCCTCCACGCGCCCTCATCCTCTCTCCACGCGCCATCCCTCCTGCCCGCGACCTCTTCTCCAGCGGTGAGCCAAGCCACGTGGCCGGCAGGGGTCCTGGCCGCACTCTCCCCTCCCGGTGTCTACTGTCTGTGCCATGTGACTTTGCCTTTGCTCCCACCAGCCTTGACTCTGGTTCACTTGTGAGTTGTTTGATGGCAGAGGTGATGAAGCAGGGCCTTGGTGTGTGCCTGAGGGGTAACCAGGAGGGGAATACACCCTAGGAGGGCAGCCTCTGCAGCCTGGGCCCCAGGACAACCACCGGAGGAGGGGGACCTGCGTGGGAGCCACATCCATCAAGAGCACAGCGTGAAGCAGGACCAGTCAGTCCTTGCCGTGAGCAGACCTCAGCCGACCCTCAAGCCCGAGAGGAACACGCGCTCCCCTCCTCAGGCCAGGGTGGACGCCTGCAGCTGGTCTGCAGCAGCACTGACAGGCGCGTTTCCCCCACAGCCCCTCTCCATCAGACACTGTGTGAGACTCCCGACAGCTCCAGATCACTCCTGTGAGCTTCAAGAATTCAGACCTTTTTATTTGTTGTTGCAAGGTTTGCAAAATCCTTTTGGAGTATTTTGATGCATATAGAATCTTCCGGAAGGTCTGGGTTTTGTGCCTGAGGACAAGGCTGGTGGTGGGCAGGGTATGTTAGATAAGTGGCCAGGCCCTGGTGAATATTTTCATTTTGGAAGGCACTAGCTCTGAGAATGCTGCACACATGCAGGGGTGCCCTGGGCACCTGCCCCTGCCCGGCACAGGTCGTGGGAAGCTATTAGGAACCCTAGACTGGGTATCGGATCCCAGCTGTATAGCCTCCCTTTGCTGTTCCCTCACCCCGTGAGATCCTGGGGCAGGCCCTCCTCACTGTGGGCGTCGCATGCCCCATCTGTCCAAGGGGACAACCAGACGGGCTCTGGGGCCTTCTGAGGCCAGCTCAGCTCTGGTCTTCGGCCCCGTCCACAGCCCACCCTCCGCTCCCCAGCTCCTCTGAATTCTTGTCACTTTGGCTTGGCTGGCAGGGAGGGCACCCCCAACCTGCCTCCAGCCTGCAGACCCCCCTGCCACCCACTGTGGAAGGCTGGGCAGGAGAAGGGCCACAACCCAGGTGTCCCCGTCAGAGTTCTAACTGTGTGGCTGCTTCTGACACACGCAAGGGTGTTTTCTTCCACCTCTGCCTCCCTGAGACAGCGTTTCCCTGGGGAGCCCTGAGCACTCCCTCACTCTACCACCCCTTCCTTTCACCCCAGGGCCCCCAGCTGCCTCAGGGCCCTCTCACCTCCTGCCACAGTGACAAGGTTAGGGTCAGGGTCAGGGTCACCACACACAAACACACACAACACACACACACGCACACCACACACACATACACACCACACATCACACACACACACACACAGCACACACAACACACACTATACAGCACACACACACTACACAGCACACTACACAACACACACACCATACACATCACACACACCATACACATCACACACAAGCCCTGGCCATGAAGGGCCGACTGTTAGAGCTGCTGTTTAGCCTCCTGGTTGTCGAGGGAGAGCAGTCGCCTCCCTGCAAGTCTGCCATGCAGCTGGCTTCTCGGCTGGGTGCCGAGGCTGGGCTTGGTTCCCTGGGCCAGCAGCTGCAGGTGTGGTCTGAGCTCTGCATTTCAGGATGGCTGGGCGGTTGTCCGCTTGTGTGTTCAGACACTCACAGCACAGCTGTCTGCATCTCGTGCCTGTCTACCGGGGGATCCTGACCCCACCCCCTGGGAAGACCGTAGGGGATTACGTGAATGACAGGGCAGACACCAGCCCCTGATACAAGCAACCCCACAGGGCCGCTGAACCGTGACCAGGATTCCTGTCCTCAGGGAGGTGATTTTGGACCCACCCCACCCCTCCGTGCAGGCAGGTCGCATTCAAGTTCCTTCCGTGACCCGCAAGAGGTTCGGAGGCTCCCAGGTCCCCAGCCCCAGCCCCTGGTCTGTCACAGACGATGGGCGGTTCCGCAGATCCCCTCCAGGCTCTGCCCAAAGCTTGCCTGTCTCTCATCTGGGATAAGCTGCCTGGTGTGGGTTACAGTCCAGAGGAATGTCACCCGCAACCACTGGACATGGGGAGCCCCAAAGAAATCAGGGTTGGACCAAGGGCCGAAAATGAAGGAAAAATGTGCAGGGTGAGACTACGTAGGGGGACAGCGCTACATATCCATGGGGAACACCGAGACCTGAAACATCCGGGGACAGGTGTGTGCCCAGTTGCCAGTGACACCAGGCTCTGCACTGCCGGGAGAGGCCAGGCAGAGCCATCTTGGTGAGAAAGCACCGGATAGCCCTCCCCAGACAAGCGCCCCCTCCCCTCATTGGTCAGGGAAGCCACTGGGGACCTGGGAGTTTTTGGAAGGGCCTGTGGGGGATCAAAGGGAGGAGGTGAGCCCAGAGAGCTGGCTGCAGACTCCAAGGGAGTGGCTGCGTGTCCCAGCGGGGAGGTCCATGCTATCCAGTCAGGTGGGTGGGCATGTGCCTGTCGGTGCAGAGGCAGATAGCAGGGGCTGGAGTCCAGGAGAGAGGTGGCCCCTGCAGCAAGTGTGTGGTGGGGGGCGTTCAGAGGGAGCAGGGAGAGGTGTGGGACCCCTGCTCACCAGGTCCCTGGTTTAATAAAACGTGACCAGAATGACTCCATCTTGAAGTGTGTAACTAGGCACTCACAAGGCACCTGTAAGGTAATGCTTGTGTTCTGAAAATAGCCACATCCTAAGCTGACCACCAGTGATAATTGCAGAATATTTATGGCCATACAGGACATCTCCTGGCAAGCCTGCAGGACATCCAGATGTCCTGAGAGTGCAGGCCACTGTGCTCAGGGATGAGGACAGTTAGCGGCTGAGGCTGGAGGATGCACGGTCACTGACAGTCCTCGGTTGAGTGAGAGCATCTGCACGTTCCAGGCTCAGTTAGAGCTCCTGATGGTTTCTTACGAAATGGCAGCACCAGTGGAGGATGCTGCCTTCATCCTCCCGCTTTTGGAGGACGCCCTACTCTGTAATGAAGTCATTTCGAATCAACTTGCCTCTTTCGCAGAGCTCTGTGACTCGCTTGAATTCTTTCCTGAGTGAGATCTAAGAACCCGTGTTGGGGTCTGGATCGGGACCCACTTTTCTGGCAGCAGCACATCCTCCAGAGCCCTTTCTGGCTGGGGACTCAGGGAGCTTGTGGGCCAGGGCAGAGAGACAAAGGAGAGGAGGGAAGGCTGGGGACAGGGACAGAAGGTCCAGGACAGACTTGGGGGCCGTTAGCAGAAGAGACCAGAAGGGCCCAGCAGGAGAGACCACGTCCCCGAGGCTGGAGGGCGGGTGTGTGGGGAGATGTCAGATCTGCAGACACCGTGTGTCTAGCGGCCCCCATGTCGTGTATGTCAAAGTGTGCAACTCTGCTGGAGCCTGGAGCAGGGCAGGATGGAACAGAACAGCCTTTAGGGGAAGGGAAGGGGACCGGGGGCTGGAGACCAGGGTGCCTCATGCCGTGTGAGGTTGGGCAGACGCCAGGAGAAAGCCCCAGCCTGGCAGGGAGCCCGGGGCTTCCTGGGGCTGCTGAGAGCTGGCCGGGGTGCCAGCGGGTTGGATTGTGGGGTTTGTATCCTCCTTGTTTTGAAACAGGGACAAGCAGCCTGCTGAAAGCAAACACAACTGCAAGGTAAAATAAAATGCTAGAGAAGCTCCCAAGGAAATCTGAGCCCAGGGAGAGGAAAGACGGCCGAGAGTGACTAAAGCAAGGCTGGTCCCACAGTGAAGGCCCCAGGCACTGCGACCCTGGGAGAGGCTGCCAGGCACAGGGGAGGGGAGGCACCAGGAGGGTCAGAGAGGAAGCACACAGGGGAGTGGGGACCAGAGACAGGTCTCCCTGGGCCCCTCTGCCAGGCCCAGCCGGGTGGAGACGGGCTGTGCCAGGAGAAGCCTGAGCCAGGGTTCCAGGACGCCCAGCCGGCTCCTCGGTGGAGGAAGGCGTGGCTCAGAGCTCGGCGCTCCAGGCCTTGGTGTGAGACTGAAGAGGGGGTGCTGTGTATGTGTGCGGGCGGGGGGGTGCTCCAGGCGTGAGGCATTGCAAGGCATTGCACCCTAGGGATGTCATGGGATTGTTTTCTGGTGCAGGGTTGGCAGCCTCCTGTGGGGCCCGGCCGCTGTGTGTTCTGAGCTCTGACACCTCCTCACCACTGGGGAATTCATGACGCACTCCCCGAGAGGGCCAGGGCGCACATACTTCGTAGTTACATTGAGTTAAGAGAATGTTATTTTTAAGTATTTTGGAAAAACACTTGAAGAAGCCAGGACAAATCCCCAAAGCCATGTCAGAGATCCCTGGTTTAGGGGCGACTTCCTCTCCCTCTTCCAGCCTCACATCCTCCACCAGCGAGACGGAGGGTCAGCGACGGAGACGCCAACATTTTCCTCCAGTCGTCTCCTCTTAGGAAGAAAAACGAGCTTATTCTCACCAAAGTGTCAGGGGCTGGGTTTGTCATCAGCATGGTGTGTATTCATGTTTGAAAAACCAGAGAAAGGGAGTCAGTGGGTAGGCGACAAGGGTCACCTGAATGTGGACCTGCAGGCAGAGGGTGAAGCCCCTGCCTTTCCCCCACCCCAGGCAGCCCCCATGAGAGGTGGGAGAGGGAGCCGGACCCCTCCTCACTCAGACCCCAGCCAGCGCCTGGGCTTGGAGTTGGCGCGTTGCTTCCTGGCCGTGCTTCTGCCCCTTGGGCCCTCACTTCGCTGATCTGTAAAATGGCACGAGAATAGTTGTATCCATCCTCATGGAGTTGCTGAGGGGATTGATTGAGAACATGCAAAGTCCTTAGCACCTTAGCACAGGGCCTCCACTTAGGTGCTCAGTAAACACCAGATATTACCATTAGGCACCTGTGCAGAGAGGGGGAGCGGGAGAGGGAAGAGGGGGACCAGGGGAGGGAGGGAGCCCACATCCCCGGGCACAGGCAGACTTGACATCCTTATTTGCATGAAAAAAGAGTGCACTGGCTTCCGGGTGTCATAAACCTCCTGTTTCAAGTACGCACAGCCAATTTATTTTTATGAAGCACTGAGGCCTTAGACTGTCTGGAAGCTGATTGGCCACACTCGGTGCCATTTCTCTCCCGACCTGCAGGCTTTCCTGCCTTTTGTTTTGTGTCTTCTTTCCTCTGGGCAGAGCGGGGAGTGGATTCCTCGGCTTCGCATTTTTTCCTTTTTTTTGCAATAAATGAAGAGGAAACAGATCCATAGACACAAAGGTGTGGCCTGGCCAGCCCTGAGCATCTGAAGTTTGAGATCATCCTTCTAGGGGGCTCTGGGGCTCAGGCCTGGGCCAGGAGCCAGGCCCTCCCTGCAGGGTGTCCTGCCACAGCTCACAGTGCATAGGCCACCAGCACACATGCACCTGCCACGCGCCAGACCCACAGAAGGGATGAGGGAAGCCCTGGGGGTCCCGCCAACGATGCTGAGTCCACAGCACTGCGGTTTCATCTTCCTTATTGTTGTCACAACCCCAGACCCTGGAGCGGGACACAGCACACCTGTGCCCCATGAATATCGCGGTGTGAATGAGTAAGTGACAGAAAGCACGGATGGGCGATTTTAAAGAATAGGGACCTGTGGGCTGTGACGGGCAGGATGCCTGCGCCCCAGGGCTCACGGTCTCGGCAGGGATGTGGTTTTGGTAGCCCCTACATCGAGTGAGGACTTCTGTGATAATGACCACTGTCAATCACAAGAAAGAAACTGAGGCACAATGAACAGAGAGAGTTTATTTGGGTCAAGGTTGAGGACGGTGGCTGGGACATTGGGGGTGCTACCTCGGCCTTTGTTACAAGCAGGTTTTAAAGGCAAAGCAGGTAAGGAGTGGGCGGATACAAAGTCCTCTGACAGGAGTTCTCATTGGTTTAAGAGACAGCATGGATCGGTGATTGGCCGTCACCATTGATTCTAGAGGATGAGTTACAGGGTCCAGCAGGAGGCACTTTATGGCTACCCGGTGTCAGCCTAGAGCCCATACAGCTGGCAGATTCAAGAGGTCGTTCTCTAGCTCGAGGGGGAGTGGGACGTGGCTGCTGTCACATTTTAATGCCTCTCTGGGCCTGATAATTTAACGGAGCTCACATTCCTCAGATTAAAAGTTTCTTTTCTTTCTCACATAAAATGCTGGCACAGGGTCAGGAGCATGGGTGCTCTGTGGTAACAATCATAAATGTGTTACATTCAGCTTAGCAGAAAGCTGCCTCCTTCTGTATTGTGAGTTCCGCCTAAAGGTTTCTAGGTCTGTAGTGAACTGTACCTAACTGCAGGTGTACAGACGTGACCCACTCCTGCAGCAACCAAGCCGGCTGTTTCTGGACGTCACCTCCATCTCTGTGGGCAAATGCTATCCAACCGCGGGGCCACCCTGGAGTCTCTCAGAACCTATTCCGCCCCCAGGGGCTGCCCAGCTGAGAATCGTTCCCTCCTCAATCAGCTTTAATTTGCCTGAAGTTTTTCTCTGAACAAGTGCAACAAGGGAGGATCAGCCTCAGGGGAGGGAGGGGGACAACCCTGGGGAGGGAGGATCAGCCCCGGGGGAGGGAGGATCAGCCTTAGGGGAGGGAGGATCAGCCTTAGGGGAGGGAGGATCAGCCCTGGGGGAGGGAGGATCAGCCTCAGGGGAGGGAGGGGGACAACCCTGGGGAGGGAGGATCAGCCCCGGGGGAGGGAGGGGGACAGCCCTGGGGGAGGGAGGGAAGATCAGCTCCAGGTGACTGAAGACCCTTGGCCTCCTTCCGGTGCTGCCCAGAACCGGGCTCCTTATCCAGCTGGGGGAAGGGATCCATTTGGACCCTTCTGTCTTCAGGAGGTAGTGGGGACAGACTTGGTGACAGGGTGGACAGGTGAGGGTTCAAGGAGGACAAGAAGAGCCCCAGCAACCGCAGGGCAGCCAGACTCTGAGGGGCCACAAGTCCAGTTGCCCCAGGCACCGGCTGCCGTGGCACATTGTGAAAGGCTGAGTGTCTCCCGACTCAGAGAAGCTGGTCATGAAGACACCAGAGCCAGCAGAAGGGATCACGTGCCACCCAGCATCTCCACAGAAGAACGGGTCACTTGGGCCCTGGCCCTGGGTGCCCATCACAGAGAAGGAAGCAGGGCAGCTATTGGTGGGCAAGTGTCCCCCGGTAGATGGAGCCATCCTGCCCCCACCATCCTGGAATGGAAGGGTCATCAGACTTGGGTTTGAGGAAGACCATGCCGCCAGTGCCGCATATGTCAGAGGGGCCAAAGTGAGGGTGAGACTTAGGTGAGTGGTGGGGTCACAGAGAGGAAGGGGTGGGGCAGGCCTGTGTCCTCACAGGACCCTCGTGGGGTGTGGCATTACCCTACTCCACAGACCTCAAGACCCAGGGCCAGAAGCAGTGAGCAACCACCCACGGTCACCACCGAATACAAACGCGGGGCAGGGGCAGGCTTCATGCCCAGCACCCATGCACCACGCCCCACACTCTTCTTGTGGGCTGAAATCAGGGTCTCCAGGGGCAAAGCTCTTGGGGAGCAATGGGCTCCCGAGCCTAGCGGTGCACATGCTTTCACGCTGCCTTCCCAGACGCTGCGGCCACGCGGGTGGGGCCTCTCCTCCCGGGACCTGGCCTGGGGAGGGGCCTGAGCTTTCAGGATCCCCTGACTGTTTACCGGTACCTTAGCCAGGGAAGAGCTCTCAGGGCACCAGAGAACTGCCCAGAGCCGCAGAAATGACCAGACGGGAAGCAGATGTTCCAGAACCGCAGAGGACGAAGTCTTGGCCGTGCCAGGTTCTGCACAGGTGGGCAGCCAGGACCGGCACGTGGACAGAGGAGCCTCAGTCAAGGAGGGACTGCAGAACCTGCCAGAACCTGCCGGGACCTGCTGGAACCTTCATTTTCCCTGGAGGCTGGGTCTGGCCAGGTCCACCCCTCCCAGTGGCCTGGAATTGCCTGCGGCCGACCTGCTCACCGCTATGGGCAGCAAAGAGCACCTTGGAGCTGCCAGAGGTGGCCGAGGACAGATGCCATGCTGGGGCCTCGGTTTCCTCCTGAGAAAATGGGAGTAATAACCCTGCTCGCATGCTGTAGGAGGATGCGAGGTAGCGCTGGTGGGAGATGCAGGCAGGGCCACTCAACTTCCCTCCACCTCCGCCCGCTCAGGGCCTCAGTTTCCCCACCTGCAACTGAGAAGCCTGAACTAGACCATTTTAGAAGGAACTCCTGTCTGGGACTTATTTATTCAACCACATACTCCATTCTTTCGAGAAGTATTTATTAAGACTGCTTTGTTCCCAGACCCCACAGCCAGCGAGGGGAGGGCTCCCTGGTCTCCAGCAGAAGACAGGTGAACAAGTAAGCAGCTCAGGAGCCTGAGCGGACAGAGTGGCTGTGCTGGGAGGGCAGGCAGGCAGAGGAAGGGCGGAGATTTAGTGGGTGGTGTGCTTGGAGGTCACGGGAGAGGTGCCTCTGCGGAGGGCAACAGGAGGCGTGGAATTGGGGAGGGGACGGCAGGCACAAAGGCCCTGGGCAGAGGCATTGGGCCAGGCACACTCCCTGGACTCACAGATGCTCCTTCCCCTGGTGAAGGCTGGAACCCCTGGCCAGGCCTGGGCCGGGGAGACCCAAAGAGGCACAGTAGCCAGTCGGAGTTTTATCCAGAGCATGAGGGGCAGCCCCTATGAGTGTCAGCTGGGGGCGGTGGCATATGGTGTCTGCCTTCCACTCTCAAAGGCCTCTCTGGCTGTCTTCAGGACCGCAAGCAGAGTGGGAGTCCCCGGCCAGGGCCAGGCCATGGGAACAGTCTGGGGAGCAGCCAGGGTAACTTGTGCCAAGCTGACGGCCAAGGAGGTGAGACTCAGGTGCCTTCGAGAGCAAAGTCTGCCTGCAGACCCGGGGGCATCAAAGCAGATTCTGGGGTTCTGGGCTAAGCCCCTGGACAGGTGGCAGGGCCGGACCTGAGATGAGGCAGAGAGCAGAAGAAACCAGCGTCCATCTACACATGCTCAGGTTGTGGTGCCTGTCAGATACCTGCTGGAGGAAACGAGGGATTCTGCACAGAATTCTTCAGGGATTCTTACCAACAAGCGGGAGACAGACGGGCCCTGGGACCCAGGCCAGCACTCTGCAAACTGTTCTACACACCTGGGGAGCCCACGGGAGAGGGCAGTGCTCAGGGCTGCAGCCCAGGGCCTCTGTGCACAGAGGGGAAACTGAGGCTTAAAGAGGAGGAGCTGTTGACTAAAAGTCACAGAGCTGGCCCTGGAGCCCAGACTCCCCCTCCCAGGTCTGCCCCCATGACCTGCAGTGAGTGCACACGCACTCAAGCACAAGCACACAAGTGCACACACGCACATGCACATAAGCACACACATGCACACACGCACACGCGTACAAGCACACACATGCACACACACGCACACATGCACACACACGCACACACCATGCAGCCTTGTTCCCGGCAGCCGACAGCCCCCACTCCCTGGCGTACCGCGTTTGTTTCCTCCCGAAGGCCTCACCCGCCCAACAGTGCCTCTTCAATGCTGGAAGATGCCAATCTCTGCCTTGAGAGGGCTTGGAGCATTTCATTTCCCTTTGCCTCCTCCCTCTGACCCACCAGCTGCTCGCCTTTACCGGTGCACCCAAGAACCCTGGGCGCAGCAGCAGCTCCAGGTGCAGCAGTGCAGAGGGTGAATTCAGACAGGCCCCTCCCTCCCTCCAGCCACTGGGTCAAGCCCCAGGGAGGAGAGGTCCCTGCTTGGGGCCACGGAGGGGAAGGAGAGCAGAAGGAACTGAATGGAAACCCAAGGCTCCACCCCCGCCCCCACCTCAGTAACCCTGGCCCTTCGGGCGAGCAACATACCCTGGTATTTATAATGGATTTTCCACATCCTTTGATGTCTTGCAAAACATAATAACACGCAGAGTCATTTTCCAAAAGCAAGTGGGCTGAAGTTCGCTGAGAGGGGTCTGCCACCAATTTACTCAAAAGCAAGCCTTTCTTTTGCCCAAGCTGCCCTCTCAAGGGGTGCCAGTGCAGAAGCACAAGGGGCGCCAGTGCAGAAGCACAAGGGGCAAGGTGGGCCAGGACCTATAGACGGGAGAGCTGCTCCGGCCAGGATGTGGCTCCAGGGCTCAACCCAGCAGCCAAGACAAACTCAGCATTTAACCACGGATGAAAATGAGCACCTTCGGGATGTTCCTGAATCCCCAGGATTCCCCAGGGAGGGTGCTGCCTCCAGAGCCTCCAACCCCGTGGGGAAGGGCAGGGGAAGCACTGTGCCCTGCGGGTCCTGCCCCAACCCACTACCTGGAAGTGGGCCCAGCTGGGAGCCGGGGAGTGTCAGGCAGAGCCACCCCTTCTCAAGCCCTCTGCTTCCCACTGTGAGCTCCCTGAGCCCTGGCGGGAAGCTCAACATCCGCGTGGGTAAATGGTGGTGAAGGCAGCGGTGAGGGCCGGAGAGATGACACTCGCTTTTACTTCAGTTAGCACCAGCTAACAGCAAAAGAGAGGAGGATACTGCAACTGTTCAGTAATTGATTAACCGGTGTAAAGCAAACTGGTGAAGTGACTTACGTCATTGGTTTAAAAGAGCAAAGACACGCTACTATATTAACTTTTGAGTTTGTAGGTTTGTAGGGGAAGGAGAACGATGAAAAGCTCTAACCTCACTAAGCTCCGGGCGCTGGGCAGCCGTGACAACAGAGCTGGTGCACACAGGCTGGCACTGTGGGGCGGCCCCTCTGCCTGCCCTGCCCACGCACTGCCATTCCACAGTGTACAGATGGGGAAACTGAGGCACGGTACAGGGACATGGTTTCCCCCCTTCCTGGAGCCAGGACCCATTTCTTTCTCCACCTGGAAAGGTGGGCAGCAGGAAAACACCACACACCTCTGCTTTGAGATAAAAAAAAACTGCTGGCTGCTGGCACTGCCAGGAAAGGCAGCCCCAGCACTCCAGGCCCCTCCACAATGTGCTGGGCGGCTCCCCATGGAGGGCTACCGAGTACAGTTCCTTCAGAGCATTTGGGTTGGGTGGGCTGGCAGAGGGGACAGGTCAGAAGGTGAGGCCGGGCCGAGCCACGTCTTCCATCCATCTTGGAGGCAGAAAGAGGCCACTTCCAGAGCTCCTGGGGTCTGAGGCCATGTGAGAGACGCCGGCCATACAGCAGCAGATGCCAGACCTCTCCCTGTCTGCACGCAGGGATGCCGGAGTGCAGAGCCAGGACCAGCTCTGTACAAATAAGTAACAGTCTAGCTATCAGACCTGCCCCGTAAGGAAGTGGCCACCCCATGTGGGAGTTCCTTGTCCCTGGAAAGGTCCAAACAGAAACCACGGGACCCCATCTCAGAGGAGCTACGTGCAAACATTTGCTCTATGTGAAATATATTTGTTACAGTATTCAACCTTAAAATGGAAGGAACGGCCGGCACACCATGACAGGGAGCACCTTGAGGGCGTTGTGCTCAGTGGAATAAGCCGGTCACAAAAGGACAAATCCTGTAGGAGTCTATCGTACGAGGTCCCTAGAGTCAAACTCATAGAGACAGAGAGAAGGGCAGGTGCCAGGGGCTGCGGGAAGGGGAGCGGTTGGCGTTTAAAGGGGACAGGGCTTCAGTCTGAGAAGAAAGGCTCCACGGGTGGAGGGTACTGAGGGCTGCGCAGCATTGTGAATGTGCTTAGTGACACCGAACTGTGCATGTGAAATGGTTAAAATGCTAAGTTTTATGTCATGTTATCAATTACATTTTTAAGAATGCATCCATCGTCACCCGCCCGTACTGTGAATGAGAGACGCTGTCCCTGCTTTCGAGACTTATGGTCTGAGGGGAGAGGCAGCCTGGAAAGTGGCAATTAGGATGCCCAGAGGGGAGAGAGAGCAGCAAAGAGTGAGGGTGTCCTGGGAGGGCACAGAAGAGGAACCAAGAGCGGGGCGGGCTCCCAGGAAGGAGTGAGTGCCAGTCCCAGGTCGGAGTAAGGGGCCACTCTGGCAAAAACCACATCCAAAAGCCCAGAGGAGACAGAAGCTGCACATCTGGGGACCTGAAAGCAAACCCAGAGGGCCAGTGTCACAGACAGAATGGGCAGAGTGGGAGGAGGCCTCATCCCAGAGCATCCACGCCTTGGAAAGCAGGTGCCCCTGGGAGCCAGGCAGGTCCACGCTGCCTTCCCACCTAACAAAGGAAACAAATGAACAAACCCCAGCTCCCGAGGGGCCAGGCCCTGGGCACTCCATTCCCCAGCATCACCTGACTCAGTCCTCAAGATCCCCCCAAAAACGCCCATAACAGTGGGTATATTACTCCCATTTTACAGATGAGGAAACTGCAGCCTGATGGAGGTGAGCTCCGCCTCGATGCAGGAAGTGTTTTATGACAGTGCGGTAGAATTTTAAAACAAAAGAACACGCGATCAGGCGTGCACTGTGCCACCCACGCTGACCGAGATGCGTCGACTTCTCACAGCACAGATTCCTCTGCTGACTCTAAACCCAGGAGCTTCTGAGCCCTCAGCCCTAAACCAGAGCAGCCACTCTGAGCTGAGTGTCTCCTCTGCATCCGGCACGATTTCAGACTTGACGGGGGTGCAGAGAAAATGTGAGGCGTCACTTCCGCCCCTCAAAAACTGACATTTTAAATGAGAGGTGCAGAGTCTCATGTGTGGGAAAAATTGGAACAATCGTGGGACTGTTGCTTTAAAACAGCCCCTGGTCCACGGTTCCCCATCTCAGGGCTTATAAGAGAACAAGGCTCACAGAGCATTGGAAGCTAGGACAGGTATGAGTGTGTGTCGCCTACAAAGTGATTCCAAACGCAGTGAGGTAGAGAGATGAAGCCAGCCCGCCAGGATGAACACAGGGAAGGAGGTGCTTCATCTCCTCTCTCACGTCCCAAAATAGAAAAATGCTTTTTTCCCCACCAGAAGACGGGGTCTGCCTCCTATGCACTGACACTGCCTTCTCTTCCCACTCATCAGTCTTCAAAACCCACCGGGAGTGGGGACAGTTGAGCTGGAGGTGAGCCCTGCATTCAGAAGGCAGCATCCTGCCCTGGACCACGGCCCTGTTCACACTGGGTATACAGCAGGCGTTTTGTCTGACACTTCATCCATTCAGTGGGTCGGGAAACAGGGCTGCCGGAAAGAGACAAACCAGAAATGTGTCTCCCAGGAGCTGTGCACGCCAGGCCACCCCTGCGGAGTCTGAGGAAGGGGTTAGACTGTCAGCCCGGGGCCCGGCCGCTTGGGCTGAGGGCCATCCACTCATCCCGAGTGTGGGTGAAACCTGAGTGGGTGGACCCTTTCTCACCTGAGGATGAGGAAGAGGAAGCCCAGCAACCGGGGCCTTGGAAAATTGCGGCAGGACGAATCAAACACAACCGCATCTCATAAGGCTGGGAGGGAGGGTGCCCCATGAAAATGATTTCTCCAGCCGCCCGCCCGAAGGGTATTTTTAGCAACTGTCGCATGCCCACCATGGGCAAGCCAGGCTGATGAGAAAGACAGCGGGAACTGGAGAATGGAATGATGGCAACGAAATAAAACCACGCGTGGATCAAAACTGCCTGGGAACAGAAACATACAGAACTGATGCTGAAGAAGACAAAATATGTGACGCGGAGAATGAAGCGGGGAAGGAGGGAGCCCGGGCATGGCAGGAAGGGGCAGGGAGCTGGGCAGCAGGTGCTCCCCAGAGGAAAGAGAGGCAGGGTGGGGAGCAGGTGAGGAGGAGGAGGAAGCGCTGAACTTTCCTGAGCTGCGGAGGCGGGCGGGGTCGGGGGTGGTTTGGGGACAAACCAAGTTCCCAGTAACTTGAAGAAGTGCACTTCAGAGGACCAGGCCTCACGCAGCTCCGGCTGAGTTTGTGAGCCCGGTGATGCAGCAGCACCCTGGCCTCCACGCCCGGAAGGAACATGTTGGTGCCAGGCCACCTTTCCCGTTCCTGAAGGTCGCAGAAGGGCCTTCTCAAATCAATGGGCAGACAATGCTATCCTCAGGAACAACTTTGAAAAGCTGACTTGAACATGAGCCCCAAACCCTGAGGGATGAATCAAAGCTAAGAATTCAAGACTAGGGAAGTTACTGGGACCCCAGACTCAAGAATCAGGCCATCGCTGGTGCAGGGTAGGGGCAAGAAGGATGGGGTGTGGTGGGGAGTTCTGCCCCCATGACTTCCCCGCCCTGCTTTTCTTGGGCTTGGTTCCTTCCTTGATTCTACAAAATGTGCTTTGGACCAATCAGTGAAACGATATTAAATTGTCCATTTTGTAGGTTAAAATTCTATAGGGTTCAACCTAATATTTGGCTTTGCGGTTCAGAGAGACTCTCTTTCCGCATCTGATTCTTCAGCATTGTACCTGGCACCAGAGCCTTCCACATGCCAAGCTGTTGCAGGCTGGGCCCCCATCCAGGAGCAATTACTGAACGAAACACTTCTTTTTCCCCTTAAAAAGACTCGTGAAGCCACACCATGCCACTGTTATTGCCAAGGTGCTTGAGCGATGATTTTCCACATGCTTGTGGCCGTAACTTACATTTAATGACATGAGTCAGGGGCTTGTTTCTGCACCAGAAGACCAATAAGCCTCCCGGTGACAGATAGGGTCTGTCACCCCATTCGTCAAACTCTACGTCATGTCACCTCATGATATTCCCAATGATGCCTTACAGTCGCCATATGCACAACGGCCTCCGTAGTACGCAGCTGAGTGTGAAACATATGGAGAGAGTAAAAGGCTGTGCTAATGTCTGCTGGAGTCAACGATTCCTAAGTGGAGGGTCTGTGCCATTTTGCTTTTCCTTCTTTCTTATAATTTTCTGCAGATTCTTCATTTTCTACAGGGCATGTCTCACTCCGTTCAGCTTTCTGTAACAAAATACCATAGACTGGGTGGCTTATAAACAACAGGAATCTATTTCTCTCAGTTCTGGAGGCTGGAAGTCCAAGATTAAGGTGCCTGCAGATTTGGTGTCTGGTGAAGCCACCTCCCCATTGGACAGCCGTCTGTCTTTTTGCTGGGTGGCATGTGGCAGAGGGGGTGAGGGGTCTCTCCCTGGCCTCTTTCATAAGGAAACTAATTCCATTCATGACCTAATCACCTCCCCTTGTCCTAGCATCATCAGCCTGGGGATGAGGTTTCACCTCCCCTCCTCCTAGTATCACCAGCCTGGGGATGAGGATTCACCTCCCCTCCTCCTAGTATCACCAGCCTGAGGACGAGGATTCACCTTCCCTCCTCCTAGCATCACCAGCCTGGGGACGAGTATTCACCTCCCCTCCTCCTAGTATCATCAGCCTGGGGATGAGGATTCACCTCCCCTCCTCCTAGTATCACCAGCCTGAGGATGAGGATTCACCTCCCCTCCTCCTAGTATCATCAGCCTGGGGACGAGTATTCACCTCCCCTCCTCCTAGCATCATCAGCCTGGGGACTAGGATTTCAACATCTGAGCTTGGGGGACAGAAACAGCCCGTAGCAAAGCATGTGCATTTTTATCATGGAAAACGTGTTTTTCAAATTTGAATCAGCATTTTGTCTACATGATGGCATAGACACCGGGGGTCCCCACCTGGTCCCCAGCACTGGCGGCTGCACCGTCGCCAGCTCCTGGGAGTGAGGTCTGACAGCTTGCAGCCACTCCATTCCCCAGATAGCTGAGTCTGGCCACAGGGAGCTGCTGCTCCTGGGGAGCTGTCCTCCCACCAGTGAAGGCCTCGCCAGTGACTGACCACGTGGAGGCACAGAAGGCGTCCCCTGGCCTCAGGGCAGGCCCACCCCAGGGTGCAGCTCCCACTCCGGAGCACCTGTGGGGGACCAGACCACGGTGCAACTCGAGCTGAGGTCACCTCCCTGCTCAGCCCCTTCACCCACCCGGTCCTGCTCCCCACCCTCTGTCCTGAGGAAACCCCAATAAATCATGTGATGTGATGAGAATTATGTCACTGCCACAGGACTGCTGTGAGAATCGTGAAGTAAAGGGGCTGGCACCTGGTACACTGAGGGGCTCACCAAACTCCAGCGTCCCAGCACTGTGGGGCTCCAGCCGGCCAGGCATCTGATAGGCAGCGCCTTGGCATTCCAGAAGGGCGGCTGTGAACACGGGGTTCAGAGCCTGCACACTGGCAGAGGCGTCTGCACCATAGACCGAGCCAGGTGCCGGGGCAGAGCACAAGCAGCCTGTCCTCGCTCCAAGACCCCAATTCCCCTTCTCCTGTCAGTGGGAACCTAGGTCCCAGGCTCTCTGTGGAGCCCCATGCTGCAAAATATCTTAGTCGGCGCCCTGTTCCTGTCAGGCCCAGGTTCTGGGGAGAGCAGGGGTGGGAGAGGGCGCTGGGTGCTGGCCAGGGCAGTGCACACAGTTGTCTGTCCTGGCCGTAGGGCAGTGACCCTGTTCCCACCACAGGCGGCCCTGGCAGGCAGGCAAACCACCAACAGACCCCAGGCCCTGCACCTGACGTCTGCTCTGGAAGTCGGTCTGCATTTAGTTTTGGGTTTAACAAACATTTTTAACCCCATCATTTTCAACGAGTGTAAGATTCACAAAAGCATTGGAAGTTCTATTAAAAAGAGGCTCAAAATTACTACAGAAACCAAAGGACAGAGTTTTAAAAATAGCAACTGGTGAGAAAAATGACAAATGCCGCACATTTGATGGGGTGAGTCATCTCCTGGCGGCGCCATCCTCAGCCACACCCGAGTGAAGGGCTGCGCCTGATGCTGTCCTCAGGGACCAGCTGGACAGGGACGCGGGGACGTGCTTCTCTATGTGCGGGGAGAGGCGGGCGTAGGCGGCTGGCGCTGGCTCCCCGACGGCAAACCAAGGAGCTTAAAGGCCAGGCAGGGACAAGGGGTTGCTGAGGAAACTTCCGGGGCTTCTCAGGTCCAGGCTGACCAGGTTTACACACCAGAAAGTGAGGGCCCCGCACAGGGCAGGGATCCTCGGCCAGGGCGAGGTGGGCAGGGCAGGGCTGCCCCATGTGGACATTCATTCATTCCTACCCACGCCTGCCACACATTCATTCATTCATTTCCACCTGCACCCATCACACATCCATTCCTTCCCTCCCCCGCCCACCACATTCATCCCTTCCCCCCGAGCCTGCCACACATTCATTCGTTCATTCCCACCAGCGCCCACCATTCATTCACTCCCACCCGCGCCCACCACACATTCATTCACTCCCACCCATGCCCATCACATATTCATTCATTCATTCCCACCAGCGCCCATCACACATTCATTCCTTCCCGCTGGCGCCTGCCACACATTCATTCCTTCCCGCTGGCGCCTGCCACACATTCATTCATCCCACCGCACCCGCCACACATTCATTCATTCATTCCCACTGGCGCCCACCATTCACACCCAGCTGCACCCGCCACACATTCATTCATCCTACCCACCCCCGCCACTGCCACAGACCCCAGGACTCCCAGGGAAGGACACACCCTTGGAGAATGCGGGCATGGAGTTCCCAGGAGCCCCTCACTCTCTGTGGAGAGGAAAGCTCTGGCTCACAGTCCAAAGGGCCTGATCCATCTCCTGCTCAGTGGAGGCACCTCAGAAACTTCTGGAAGTTTCCTGCCCTAGAAAGCTCACCTTTTTTGCCTGAGGCTTCAGGAAATGCTGCTGCCCCAACCCTTCAAGACCTTACTCTGAACCAAGGAAGGGTTCTGACGTGGGGAGCCTGCACCGTCCTTCCCACTCCATCCCAGCACCCCCCAGGCCCAGCACAAGCGTGGCAGCAACAGAGGCAGCTTCAGCGAGGACCCTCTAGAGGGTGGGAGAGAGTATCTGGGAAATCAACCCCAGAGGAGCATCCAGAATATCACAGAGAGGCACCTGGTCGGACTCCACAGGGCACAGGATGCCCACCAGCTTGGCCTGGCCCATCCTGGGGCATCCCACCCAGCCTGGGCTGACCCTCGATCCCAGTCCCGGAGCTGCCTTAACGAAGACCCACAAACTGGGAACTCAAACAACAGGAATGTTTTCTCTCCCTGTTCTGGAGGCCGAAGTCCCAGATCAAGGTGTCGGCCTGACGGTGCTGCCCCTGGGGGCTCCGCGGGAGGCTCCTTCCTCTTCCTGCCTCTTCCAGCTTCTGTCGCTGTCTCCACATGGCCTCCGTCCCTGTGTGCGTCTCCCCTCGTTTCTGATAAGGAACATGTCCCTGGATTTCGGGCCCATCCACGATGGCCTTACCTCAAGATCCTTCACTTTATAGCAGCTGCAGAGATGGCTTTTCCAAATAAAGTCGCATCCGCAGGATCTGGGGCTGGGGATGTGCTCATATCATTGAGGGCCATCATTCAACCCCTCCAAGCCCCTAGGTCTCCTCGGGCGGCCGAGCTTCCCCAGCACCCGCCACCTGGAGTGTCCTCCCAGAAATGTCAGAGTCTCTCCCCTGAGGGGCTCCCCCATCCCACCTGCACAAGGTCCACCCAATCCCACTTAGGGCCAGGGGTTGAACTTCGTCCAGGAGTGGCCTCCCACTCTGGTGGGGCAGGATGTGTTCCCGCCCCAGCCCAAGGTGTGCCAAGGCCTCACCTCCCCATGACAAACGCCCAGCAAAGAGGCAGTGAGTGTGGCATGGGGGTAGGCCACTCAGCTCTGCTCCTGCCCAACTGTGCAACCTTAAGCAAGTGCCTGCACCTCTCTGAGCCTCGGTCTGTCCCTCTGTGGAATGGTATGACCAGAGCAGTTCACCCACCTCCAAGGTGTCAGCCTGTCTGTGAGTCAAACAAGGCCAGAGTGCCTGGCAGCCGGGCACCTCACTCAGTCCACAGCTGTTGTGATTAACCTGTACTGCATCCAGGGGACAGGCCTCCCAGGGCAGTGGGGAAACCCACACCCCATACACAAATCAGCCCCATGCCCCAGCAACAGAGCAGGTCACAGGGAGGGGCAGGGGCTGGGCAGGCCGCCCCAGGACCCCCACATCCTTGCTGAGCCTAGAGGAGGAGGAAGAGGGCATTTCCTGTGACAGCGTGGGGGTGGGGGAGGTGGGGAGAAGCCTCCAGGCAGAGAAAGGTCACCTGGCATCGCATCCAGAGACCATGTGCCCTGGGCCTCCTCCGGCTTGTGGGGAATTTCAGCCCTCACCCTCAGGGCAGTGGAGAGCCAGGACAGCCGATGGGCTTCCAGCTGCTGGAGGGGTGCAGAGGAACCGCCCTGCACATGTCCCAGCAGGAGACCACCCGGCCTGAAGGACGGGCTGCCAGGCCTGGCTGTGTCATCTGGAGAAACCAGGCCTGGAATGCTCCAGCCTCGTCCGGCAGGCAGGGGTGACTAAAGACTGTACCTGTCCCGCCTGCCTGCACAGGGTGGTTTTTATCTGGAGAAAGCACTTGGCCCCATGCAGACACACTCAGTACCCCCCGTCCCCACACTGATGTCCTTCCCTTAACACGGGCCTGGAACCCGCAGAGGGTCCAGCCAGCTCCGGAACTAAACTAATATGGAGAAACCCCCCAACCCGAAGGACAGAGACCAAATAAACCTTCGGAGGAGGATAGAAGAAGGTGGCAATGGCGCTTCTGTGGGGCAGCCTGGAAAGTAATCCTCTCTCCCAGGCACACGGCATCCTGACGGTGGGACAAGAAGAAGATGCCTGGAGAAGAGCACAGAGCACGTGAGAGCCCCGGAAACCCGCGCAGAGCACGCGAGAGTCCTGGAAACCAACCCACACAGAGCACGCGAGAGCCCCGCACACCCGCGCAGAGCACGCGAGAGTCCTGGAAACCGACTCACAGAGCACGTGAGAGCCCCGGAAACCCGCGCAGAGCACGCGAGAGTCCCGGAAACCAACCCACACAGAGCATGCGAGAGCCCCGCACACCCGCGCAGAGCACGCGAGAGTCCTGGAAACCGACCCACGCAGAGCAAGCGAGAGCCCCGGAAACGGACCAACGCGGAGCAAGTGAGAGCCCCGGAAATCGACCAACGCAGAGCACGCGGGAGTCCCAGGAAACCGACCTGCGCAGAGCACGCCAGAGTCCCCGAAACCCGCGCAGAGCACGCGGTAGTCCTGGAAACCGACCCGCGCAGAGCACGCGAGAGCCCCGGAAACCGACCAACGCGGAGCACGCGAGAGCCCCGGAAACCGACCCGCACGAAGCACGCGGGAGCCACCGCTTCATTCCACGCACCACCCACTTGCTGGGCGTCTTCAGAGTTCTAAAAACCCAAGAAAGAAAAAGATTGGAAGAGGAGGTGAAGATGTCCCAGAAAGTGGAATAAAAATGTACCGAGATAAAGCGCAGAGACAAAGGCAAGACCCGAGCACTACAGTGAGGCCCAGCTGCCGGGGAGAAGATTTGTAGAAAGTTCCAGAGTGGGAAAAAATGGAAGGGAAAATGGAAGGTGCCCAAGCACCATTTAGGAGAACACTTCCCAAAGCTCAGGCCAAGCAAGTCCATCTGGATGCCTTGGAGTCCCTCGCCCTGGGCAGGGGGCCCACGTTTAGCCTTCTCCTGGTACTGTTTTCATAAACGAGGCTCGGCCACTTCCCGTCCGGCAAAGCAAAGCCCGCGCACCACAAAGGACGGGAGCACAAAGGCATAGATTTTCTCTTCCTTATGACTTTCTTTTCTCTCTCTCGCTCTTTTTTTTTTTTTTTTTTTTTGTGTGTGTGTGTGTGACGAGGTATCACTCTGTCACCCAGGCTGGAGTGTGGTGGTGCAATCTTGGTTCACTGCAGCCTCCGCCTCCCAGGCTCAAACGATCCTCCCACCTCAGCCTCCTCAGTAGCCAGGACTGCAGGCACATGCCACCACAACCAGCCAATTTTTGTATTTTTAGTAGAGATGGCGTTTCACCATGTTGCCCAGAGTGGTCTCAAACTCCTGAGCTCAAGCCATCCACCTGCCTCGGCCTCCCAAAGTGCTGGGATTACAGGTGTGAGCCACTGTGCCTGGCCTTTTTGATTTTCTTAACATTTTCTCTTCTCCAGCTTACTTTATTGTAAGAACACAGAATATAATACATGTAACAGACAAAATATGTGTTCATCAACTGTGCATGTTAACGGTGAGGCTTCCGGTCTGCTGGTGGCTATTAGTGGTTATGTCTGAAGGGAGTCCAGAGTTACATGCAGACTTCTTACTGCTTAGAAGGTGGGTCCCCCTAACACATACACACATGGACACACACACACCTGGTTTTGTTTCACTGGAGAACCTGACATACATAGAAAATAAGCAAATGAGAGATGGGCAATTCGCTCCAGGAAAACAAGATCAGGAAAGAAAGGGACGGAGCATCGCACAGTAGAACAGCTGAGTCTTCTCTGAGCCAGGCAGGTCTAAGCAGCCCATGCTCCTTGGGGAGCCCTTGGCCAGCCTCCTCGTCCCCACGGACGGCTTTGTCCCTGGGGGAGCCACGTGTGGGTGACTCAGGAACAGCAGCTGAGTCACCGTCACGGTCCCAGACCGCCCCCTCTCTGCCCCTCTCTGCTGTTTCCAGGGCCTCTTCCCTCCCATTCCTCCACATGACGTTCTCAGCGTTGGCCGCCCTAGCGTCTGCCCCAGGCTAACTGATTTGACCCCATGGCTTTGAGACTCCCGGCTCGTCCCTGGTCCACCCTCTTTCCATCTTGTCTCTCTCCTGTGCCTTCTTCCCGTCCACCCTCCTTCCAGAGCTGAATCTCCCGGGGGTCCTCCACCTGGAGCCCCGTGCCCACAAACCTCAGCTTTCCTGATCCCGCCTGAGCCCCTCTTCCCTCCCAGGCCCTTTTGCTCCTCCACAGCCTGCTCTCCTGGGGCCTGGCCTCCTCCTTCTCCCTCCCACTCAACTTCTTAGCCACATCTTGCCAGCCCCTCCCTCCTCCCACCCCATGCCATCAGTCGCAAGCCCCCAGGTGCCCCCTAAGCCACTCCTCACCCGCTGTCTTCCAGCCTCTTCCCTGAGCACTGGCACCCTTCGGAAGGAGCTGAGCTCTTGCTTCCGGCCCCTCCTGTACTCCTCATCCCCCACAGTCCTAGGCTTTGAGTCTAACCACATCAGCATCTGCTCTAGAACCTTACTGAGCTCCCCGTGACCCGCCAACCACCACCCAGAGGCCTGCATTCCAGGCCTCCCACGATAAACTCCGTTTGCTACCAAAGCCTATACCCGACTCTGCACTTAGCAAAGCTGCATCACCTATGGAAAACGTTCTGAAAATACCCCAGATGTTCTTACCTCTGACTCGGTCACTCACCTTCCCTGGCTCACCTGTGCCATCCATCCTAGACCAAGGCGAGGCTTCCCATGGGCTTCCCGAGGAGCCCTAGATCCTCGTGGACTAACTGCACAGCCAGCAGTAGCCGGAGCGGTGCTGCTGGTCAGACAGACCTGGCTGGAATCCTGGCTCCACTGCTTTCTGGCTGCATGTCAAGGTGCAAGTCACTGTGCCTCTCTCTGGACCTGTTTCTTCATCTTTAAAGTCAGGGAAAAATTTCACAGCACCTCGAGGTGGTTGTGAAAATTCAATAAAATAAATAATATATGCCCCCCACCTATTGCAGAGGCCGGGATGGGGCCAGTGTTTATATCCCAACCTCACAATTTGGCACTGAACATGGACATCCCAGGCAGCTGGGCCCCGTGTGAGCATCCTGACTCCCCAGGCAGGCTGCAGACTCAGAGCAAACACTGTGCCTTCCTTTGATCTGTTCACCCCTTGGGCCTTCATACAGCCCGACGCCCGGCAGAACCACCAGAGACTGAGTAAGGGAACAGTTGGGAAGTGTTTGTTCCTCTTTAATTTTCTGGAAGAGTATCTCTGGAATTGGCATTCTTTCTTCCTTCGATGTTTGCTATGATGCACTATTGCAGCCCTCTGGACCCAGAAGTTGCCTTATGGAAAAGTGTTTAACTAAGAATGCAATGTCTCTAATACCAGCATGGCTATTCAGGGTCTCTGTTTCTTCCAACGTGAGCTTTGGTAGTCTGTGTCTTTCAGCGTATTTGTCCATTTCATCTAAGCTGTCAAATGTACTGGCCTAAGGTTATTGACAGTATTCCCTTGTTATCACGGAAGCACCTGTGGAGTCTGTGGTGGTATCATGTCTCTTGTTCCTGATAGTGAAGCTTTACATCTTCTTTCTTTTTTTCCTGACCACTACAGCTAGAGGTTTATGAATTTTATTGATATTCCAAAGAACCATCTTTGGGTTTCATTCATTTTCTCTGTTGTTTTTGTTTTCCATTTCACTGATTTCCACTCTTATCTTTATTATTCCGTTTCTTCTAGTTATATTGGGTTCAATTTGCCCTTCTTTCTTCCGGTTTTGTGATGTGGGAGTTGAGTTCATTGATGTGAGACCTGCCTTCTTTCCTAATACAAGCATTTGAATGCTATACAACTCCCACCAAATACTGCTTCAGCTGCATCCCATAAATGTTGATATATTGTTCAGTTAGAAACACATTCTAATTTTCCCTTTGATTTCGTCTTTGACTCAAGAGTTCTGTGGAAATGTGTTAGCTGTTTTCCAAATATCTGGGGATTTTCCAGATGTCTTTCTGCTGCTGCTATTGATTTGTAAGTTAGTTCCACTGTGGTCAGAGAAGATATTTCAAATGATTCAAGTCCTTTTAAATTATTAAGTCTTGTTTTATGACTCAAAATATGACCTGTCATGGCAAATGTTCTGTGTGTGCTTGAAACGAAGTGTTCTGCTGATGTCAGGGTAGGGTTTCCATAAACGTCACTTAGGTCAAGATGGTGGATGGAGTTCAAGTCTTCTATATCCTTGCCAGTTTTATGTCTACTTGAGTCAACTTTTGAAAGATGAGTGTTGAAATCTCCAATTATAATTGTAAACTTCCATCTTGCTTTGTAGTTGTTTCGACTTGGAAGGTCTGCTAGAAGGTGCATAAACTTTGAGGATGTTATGTCCCTCAATGAACTGACCTCCATGGCGTCATGAAGTGACCCCTTCATCCCTGCGGCCATTCTTACTCTGAAGTCTACTTAGGGAGTAACATCTCCACTCCAGCTTTCTTTTGATGAGTGATTGCATGTATGTCTTTTTCCATTCTTTCAGGTTTATCCTATTTTGCCTGCATATTTAAAGTTTTTTATGCCTATCATATTTTGGTTCTTTCTTTTTCTTTATCTGGCAAACTCTGCCTTTAAATTGAAGTGTTTAGAACATTTATATTTAATTATTAATGATCACTTTTAAAACTGTCGTCTTGCTGTTTTTTCCCCCTTTTTTGGGTTCCTGTTTCCTCTTTTTCCACCTTCTTCTGAATTCATTGGGAATGTATTACGGGTCTATTTCATGTCCTTTGCTGGCCTGGCCACGGCATCCCGCATTGAAGCCTGGACATTCTCTGCAGGCAGTGAGCTGGGGAGGCGCTGGCTCGCAGAACGGGTTTCCTGTCTCTTAGCAATTGCGCTCCTTGGCTGAACTGCAGCCAATGTCATGAACGCCATGTTTCATTTGTTCTCTCTGGAGCTTTGGCTGTTTTTTATTGCTCCCTGTTATACCATTTTGGCTGGAATTGGAAATCTCTGAAAATCTCTTTAAAATTGAGTCCATTGGAGCCAGCGTCTCTTTGCTTGCAACCAAAGACTTGGAACTGAGCCTCCCCCTGCTGTCCGAATCCTGTCCACCCCGCCGCGGCCTGGCATCTCCGCCTCTCCTTCAGGTCTCCCTTCAGACACCAGCTCCTCCAGAGCCTCCTGGCCCCAACGCCTGCCTTAGATGCCTCACCCATCCCGGCCCCTCCCCACCGTGCCTCCGTTGTCTGCCTCCTGTTGACCTCCCCCACCAGACTTGGGATTCCTTGAGCATGGGGACTGCCCCATTGCCTCACACTGTGCCTGGCACATAGTGAGTGCCCAGCTGGCTTGTGTTCACCAAATAATCAGTGATTTTCACTTCTCCTACCCATGAGATCCCAAGCCTTTCCTGTCTGGAAAGAACAAGGCACACTGGGGAGAGCTTACCTGCTGAACCCTGGCCCCCACCTCACCAGCTTCAGAGGCAGGAGTGCAGAGTGGGTAAGACCGAAGACCAGGGTCAGCGCCTGGGTTTGAAGCCTGTCCTGAACAGGTCTCAGCCTTGTGGCCTGGGGCGAGGTCCTCGCCTCTCTCATCTGATGTTCCTCCGTGACTGGTAACAGTGGTCATCGCCTTAGTCCTCTGGAAGACCAACCAGTGCCTGCCCAGGGTTGGCAAGTGCTGGACGGATACATGCTGTCACTGCTGTCCTTCCATCACCACCCCATGATGCAGGGTACTGTGCTGGGCACACCAGGGAAGAACACAGACAAAAGTCTCTGCCCCACGGAGACAGCCCACACACAGGAAACCAGGCAAGTGAGTCACACAGCACATCAGGAGGTGGTCATGCTATGGGGGGAGATATCAACATGGAGCAGGGGGCAGGAGCAAGAGGAAGAGGTGCAGCAGGGGCAACATTGAGCCCGGTGGGTGGCGTGGGCCTCCTTTGAGATGGGACTTGGAGCACGAACTCCAAGGAGGTGGCCATTATCAGACTTGCATTTCAGAGCAATTGCCCAGCTGCTCGTGGAGAAGGTGTTGAGATGGATGGGGTTGGGGGACTGTCCCCAGTGAGATGCAGATCAAGGGGTGGTACTGACCACATTGTCAGGACAGAGGCAGCCATCGGGAGGACTGTGAGACTGTGTAGTATATATGTGGCCCTGTCCCTGTTTCCCAGCATACAACTCCTAAAGCCCTTGACTCTCTGGAGTGGTGAGAGTGTCTTCTGTGTGCTCATGAGCTGGCTGGGGGCTGGGGTCTCCTAGACAGCTTCAGGATGGAGCTGGTCACCCAGAAAGACCAGGCATGATTAGAGGATTAGGACTTCCAGCCCCACCCCTTGACCTCTAGGAAGGGGAGATGGGAGGGGCTGAAGGTTGAGTTGATTGCCAATGGCCAATGATGCAATCAATCAGGCTAGGAAGGGGAGATAGGAGGGGCTGAAGGTTGAGTTGATTGCCAACGGCCAATGATGCAATCAATCAGGCTAGGAAGGGGAGATGGGAGGGGCTGAAGGTTGAGTTGATTGCCAACGGCCAATAATGCAATCAATCAGGCTAGGAAGGGGAGATGGGAGGGGCTGAAGGTTGAGTTGATTGCCAATGGCCAATGATGCAATCAATCAGGCTGAGTAATGGAGCCTCCATAAAACCCAAAGGACTGGCTCAGGGAGCTCCTGGAAAGCTGAACACACAGAAGTGCCTGGAGGGAGTGCCCAGGACGGCATGGAAGCTCCATGCCCCTCCCCAACACTTCACCCTACGCATCTCTTCATCTCTATCCTTCACAGTGTTCTTTAGAATAAACCAGTAAACATGCATAAAGTGTTTCCCTGAGTTCTGTGAGCTGTTCTAGCAAATTAAACCCAAGGCGGGGGTCGTGGGAACCCTGACTTAGAACCAGCTGGTCAGAAGCACAGGCTATGCCGGGACTTGCCATCAGCCTCTAACGTGGGGGCCATCTTGCAGGACTCAGCCCTCATTGTGGGCTCTCACGTCACTCCAGGTGGGACCAGCATCTGAAGGGCGGGGCCATCTTGCGGGACTGAGTCCTCACTGTGGGTTCTCACGTCACTCCAGGTGGGACCAGCATCTGAAGGGGGCGGGGGCTGTCTTGCGGGATTGAGCCCTCACTGTGGGCTCTGAGGCTCACCCTGGGTGGACGGCATCAGGTTGGAGTTGAATAGAGGACCCCCGGCTGCTGTCCACTGCAGGACCACTTGCTGGTGGGGAGAAACGCACATGTTTTGGTGATCAGTCAGCTGTGTTGACTGAGGATGGGAGGAACCGTTTGGTTTGTCCCTGTGTTTTACAAAGGCTGATGTCACTGCACCGACGGACGGGCCTAGAGTGGTGAGGGGAGAGGCCTGGTGGTTTCCCGCTGCTCCCGCCCTTCGCCCTGCCTCCCTCGCTCCCTGCTTCTCAGCACTCCCCACCTCCATGATGGTTTTGAGGCCCTGGGCCTCAAGTTTGTTTTGCTTCAGCCCAAGGTAAACATGCCTGTTTAATTTATGGAGAAACATCTGCAGAGTCCAGTTTTATGGCTTGTTCTTTGAAACGATCACTTCGGATACATAAAAAATGAGGTCAGTAACATTGAGTCCCAAAGCAAAGAGCCGGCCTTTCCGGGCTCACCACGTAGCTTCCTCCCCGGCCCTGCTCATGGCCCTGCCTGGCTGTCTCCTCTGCCTGGAGGCCTCTCACTCACCTTTAGGGTGGGCTCCTGGCAGGGCAGGGTGGCCTGAGGGGCCTTAGGGAGGATTTAGGGGTGAACACCCAAGATCCCGGGTCCATGAGATTCCTGGAGCCAGGAGAAGGTGGCTTCACCACTCAATTCAGTCATAGGGACCAGCCAGGCCCAGTCCCACAGATGAGGAGTCCTGGAGGGTCCTAGGCCTGGTAAGGGTGGTCCTGGTTCTACAGGGGGTCCCCTGGAGAGTCCCGTGAGTACTTGGGGGAGATCCCCTGGTGGGCAAAGCAGCCCACGAGGGAAGCACCTCAGCCACACCCCTCCCTGGTCAGCTCAGGTCCTCAGGAAGCAGATGCTGAGCGGACCTGGGGCATGCGACAGGTGACAGTAATGCCCAGAAGAGATGGGGCGTCAGGAGTCACCCGACTGGCCTGAAAATCTGATGGCACCTCCAGCGCCACGGCGAGCTCTGGGGCCAGGGCCACCTGCTGCAGGGACCACGGGTTGAGTGGCAACATCCAGGCCCCAGCCACTTGCATCTCAGCCACTGGAAAGGTAGGGGCCTCTGGGGGGCTACCCTGTTCACAGATCTTTCTAGGGGAGACCCCAGAGACGGCCTCCCTGGAGCCACATTGCGAGTGGCCAGAGCCGCATCCCGCATCACGCCCTCTGAGGGGCCAGCAGACAGCTCCAGGCGGAGCTCAAAGTGTCCTCGGACTCCAGCAGGAAGTGCTGGACTGGATGTCGGTGGGGGCCTTTGAGATCCCGATTCTGCAACCTCAGCTCCCGGGGCTCTCCAGGCCCACAGTCCTGCTGACTGAAATGTTGGCAATGGTGGCCACTGCGCCTCCGCTCAAGAGTTTGCAGGAAGTTCCATGCGGGAGATCAAGTGAGAGTGGCCAGGGGCCTCTAGCAGTGACCAGCAGACAAAGCCTGGTCTCCAGGCATCACCAGGCCACTGGGCCAGGAGCCTGAGCTGTGGGCTCTGTGGTGGGTGGATGCTGGTTTTCTTCACTGGTACGGGAGAAAATGGGGATCCTGAGAGATCCCATGGAGAAGCTTCCAGCAAGCTGGGCCTGGATCCCAGCCCGCCTCTGCTCAGGTGTTCATAGTTGTGGACGCTGAGTATCTGCCGGTCCTAGTCCCTCGGAGGGACCCATGCACTCCAGGACGCAGCCTCAGACCCAGGGAGGTGGTATCATGCACTGACGATGGCAAGGCCTCCTGGAAGCCCCTGGGGCAAAACCTCTTGGCAGTGCTCAAGGCCCCACACTGGAAAGTGGACACAGCACAGTGATTTGCCATGCCCAGGCCGGTGCAGAGCAGCAGGCAGCCCACGTCACTCTCCTGGGCCATCTCTCTGCAGGGGACAGCCACCATCCGAGCCCCCCATCCAGGGGTTCCCATGTGGGGACACCTTCTGGCAGCCCAGCTGAGCTCCCACCCCTAGCAAACACTGCCGGCCTCTCACCCCAGAGCGCTTTCAATGGCAGCAGCCTCCAAGGGCACCCACTGAGAGACCCCAACTGAGAGCCCCCAACCACGCCCTCCGAACTCCTGGCCAGTGGGACGGTGAGTGAGGAGGCCCGAGATCTGCCTCACAACTCGGTAACAGAGCAGAGCATGCCTGCTCCAAGCCGGGGTTCTCTCCAGACATGGAAGGAGGGAGGGAGAGAAGGAGGGAGGGAGGGAAGGAGGGAGGGAGGGGAAGGGGGAGGGGAGGGGAGGGACCAGGGAGGATAATGAAAAGGACCTGGCACTATTTGTAGAGACACACTTCTGCCCACTGAGAAGGTCCTCGGCCTTGATGTCCAGCTCTGCGGTGACGGAACCTGGACAGAGAGAGCAGGACCCCAGCATGAGAGTAGCAATGGACGTCACAGCAAAACATCCACGTTTCACAGTCACGACTTCCAGGAGCAAACCGAGCCTCTCCAGCAGCAGGGTGAGAGGTGACAGGGCACAGTTGAGGAGTCCCAGGGCTGCCGCGATAGGGGTGCCCACACAGGGCTTCAACAACGGGCGTCCACTCCCTCGCAGTCTGGAGTCCCACGTCCCAGATGGAGGTGCGGGCAGGGCCGTGCTGCCTCTGAAGGTTCTGCAGGAGCACCCTTCCTGCGTCTTCCACTCCTGGTGGCTCCAGGCGTCCTTGGCTTGTGGCCGCATCACCCCACTGTCTACTCTGTCGTCTCAGCCTCCTTCTCCTCCTCTCTGTGTCTGAGTCTGGATTTCCCTCTTCCTGTGAGGACACCCATCACCAGGTTCAGGGCCCACCCTACCCCCATATCTCATCTGAACTAATTCCACCGGCAAAGAGCCTATTTCCAAATAAGGTCACATTCTGAGGTTCTGGATGAACATGACTTTACGGGGGACACCGTCTAACCCTGAACATATGGTGTCGGGAGCAGGCACTGCAGGAACTGAGGTGAATCTGTTTCCATCTCTGTGACTCCTGGACACCCCAGACAGCCTTAGAGCCATGGGGAGGCCGCAGTGCCACCAGTCAGGCTGGAGACCCCTAAGTGGGTGCCCAGACAGGGCCCATGGCAGGAGGGCAGTGGGCACAGAGGAGGAAGGCCGGGCTGCTCCCTGCTTCTCCTCTCCCTCCTCCTTCTCCACTGGAAAGTTCCACAGAAGAGTCATCTGGAGGTGAGCAAGGACTCAGTAGGGCTATTGCCCTGGAGAGGAGGCGGCCGAGGAAGGAGAGCCCAGCACGGCTCTCGGAGGCTTCGCAGGGAGTAGGAGTCAAATACCTGGGAGGAACGAGGGCCCTCTCCAGGAAGAAAATGTCTCCAAACCCTCAGAACCCTCCGCAGACCTCATTGCCAAACAAAGAAACATGTTTTCTCAAGTTCCATCCTCAGCTTCAAGATGACCCTGCGTGGGCGAGCTGTGTTTGTTTGACCCCAGCTGGAGAGGAGGGGCCTGTGGTCACAGCCCAGTCACCAGCCCAGTCTCGGGTTCTTGGCCCCATACAGGCGCTGAAGAAAGGCAAGGGGGCTGGGGTCGCTGTGGGTGGTGCCACGTGGGAGGACGCGTGTTAGAGGCACACAGCCGGTGTAGGTCCCTCCCTTTGTCACTGGCCAGCAGTGTTCTGCCCCCGGTCAGCTATTTCCCTTCCACAGGCCTCAGTTCCCCTCTGAAAACACCAGCATCACCGGCCAGTGGTAAAAATTAAACACGCTCTTAATCTTCCAGGCTCTGTCCTGGACACACGGTGACCATCACCAGCATGAGTCAAAGGCCACAAACCAGGCATGTGTGGCTTCAGGACGAATGGACTGCACCCACACCCCATTCAGTGGGGTGACCCCTTCCTGCTTCATCCTGCTCCCCAGCAGCCACCTCCTCCCTCGGGGTGCTGGCTCTCCCCAGACGCACAGCAGCCCGCACAGACCCGTGGCCTGTGTCCTGTCTCCCCATCCCCCCAGGACAGCCAGGCTGTGTAGACAGGGCAGGGGACCAGCATCTTCTGAGGCCCCAGACACGGCTCCTCACACACCTCCACCCCGCAAGGGGGATCCTCACGGGGCAGCAGTGATGCCCCACGGAGTGTCCTGGAGGGTGGGGCAGGGTGAGCGCCCATGCAGGCAGGGCAAGGCCATGCAAGGCAGGCTCCCCATCTCCGGCTCATCAAACATCTGCTGCCGCGGGCCCGCCCAGAGAAAAGTGGGATCAAGGCCTACAGGGGCTCCTGCCTCGCGCTCTGCTGGGGTCCCCAGGGAGGTGAAGCCTTTGCTGGTCCACTGCGGCCCTAAAGGCTGCAGTTGAGACACCCGGGCTGCCAGCTCCAGACTTACAGGGGCATCTCCACCCTTTACATGCCTAAACCACCCCCCGACCCCTCCTTCTCCCACACTGGGACCCTCCCAGGGCACTAGACCCCACCCGGCCCCAAGGTCCCCAGGGGCCATAAGACCCCCCTCCCACCCCACCCCAGGAGGAACACTGCCCGTAGCTCACTGAGGCAACGTCCAGCCTCTAAGCCCAGAAGCTGCCTGTGCTGGAAAATCACCTCCCATTTCCGGGTGAGGCCTGGGCCGGGAGAGTGCTCTCTCCCCACCCTCTGCACCCCGCCCCAGCTTCTTCCCCTGCCTGCCATGTGCCTCGGCCCCCAGGAGCCCCAGTCCCCGCCCACAGCCTGCAGCAAAGCCCCATTCACACCTCCTATGACATGGTCCTGCTGCCCTCCAGAACCCTATCGCCTAGTGCAGGACGGGTGACCAGCAGGCAGGGCACAGCAGCTAGGAGCAGCTCCTAGGAGCCCCCGAGCCCCGCCCTGGCTGATGCCTCCTGGGCCATGTCTGACACATGCTCAGAAGCCCATTTCTCAGATGCGGTATCCTCAGCCTTTGGGAGGGATTTGCGACACTTGAGCAGGGCCCTGAAGCATGTGTAGGAGTTCTCCTATCCCGACTTTCAGGCCACCTGTGGTCAGGGGGCTCCCTGTGCTGCCCGAGGTCCCACCGTGCCTGCTGCACTAGCTGGGGTGCCCTCCCTTTCAGCGGTCCTCAAAGGAGTCTCACCACGCTAGGAAATTGTAAACCCCAGCCTCAGCCTGCACGGTCCCCTCCCCCTGAGGCGCCCCTCATTGTCTTGTCCCCTCTTCTGTGGGTGCTCCCTGACCCTCCTTTTCCCCCTCCAGGCTGGCCCCAGGCGCTCCCTCTCCTCCTACAGCCCTGAGAGGTCATAGCTTTGACCTCCCCACATTGCCAGCACTCACGTCTGGGTCTCTGTCTCTCCCACCAGAATAGGGGCTCCTTTACGGATGGGGGTCCTGTCCAGCTCCTCCCTGAACCCCGGAAGGCACAGGGAAGGAGCCACTCTGTGACTCCAATTCCAAGACTGCCTCTGAGCTTCATAACTGCCTCCCTCTCTGCCATTGAGGGCTCATGCATTTTAAAACTTTCTCCGGAGGAATAATTCACTCTTTGCCATGACCCAGTTATCTTTCCAGTTTCTGGGCAGAGGTGCTGAGCGATGTTCTGAGGGTGGCTTGGTGAGCAGGCTGGCAGCGGGAGAAGGGTCTCACCTGCAGGCTGCCCAGGGGCTCTTCCTCCCACCCTCCCGGGCCCGAGGCCCCTTCCCACACCCCTAGCTCCACAGCAGCAAAGCGGGGCTGTGGGGTGGGCCAATGCCTCGAGGCGTCACCACAGCCAGGCTCTGGAGCAGAGGGCCCTGCGTCTGTGTGCGCTGCCTTTGCAGCCTCAGTTCAGGCTCAGGCGCAGCTCTAAGCCTCAGTTTCCCCAGCAGTAAATGGGCTGGTTCGGGGATTCCATGAGTTGACACCTGTTGTCAGCACCGCACTGGGCACCAAGGGAAGAGCCCAGAAAGGGACTCTGGACTCAGAGGGAGCCAGGGCCCAAGCCTGCTTCTCCTGCTGCCTGCTGGTCTGTCTTGGGGTCTGCCTTCTGCTCTGTCATGTCCCCCGCTGAGCCTCAGTTTCCCCAAATATAAATGTAATTGAGGTTTTTAGTACCTTCCTTACTGGTAGCTGGGAGGACCAAGTGAGAAAACGCCTCTGAAATAACCTAATCAAGTAGACAGTGCTCGCCAGATGAGCTCAGAGGCTGCAGTGGAGACCACGTTCCTGCACCCGACAGACACTCCAGGCCCGCCCCAAGGAGCCCGTCCGATGGAGGAGGCACGCACATGTGTTACAGGACCAGCAGATGTGTATGCCCACAGCGCTGTAACACACCCCTGACGTGGAGACAGCAGGGTTTGCAGCAGAGAAAGGGCTTATTGATCACAGGGCAGTGAGTGAGGGGGTGGGAGGGAGCCGCAAATCCCTGTCCCTGAAGAGTTCCGGGCTGGGGTTTTTAAGGGGATCATGGAAGGTGAGAGGCTGGAGAACTGGGTTGGCTGATTGGCCAGGGTAAGGGACTGAAATCATCAAGGTGTGGGGACTTGATGATTCTTCGGTAGCTCAGGTCCTCCAGGGTCCTACGGGCCAGCTGGCGTCAGGAGCTTCCTCGGTACGCAGGGCCTGAAGGGGCATCTCAGAGGGAAACACACGTTCCCAGCGCTCATCCGCAGAGCAGTCGAGGAGGCAGTGGACTTGTGGCCGGGCCTGTGTGACTCTGGGGCCACAGGCAGCAGACAGGCTTGAGGCAGCCCGTCAGAGCATGACCACCCAGGGACGAGTGTGAGGGCGCCGGGCTGGGTTAATTTTCGTTTCTCCCCCTCCCTTCTTCTCTGGTTAATTTTATGAAGTTTATGGGGACGATTTCACACACACACCTGCGCGCACACTCCTGCCCACTCCATACAGCTCCCAGGCAGTCACAAGGTGAAGGCTGCCCTTCTGACAAGGGGCTGGTGCTCTGCCAACTGGAAGGGGCACAGGGAAGGGACCCCCCGCCAAGCCCGTTGGCCTCCAACATCCTCCCAGGAGGCAGGTGTTCAGCCCCAGACACCCCCACCCCAGCCAGCCGACGCAGCTCAGGAGGGGGTGGGAGTGGAGCTGCTCCCACCACAGCGCACCCACATTGCCACCCCAGGTGAGGCGGGGACAGCACCGTGGGAGGGAGGGAGGGGCACAGTGACAGCTGCACGTGGAGACGCAGCGAGACGAGTCTCAGAACCTTCCAGACAGAGCTGGTCAGAATCTCATCAGTTAAGGTTAACGTTAGCTTTGGGAGGCAACTTCCAGCCCCGCTTAGAGTGGTGCAACCACATCACTCCAGTTTTTGCTGTTGGATTCTCCAGGCAGCACTGGTTTCCGGATCCCTGACTTTTAAACAGGAACTAGCGTCCTTTTTCTGCCCGGCCAGCATCTCCTGCAGGCGGGCCTGGCTGCAGCTCAGATGCCGGGAGAGTAGGTTCACATCAGGACATGCCGAATCAATCCCTCACTCTCATCAGGACCCCCACGGGGGGAGCACCAGCTCCAGGGTTTCCCATCAGCCTCTGGTCTGAGTGGCTGCTCCTAGCCCCCCTCCCATGAAACTCCCCAGCAGGAGCTCTGGCCTCTCACAGGCGGGGTTCAGCTCCAGAAAACTCCCGCTGAGGATCTGTGCTGACCTGGGGCTTCCTGAGAAGAACGAGGGTCCCGAAGAGTCCTACAGACCCTCAACCACAAGTGTCCTTGGAGGACAGGAAAGGAGCTGGGAGGCAGGACACTTCGGCTTTGGCAGGGCCTGATCCTGTGAGCCCCCAGGTGCAGGGCGGGTTACAAGATGGACTGTAGGATGGGGTCACCCACTGCTCAGTCCAGCCAGCCAGCCACATGACCATTCATCCAGCTGCCAGCGCATCCCCCTCATTATCCATCTACACACGGCCATTCATCCTCCATGAGTCTATCCCCACACCAACACCTGCCAGTGCAGCCGCCTCACCATCCATCTACACACACACCGGCCAACGCCCAGCTCCTCCAGTGCCACCCACCATCTCCCACAAGCCCAACCTAACAGTCCTCCTACCCACTAGCCATTCATTGCCATCAAACCATCCAGCTACCTGCGTACCCATTCTCCATGCACATCCAGCCAGCCACTCACCCTGACCCACCTGTCAACCTACCACCCACGTGCCCTTCATTTACCCAACACACACTTAGCAACTAGTTATCCACTTGCTTGCCACATCAATCCAATAGCAACCAGTACCTCCATCCAATCAGCAAAAGATTCATTGATCAGCCCCTTTATTCAACCAGGAATCCATTCACCCATCCACCCCAACCCAAACCACCTCTTCAGTAATACAACCACACACCAACTAATCCACCAGCCGTCTGTCAGTCTGGCTGATCCTCCTATTCACACATCACCCATGCATTTAACCAGCCACCTACCCATCTGTCCATCAGTCTATCAGCTATCCACGTGCCAAACCATTCCTCCACCCACCCCATCATCCACCCATCCATCCAACACCCCAGGCAAGCATCCATAGTGACTGCCCCCCATCCATCTACCCATCTCTTCACCTGTCATCCGTCCACCCCTTCCAACTATCCAGGCCACCTCCTGAACCCTCCTTCCATCTCTTCCCCACATATCCAGCCACCCACGAATTCATTCAACAAATATGCATTCACTAACAAACACTTAGCAAGCACTCACCAACACCAGGTGTTGACTGAGGTGCTGGGTACACCTCAGGAACAAATCAGACAGAGGAGCACGCATTCTAGCTGGGTGAGACGAACAGGAAGCATCAACAAAGAGCTGTTGCACGTCAGGGGATAAGTGCTACACGTAAGGCAGAACTGGGTCCTGGAGGGAGAAACGGGCTTCTCTTCTGGGTGAGGCGGTGGGGAGGGCCTCTCCGAAAAAGGCGGCAACCGAGGAGAGGAGGGAGACATGAAGCACGAAGGGCATTCCAGGTAGAGGGCACAGGAAGCACGTGGCTCTGAGGCCTGAGCATGCTCTGGAGGTTGGAGGGGACTGAGTGGCTGTCAGCCATCCAGAACTGAGGCCGTGAGAAGCAGCAGATGCCAGCCCCTCTGTGGGTGAATAGGAGGCAGGGCTGGCCTGGACAGGTACGATCAGCCTCACATCCCAAGCCCGGGCCACCTGCCGTAGCCCCAAGCCTCTGGAAACAGGCTCATCCTCCACCTGAGTGACGTTCAGACTTGGGGAAGGGTGGGAGCGGCTGGAACATAGGCTGGGAGGTCAGCAGGGCCCGCCCACTGGCAGTGGGCACAGAGGTGGCCAAGGCACTGACTCTGGGCGGGAGCTTTGCCCTGACTCCTGCAGCCCCCAGCTGCCTGCCTTTCCCTCAGAGGCTCCACGCTTGGCTGTTCCTCAGTCCCACGGTTTCTCGGGACCAGCATCAGGGCCGCATTGAGCCTCCACCTTTGAGGCCACACCAGGCCCCGGCTGGGTGGAACCCTGAGGATCCAGACTCACAGAGGCCAGGCACACACGCCACCTTGACATGTGTTGCTTTCCACCATGAGGATCGTGTCTGCCGCCAGCTCCCCTCAGGCTGCTCAGGGCCGTGCCCTCCACAGACCACTCACCCTCAGCAACCAAGCAGGGGTCCTGAGACGAGGCTGGAAGGGTCCGGGTTTCCTGCCCAGCCCCCGTTCCTGTTCGGGTGGCCTTGGATGAGTCGCTTTCTCTCTCTGCTCCTAAGCTGCACTGTTCCTAGAATGGGATCTCGAACGTGGACCCTGAAGAGCTGTGGTGACAATTATATGTGACAGCCGATGTGAAAACAAGTTCTAAATGTTTTCTGAGCCCTTCCTTATTTCACATGTGCTCACGTCGGCCCTGGGGGACAAGTCATTGCCAGTCACACTAGAGTATACACAAGGTGTCCCCCTGTGCCTGGCCCTGGGGAGGAGGAGGTTGGTCCTACCTGGGGCAGGAGGATGGAGAGAAAGGAGACCAGACCCAGCTGTGAGGCTGCGACGGTTCTGGCCAGGCAAGCAGGGGCAAGCAGCATCTGCAAAGAGGCTGGGGTGTAATTCTAGCAACAGCTTGATGGGGATCTAAGTCGGGGGAGGCTGGAGAGGTGGCTGTGAGTAACCAATGAACTCTACTAAATAGGAATTCAATCCAGGGCCTGGCACTGTAACCCAAATATCTCCAGGGGTCCAGATGGCCCAGTCCATGCACAGACTTCCCTTCAAAGGAAGCCAAATCAGAGCTGAGGGACTTGAGGAATTGTAGTTCTTCACTGTCAATTTCCTCATTAAACCTCCCTGCGGTTTACAGGGAACACCATGAAGAAATCCAACCCAGACATCTTTCCTTCACAGACTCCACACTCAGCTTCTCCCCCTCCCACGCTGCTCCTCCCTGTCCTTCCCAGACCCCACACTCAGCCTCTCCCTCACACTGATCCTCCCTAGTCCATCCCAGACCTCATCCTCAGTTTCTCCCCATCCCACACTGCTTCTCCTTGTCCTTCCCAGACCCTATGCTCAGCTTCTCCCCATCTCACCCTGCTCCTTCCTAGTCTTTCCCAGATCCCACACTCAGCTTCTCCCTCCCAGCTGCTCTTCCCCAGTCCTTCCTAAACCCCACACTCAGCCTCTCCCTCCCAGCTGCTCCTCCCCAGTCCTTCCCATACCCCACACTCAGCTTCTCCCTCTCACACTGCTCCCCGCTAGTCCTTCCCATACCCCAGGCTCAGCTTCTTCCTCTCATGCTGATCCTCCCTCATCCCTCCCAGACCCCACATTCAGCTTCTCCCTCCCACCTGCTCCGCCCTTGTCCTTCCCAGAACCCACGCTCAGCTTCTCCCCATCCCAGGCTGCTCCCCCCATCCCTCCCAGACCCCATGTTCAGCCTCCCCCATCCCAGGCTGCTCCTCCCCTGTCTTTCCCAGACCCCACACTCAGCCTCCCCCTCCCAGGCTGCTCCTCCCTGTCCTACCCAGACCCCACATTCAGCTTCTCCCTCCCACACTGCTCCTCCCCTGCCCTTCCCAGACCCCACGCTCAGCCTCTCCCTCCCACGCTGCTCCCCCCTGTCCTTCCCAGACCCCATGCTCAGCTTCTCCCTCCCACGCTGCTCCCCCCTGTCCTTCCCAGAACCCACACTCAGCTTCTCCCCCTCCCAGGCTGCCCCTCCCCATCCCTCCCAGAACCCACACTCAGCTTCTCCCCCTCCCAGGCTGCCCCTCCCCATCCCTCCCAGAACCCACGCTCAGCTTCTCCCACTCCCATGCTGCTCCCCCCGTCTTGCTGCTCCCTGCTCCTTTCTCCTTCCTCCTGGGCCTCCACCCACCCATCCTGCCTGCTGGTCACAGTCACTGTGCTAACGCCCTCCCCCACACAGCCCACAGGGCCCACCCCCCAGGCTCGCTGTAACTGCTTTCTCTGAGAGGGCTGTGCGTGGGCAGCTCTGGTGACACACACTGGCATGTCACCCTGGGCGTGTCGTGGAGAGCCACTGGAGAAACCCTACACTAGAGCAAGGAATCAGCAAGAAGAAGGGCAGCCTGAGCCAGAGCTGGGAGGGGAGTGGGAAGGCTGCGGGGTATAGGGAGGCGGCAGGGTGGGAGTGGCGAAGCCCTGCGGCAGAGGGGGAAGCTGCTCCCGCCCACATCTGCTCCCACAGGAAGATGCCAGAAGACCCTTCCCCCAACTTTGCCTTTAGTTTCTGGTTTCCAAGGAAATCTGAGAGCCTGGACACGCTTTAATGAGCCCTGGAGGTGACACCTCCTGGTGGGTCCCACTTGAAAGGCTGTCAACTCTGCTCTAGGCCCTCCCTTTGAGCCATCCTGGGGCACCTGCCTGGGACATACATCCCCAAGGAGACACCATCCCATGAGGCACAACGCCTGCACTAAGCGTGCTGCAGTCACCTGCTCTGTCATTCTGGAAGGGGGCTCAGCCCACCCTCACTGGGGCAGAAGGCAGAATCAGACCACCTGTGTACGAGGGGCAGTGATATTCAGAAAGAAATCAGCACTGAGCTTATGAAAACACCAGCGGCACAAGCAGAAGAGCAAGGGAACAAGGGCTCAGAGGAAAATCCTTCCTCACAAATAGATGTGCTTCACGTAACAGAAAAAAATATATATATATTTTTAAAAAAGATTTACTGTGCTATCCATAAGGCACAAGGACTACAGCTGCTAAAAATCAAAATCAAGCTCACAGGGGCCAGGACACTCTGATCAACAGGAGGAAGATTCTAAGAGGCAATGTCAATGGAGTGATTGCCCACCACGTGCCAGAAAACGGGGTGCCCCTCACACATATGGACTCAGCACTTCCCGGCGGAGTGCCCTGGCATGCAGGAGTAGCCTGGTATGTGGGCGAGTCACAGGTGAGTCTAGACGGGGTGCCTGGTCCTGTATCCTCCAGATGTTGCATGGAAATTGTCATTATCAGTGTCTTCCCCCATGAGCACAAACCTGAGAACTGCTGTGTGCACTTCATCCACATCCACATTCTAAGCTCCAGCGTTCACTACAAGTATCCTCATTTTAAAGACAGTAGGCCCACATGAAGTAATTCTCCCAAAGTCACGCATCTCACCGTGAAGGAACCAAGATTTGAACCCAGGCAGTTTGGCTCCAGGTGCTGTACCTCCAACCACTAAACTACAAAATCACTAACCTTTACTAAATGCTTTCTATGTGCCAAGCACAACAGCCGCATTATCTCATTTAATTCTCCCAGTGACTCTCTAAGATAGGAATTTGTGTTTCTATGTTAAAGATGGTACAATGAGATGAACTGAGGCTAGGTTACACAGCTGGGATATGATGGAGTTCTAACAAAATGGTTCAGGGCTCTGAAACTAAAATCAAGGGAAAAGTGTATCCGAGACCACCTGATCCACCAAGGAGAACCAAACAAGTAGATCACCCTTGAAAACAATAACAAGAAATTAAGACAGTGTGGCATTGGTATAAGGATAGGCAAATTGACGGGCAGAACCTAAGAGAGAGTCCGGAAGCCACCGCCATTTGTGCAGTCACCTGATCTATAACAAAGACAAGTCTGAGATGTGGGGCTGGGGGGCTGGTGGGGTGTGGTCTTTTCCATTGCTGAGTCGACTGGATATCCAAATGGAAAAAAGAAAGCAGCCTTACCCCTGCCTCACACCACATACAAAAATAAATTTCAGATGGCCTGGAGATCTAAATGCAAAAGGGAACACAATCATGCTTTTAGAGGAAAACACAAAAAAAACTTCATGACCTCAGCTTAAGCAAAGATTTCTTAAACAAAACACAAATCATTAACCCTGCATTTGTGGGAGGCCAAGGTGGGCAAATCACTTGAGCCCAGGAGTTTGAGACCAGCCAGGGCAACATGCCAAAACCCTGTCTCCACAAAAATTACAACAATTATCCAGCTGTGGTGGTGCACACCTGTAGTTCCAGATACTCAGGAGCCTGAGGCATGAGGATTGCTGAAGCCTGGGAGGTCAAGGTTGCAGTGAGCCAAGATCGCAGCACTTTACTCCAGCCTGGGTGACAGAGCGAGACCCTGTCTCAACAAACGAGACAAAACAACAACAACAAAAAACTTCATATCATCAAAAGACACTGTTATGAGAACTGCAATTCATATATCTGAAAAAGGACTCTTAACCAAAACATATGAAGAACTCATGTAAACCAACAAAAATAAGATTGATATCCCACAGAAAAGGGGAAAAATACTTGCACAGATGCTTCGCAAAAGAAGCAATTCAAATGGCCAAGCAATATACAAAAAAGTGTTTGACACCATTAATCATCAGGAAAATGCAAATTGAAACTACAGTGTAATCCACTTACACACCTACCAGCATGACTAAAATAAGGAGACAGAAAATAATAGGTGTTGGCAAGGATATGGAACAACTAGAACTGTCTTGCAGCTGCTGGTGAGAGAGTCAATGGGGCAGTCACCTGAGGCAGAAGTTTCACCCAGCCCCAATATGACCTCATCTTAACTGATAACATCTGCAACAACTCTATATACTAATAAGCTTGCATTCTGGAATTACTGGGGGTTAAGGCTTCAATATATCTTTTTTATTAATTAATTTATTTATTTGAGACAGAGTCTTACTCTGTCACCCAGGCTGGAATGCAATGGTGCAATCACAGCTCACTTCAGCCTTGGACTCCTGGGCTCAAGAGATCCTCCCATCTCAGCCTCCTGAGCAGCTGGGACGACAGGTGCATGTCACCATGCCTGGCTAATTTATTTTATTTTTTTAGATTTGGGGGTCTTACTATGTTGCCCAGGCTGGTCTTAAACTCCTGCTGGGATTACAGGTGTGAGCCACTGTGCCCAGCCTCCTGCAACATATCTTTTGGGGGGACACTATTCCACTCATAACAGTGTGTTTGTCTATAACACACCTTATACTCCAATAAAAGTGTGTTTGAATTCACAATAAAAATAGCTGATATGCATTAAACATTGGCAACGACCTGGCCTCTGCTCCATGCACTATACATGCCTTGCTTCCTCCTCACTCAAAGTGCTCTGGATCCTTGGAAAGGAGGCCTAGACGTGGGTGCAGTGGAGAGAAAGGGAGAGGGGCCTGCAGCCCATGCAAGGCAGACTGTCCTCATGTCCTGGGCATTTGCCTCAGGAGAATGTAATGTCTGTGTCCCACTCCCCCACCCCCCACCCCCAGGCTCCTGCCCAGGAGAAGGTCAAAAGCTGATTGGGTCTTAGGGCATGACCCAAACAGAAGGCTCACTCAGCTGCACTGAGGCAGGAGAATAGGGTCTGGAGGCAGGGAACCTGAGGCCAATTCACGCTGACTTCCTAGAGCTAAATCAAAAGGAAAACCTCAACTTTCCACACCTAAGTAACAGAAGGACCAGGGGCTATTCCCTTTGCAAACCCCCCTCCTTTTCTGCTTTGCAGATTGAAAATTGAAACTACCTCTGATTGGTAACTTTCTGCAACCAATCAGATATTTGCATAGGAGTGTAACTTTGTAACTTCACTTTAGCCTCTAACTGGTTGCTTTCACAACCAATCAGACGCTTGCATAGGGTGTAACCTTTGTAACGTCACTTCAGCCTCTGATTGGCGGCTTCTCAATCAGACTGATTGCCAGCCATTACCTCATTTACATAGGGTGTACACCCAGTAACGAATGGGAAATTTCTAGAGGGTATTTAAATGCCAGAAAATTCTGTAACGGGGCTCTTGAGCCCCTGTGCTCAGCCGGCTCCCAACTTGTAGAGTGTACTTTCATTTTCAATAAATCTCTGCTGCTGCCCCCCACCTTGTAGAGTGTACTTTCATTTTCAATAAATCTCTGCTTCTTTCCTTGCTTGGTTTGTGCATTTTGTCCAAGTCTTTGTTCAAAATGCCAAGAAACTGAACACCTTCCACCAATAATAATGCCTGGGGCTCAGGTGCCTGTGACCTGGTCCTCTCTGTTTCTTCTTCCCTGAGGAGCATCTTGCTCAGCTCCTCTTAGGAACCAAATATTTGGGTCCCCCCAAAATGTATACATTGAACCCTATCCGTTAGTGTGGCTATAGTTGGAGCTGGTGCCTCTAAGGAAGTAATTAAGGTTCAATGAGATTATGAGGGTGGAGTGCAATCCAACAGGATGAGTGTCCTTAGAAGAAGAGACACCAGAGAGCTCTCTCTCCCCCCACTCCCTCACACTCAGAGGACAGGCCTTGTGAGGACACAGTAAGAAGGCGGCCGCCCACAGCCCAGGGAAGAGCCCTCCCCAGATGCTAGCCCTACTGGCCTATGGATCCTGCACTGCCAGTCTCAGCCCTTCTGGCCCCAAGATCCTGCACTCCTGGTCTCCCGAAGTGTGAGGGATAAATGTCTGCTGTTGGAGCTGCCCAGTCTGTGGCATTTCCTTATGGCAAAGAGAGCCAACTAAGACAACTCCTGACATTCATTAAGGAAAATGGAAGAGCCGGTAACTCTGCTGCTTTATCCTTCACAGAGGCAGGAATCTGAATTTCATCAGGATTTAAAACTGTCTGTCGCTGGAGGCTGGGTAATGCTGACCAGGACAAGATCATTATCTGTGGAGGCCCTTTCATTTCATCATACTCTCAAGGCTGAAACTTGATTTCTCCCTCAGAGCTCAAGGCAAGACCAATACTCTCCTCTGTGAACAAGAAACACAACAGCTGCTGTAAAATCTTCAGTGTAAATGGCAGACTTGCAGCTGCAGAAAAGCAAAGTCGTGGTACAACAGAAAAATTTGAGAAACACTTCCAAATCGCAAGCGAAATTAAAATATAGAAGTGAAAAGTCAGGAACAGAGGCAGGTTGGATGTGAAGGTCTTACAGAGCCAAACCACACACAGCAGATGCTCCTGAGGAGAAAATGAAGAAGGGAGCAGAAGTAGCAGCCAAAAACATAATAGAAGAAAACTTTCCAGGTGGAGAAATTGAAAATGCTGAGCAAAAAAATAATGCAGAGAGAGCAATAATGCCAGAGGGTGTTGTGCTACACTGAAGTTTGCACTTCAGGAAAAACAGGGCATCAGAAAAGCTCCCAAGAGGACAAAAGTCAACAGATTATCTTCAAATAAGCTAAAATTAAGTTGTCTTCAAATGTGTCTGCTGAAATAAAAGATGCCTCCAGACCATGTGATATGGTTCCGCTGTGTCCCCACCCAAATCTCATCGTGAATTGTAGCTCTCATGATCCCCAAGTAGTGTGGGAGGGACCTGGTAGGAGGTAATTAAATCATGGAGGTGGTTACTCTCATGCTGTTCTCATGATAGAGAGTGAGTTCTCACAAGATCTGATGGTTTTATAATGGGCTTTTTCCTCTTTGCTCAGCACTTCTCCTTCCTGCCATCATGTGAATAAGGACACGTTTTCTTCCCCTTCCACCATGATTGTAAGTTTCCCTAGCCCTCCCCAGCCATGAAGAACTGTGAGTCAATTAAATCTCTTTCCTTTATAAATTACCCAGTCTCAGGCAGTTCTTTACAGCAGCGTGAGAAAGGACTAATACACCATGGGATAACTGATACTGGCATATCTGTGTGGGAAACCCTAGGACCTGAGAACTTTCTGGCCATTTCTAAAAGCTCCAGATGGCTGCACCTGTCGCCTCTTCTGTAAAAGCTGCTTGAACGGAATCCTTCAAAATACCAAACAGGACAGCAGGGACATCACCATAGAAAGAATTGGGCTGGAATGATAGGCCAGGTAAAAATAAGAGAATCAAAGCATTCACAACTCTTGTGAGAAAGGCTGCTGCTCACACAAATTTAAAATACAGTTATAACAATGCCAACAAAGTGGAACGCATTGGAAAACTTTAAGGGGTTTAAAATTTCAAGTAAAAAGTATGAGGTTTGTAAATTCAGAGGAAATTAATGCACTTAGGAAAGGGATGAAGATAACAAGGAGGAGCAGCATTAAGTTCTCTGTTTTCCATAAAAGGGAGTCAAATGTCATTGTTTAATCTTTCATTGTTAGACAAATATAAGTTTAAGACTGTTTCAAAAACACGATATCTGCCTTCTAAATCATTACAGATTTTTTAAAAGAAGAAATATATGGACAGAAAAAATGTGACTGAAACACCAGGAGTTTGATGTTGGTCTTGTTGCTCACTGCACAGAAAGCCAGTCACCAAGACAATGAATACTGCAGGGAAGAAGGAAGGCTTCATGCAGGTGCGCAGCTGAGGAGGTAGGAGCTCATTCTGAAATCCATCTCCTCAACTGGCTAAATTTAGGGGTTTATAGAGCAGGGAAGAAAAGTAACCACATGTAGAAAAACAAGAATTGGGGGGTGCAAAGAAGAGGAGGTGGTCAACAGGAAGAAGGTGGTCCCTTAGACAGTCATGATGGGTGCAGGTCAGCCGTCTCATTGTCCGGGAAGGGGGGGAGGGGAAGGGAGGAATGGGAGGGAAAAAGGAAGATAGGGAGGGGGGGAGAAGGGAGGGAAGGGAGGAGAAGGGAGGGATGGGAGGGAAGAAAGGAGGGAGGGGAAGGAAGAAGGGAGGGATGGGAGGTGGGAAGGAAAGGAGGGAGGGGAGGGAAGAAGGGAGGGGAAGGAAGGGAGGGGCAAGAAGGAAGAAGGGAGGGAGGAGGGAGGAGAAGGGAAGGAGGGGAGGGGAAGGGAGGGATGGGAGGGAAGAAGGAAGGGAGGGCTGGGAGGGGAAAGGAGGGAGGGAAGAGGAGGGGAAGGGAGGAATGGGAGGGAAAAGGAAGGAAGGGAGGAGAGGGGATGGAAGGACAGGAGGGAAGAAGGGAGGGAGGGGAGGGAAGGAGGAAGAGAGGGATGGGAGGGAGGGGAAGTGAGAGATGGGAGGGAAGAAGGAAGGAAGGAATGGGATGAGAGGGAAGAAGGGAGGGAGGGGAGGGGAAGGGAGGGAGGAAGAAAAGAAGAGAGGGAGGGAGGGGAAGGGAAGGGAGGGAAGGGAGAGAGGGGAAGGGAAGGAGGGGAGGGGAAGAGAGGGATAGGAGGGAAGAAGGTAGAGGAAGAAAGGGACGGGAGGGAAGAAGGAAGGGAGACTGGGAGGGGAAGGGAGGGACAGGAGGGAAGAAGGGAGGGAAGGAGGGGGAAGAGGGGGAGGGGAAGGACGAGAGGTCAATATGACACACTCATTCCAAATACCAGGTAGAATTATGTAAATATAAAGGATTTCTGATTACAAAAAAAAAAAGACCAGTCTAATGTCTTACCACTTATAAGAGACTTCATAAAGCAAAATAACACAGAAAGGTTTAAAATGAAAAGATGAAAAAAATCACAGACTACAGTAAAAGTCAAGAAAGCTGGGGCTGGCACATTAGTATTGCAAAATTGAATTTACAACAGGAAGCATTCACTGTTACATCAGGAATCATTTTATAATCTTCACATATGCAAATAAAGATGGAGTGCTAACAGTAAGCAGCATTTGTGAACTCACCAAGACAGCAGCAAAACACCAAAAAAAAGGGAAATCTTTATAAATATGGGGGAAGGGATTAGGTCCACTCTGAAGGCCATAATACATGAGTCCAGCGAGGGGTGGGAAGACAAGATGAGCAGGGCTTTGGCGTTGCAGGAGCGCCTGGCACAGGGATGCCTACTGCAACCATTTAGACGCAAAGTAAATCTAAGTAAATATTTAAAATGCAAAATTTACACCACTCTTGCTTTCTCGTAATGCAATGGAGCTACAAATCATAAAAGTTTAAACAAAGAAGCCAACTGCTTAGAAATATAAAAGTAAGGGAGCAAAGAGGACATACAATGACGTATCGTTTGTACTAAAATAAATATAAGCATACTACGTAGCAAACGAGACAGAGCCCAAACTGTCACTGGGCATCAATCTGTAGCTTCAACCGCGAATGCCATTTCTTAAAGTCAGACAAAAGAAACATGTGGGGCGCAAACCCCAGGAGTTTAGGAAAACACTTCTGGTTTAAAGAGGCATGTCAAGTGGCCCTCACACAGACCCCGCCGACCCACCACCAGAATCCCTGCAATCAACAGAGACCACAGCTCACACCGCCGCCACTCCCGCAGGTGGACAGGCAAGCTAGGCTGGGGAAATGGGGTGAAACCCACCACTCAATGCCGCCTTAGGCCCCCTGCCCCTAAAGGGACCCCGTGCCTGAGGTCCACCCACCATGGGGCTTGGGGTCCTGGAGGGCCATCACACTAATCCCCCCTGCCACCTCTCCCCATCTCCAGCGTTCACGGTGACCCAGGAACTTTGTGCTCAGCCGTCTGGGGCAATTCTGTCCGCCTCCAATCCATCTGTCAAAGCCCTGAGTCCCAGGACTTCAGAATGTGACCGTGTTTGGAGACAGGGACTCGATAGGGGAGATTAATACGAAGTGAGGTCACATGGGTGACCCTAATCCCATCTGACACGTGTCCTTATAGGAAGAGGAGATGAAGACACAGATACGCACAGAGGGGCAGCCCTGTGAGGACACGTGGAGAAGACGGCGCGTGCGAGCCAGGGAGACAGAAACCAACCCTGACAACCCCTGATCTCAGACTTCCAGCCTCCAGAGCTGGGGGAAAGTACGTTTCTGCTGTTGAAGCTGCCAGTCTGTGGTGCCGGGTTACGCGCCAGTACCCACGCGCCAGCCGAGACAGCAATAGCGAGACACTCCGGACAGGCGGAGGGCGTGCGGCCTTCCCACCGCCCACCTGAAAACACTGCCTAAAGGTGAGCCCAGTCCACGAAGCCTGCATGAAATGACGCGTTCAACAGCAGGAAGGACCTGGGTGGCATAAAAAGAAAAAGAGTCAGGGAGACCAAGTCAGGAGAGGGGAGAATGAGAGTGGAAATGGTTTGGCTGTGTCCCCACACAAATCTCATCTTGAATTGCAGCTCCCATAATTCCCATGTGTTGTGGGAGGGACCCAGTGGGAGATAATTGAATCGTGGGGGCGGTTTGCCCATAGCGTTCTCATGGTAGTGAGTAAGTCCTGAGATCTGATGGTTTTAAAAGCGGAAACTCCTCTCGCTTGACTCTCATTCTGTTTTGTCTGCTGCCACGTAAGACGTGCCTTTCGCCTTTCACCAGGATTGTGAGGCCTCCCCAGCCACGTGGAACTGTCTGTCCCTTAAACCTCTTTCTCTTCATAAATTACCCAGTCTTGGGTATGTCATTATCAGCAGTGTGAAAACGGACTAATACAAGACTCTTCAAAGGACGCCGAGCCCAGCACCTCCCCAAAGCCTGAGGAACTGGAGCGACATGAGGGCTTGGTTCAATCTTCCTGACCGTTGAGTTCTGACCCCACCTCCCGGGGGGCAGGGAGATGTGGAGTGAGGAGGTATTCACTGAACATTTCTGGACAAGTGGAGGCCGCAGTGGGCACTTGGGCAGACAGCAGTCTGTGACGTGCAGGCTGCCCAGGAGGCTGGAGCTGGGTGCAGGGCCCCATAGCAGTCAGCCCCTGCAGCCAACAAGCACCTGTGAAATCTCGACGGCGCGCAATGCAGTAATTTATCTGGGCTGCGCCGGGAGGCTGGCTGGCTGGAGCCGTTGGGTCTGGGGTGTCCCCTTGTTGCTTCTCCTTCGTGGACTGGGGGCTGGTGGGGACGAGCTGCTTCCCTCAGCAATGGCGAAGGTGCTGGGGAGAGTAGAAAACCCTCCACCTCTGTAGGCCCAGGCCCCGGGCCTGCACACTCTCTCCTCCGCCCACGTGCCCCGGGGTGAGCCCAGTTCAGGGCCAGGACACGCATTCCTCCTTCTGAGGGAGGAACGGTCTCCTGGCAGAGGGCCTGGATGCAGGGCAGAGTGAAAAATTGTGGCCAATTATGCCATCTGCCACACCGGCCTGAGAAGTTGGACTGCATCCCAGGGCAGCAGGGGCCATCAGCAAGTGACAGGGAGCTGGGCTGCAGGGAGGTGGGAGGCCGAGAAACCTGTCGGAGGCCACTGTAGTTCATCGTCCAGGAGAGAGATGGCAGAGGCCTCGATCCGGGGGCGGGAGAGAGGGCAAAAGGCCACAGAAAGAAGAGTTTAGGAGGCAGAACCTTAGGCCTGGACCCTGGCTGTCTGCCAGCCGGTGGTTCAGGATAAGTTCCTGGTGACTGGCTGGAGAAGCTGAGGATGGGAGGGGCAGAGCCCAGGGGCAGAGTCACTGGGTAGGGGAGCCCTCCTCCAACCCAGACTCTGGCCCGTGTGGCTGAGACTCCGTTCTGTGTTGTGTAGTGTGTGTGTGTGTGTGTGTGTGTGTGTGTGTGTGTGTGTGTTTACAGCAGTATGCGTGTGTGCCGTGTGTGCTGTGTGTGGTGTGTTTGCATGTCTGATGTATGTGCCGTGTGTGCTGTGTGTGGTGTGTTTGCATGTCTGATGCATGTGCCGTGTGTGCTGTGTGTGGTGTGTTTGCATGTCTGATGCATGTGCCGTGTGTGCTGTGTGTGGTGTGTTTGCATGTCTGATGCATGTGCCGTGTGTGCTGTGTGTGGTGTGTTTGCATGTCTGATGCATGTGCCGTGTGTGCTGTGTGTGGTGTGTTTGCATGTCTGATGCATGTGCCGTGTGTGCTGTGTGTGGTGTGTTTGCATGTCTGATGCATGTGCCATGTGTGCTGTGTGTGGTGTGTTTGCATGTCTGATGCATGTGCCATGTGTGCTGTGTGTGGTGTGTTTGCATGTCTGATGCATGTGCCATGTGTGCTGTGTGTGGTGTGTTTGCATGTCTGATGCATGTGCCATGTGTGCTGTGTGTGGTGTGTTTGCATGTCTGATGCATGTGCCATGTGTGCTGTGTGTGGTGTGTTTGCATGTCTGATGCATATGCCATGTGTGGTATGTGTGGTGTGTTTGCATGTCTGATGCATGTTCCATGTGTGCTGTGTGTGTTGTGTTTGCATGTCTGATGCATGTTCCATGTGTGCTGTGTGTTGTGTTTGCATGTCTGATGTATGTGCCATGTGTGCTGTGTGTGGTGTGTTTGCATGCATGATGCATGTGCTGTGTGTGGCATATGATGTGTGTGGTGTGTTGAATGTATGATGTATGTGCTGGGTGTGTGGCATATGCCGTGTGTGGTGTGTGTTCTGTGTGTGTTGTGGTGCATGTATGAAACATGTGCTGTGTGTGGTGTATGTGATGTGTGTGGTGTGTTGCTTGTATGGTGTGTGTGCTGTGTGTGTCCTGTCATGTGTGTGGTGTGTTGCATGTCTGATGCATGTGCCATGTGTGGTGTGCATAGTGTGTGTGGTGTGTTTGCATGTATGCTGCATGTGCTGTATGATGTCTGCATGAGTGTGTGGCATGTGTGTTGTTCTCCATCAGAGCACCCCTTTCCTCAGGGATTGGGGCATTTACACCCCTAGAATAGACCCTCCATCCCATCCTTCTCCCCCAGATCTCTCGGACCTCTGGACTGAGCTATGGGGAGCCTGCCTGAAGTTCCCTCCCCACCCTCCACTGGACCAGCCCCTCCCCAGAACCTAGAGCCTGTTCCCCTGCCTGGGATCAGGTCTTGGGGCCTGGAGGGTCACCACAGAGGCCCTCTGCTGTCTCCCAGCCTGGAGCCTTGTGGGAAAGAAGTAGCTGTTGCTGTGGCAACCTGCAGATAGGCCCACCCCTCCTCCCCACTGGCTAAGCCTCCGGGGTCTGCCCACACCTCTCCCAGGTGGGCAGGGAGAGAAACCCGAAATCTCTGATGCACTGAGACCTGCAGCTTCACTGCCAGGAGGCCAGGGTCTCTGAAATGAACAATCCCAGAGGGGAGGCAGAGTCCTCCTGCCCAGTGGCCTGGGACAGTGGCATTGCACTCCCTGCCCTCGGTCCATCATACACACAGGGATGCCCGCCCTGAACCCCTCAGGGACCCCCACCCCTAGATCTGTCCTCCAAAATCCTCTCAAACCCCCACAGTCACTGCCTCCTCCTGCCCTACACCCTTTAAGTAAACTCAAACAGCACCAAGAGCTAATTAAGGCAAGGTGACTCCATGACTCCAGAGCTCCGTGGGACCCTGGGGACACCCCACATGCAGAGTGGGCTTGGGGAGCAGGGTCTGCTCTCAAGGTCTTGGGTCTGTGAGGCTGTCTCCCACATGTGGGCCCCAGTCCCTGAGCAGAACCCACAGGCATCCTCAGCTCTGTCTCCACACTCCAGGAGGTCAGGAAGACACAGTCCTCGCCCCCGGCCTTCCCAGACCACGCAACCCTCGACTCCGCGAGGAGTGACGAGGACCCTTCCCTTCTGTAACCTGCCGCTGGGCCCCCAGGGCGAGGCACCCTGAGAAGATGCCTCTCTGCCCAGCCTTGCTCTCCGCGCTCCACACGCTAGCCTGTCTCTCAGCCCCTTAGGCTGGTGCCCAAGGCCGCTCCCATGAGAAACCTCCCCCAAAAAATAAAGGAAGTCCCTGCTTTTCTTCTCTCTTTGGTCTTCACAACCTGGGGAACTTGCAGCCTGGGTGCTGCTGGAGGCAAGGGTGCCAACCACCCTGCCCCACCACCCCCGGTACACAGCAGAGCCCATGTGCAGCTCCAGGCTGGGCTCTGAGCTAACAGCCAGGCCAGCAAGTGCGAAGGGCCTCTCTCAGCTCCTGCTCAGCTGGGAGCCTCCCCAGGCAGCAGGGTCAGGAAACGGGGCACCCTGCTGACCCCCCACCCTCATTCAGGGGCCCTCATTGTGTGGGGGCTCCAGGACAAGGACCTGCCCCTGGGCACAGATGGTGAGAGCAGGAGGCCAGGCCAAGGTGTCAGAAACCACCCCCACCTGGACGGAGGAGAAATCCCGCTCCTACAGAGAGCAGGGGCTGAGTGAGAGAGGGGAGTGGCGGACAGTGTGAAGGGAGGGCAAACATCCCTGCCCGTGTGTGGGTGCTCCTGGAGGCCTCTGCCCATGAACATGCATACACAACACACCACACACACACAACACACTTACAAACCACTCACACAAACCACACAACACAAAGCCTGAGGTGAGCACAGTCTTCCCGAGACACGCAGCATGGCCCCAGAAAGATTGATGGTTTGACAAGGGCAAGTGAGGGGGGAGGAAATACCTGTTTAGACAGATGAATGGATGGGTGACAGACGATGGGTAGATAATGGATGGGTGAATGGATAATGGATGGGTGGATGGATGATGGATGGGTGGGTGGATGGGTAGATGGATGGATGCATGTGTCGATGGAGGTTAAGGTGGGTGGATGTATGGGTGGATGATAGGTGGTTGCATGGGTGTAACATGGATGATGGATGGATGAGTGGATGATGGATAGATGGATGGATGAGTGGATGATGGATAGATGGATGGATGAGTGGATGATGGATAGATGGATGGATGAGTGGATGATGGATGATGGATGGATGAGTGGATGATGGATAGATGGATGGATGAGTGGATGATGGATGATGGATGGATGAGTGGATGATGGATAGATGGATGGATGAGTGGATGATGGATGATGGATGGATGAGTGGATGATGGATAGATGGATGGATGAGTGGATGATGGATAGATGGATGGATGAGTGGATGATGGATAGATGGATGGGTGAGTGGATGATGGATGATGGATGGATGAGTGGATGATGGATAGATGGATGGATGAGTGGATGATGGATGATGGATGGATGAGTGGATGATGGATAGATGGATGGATGAGTGGATGATGGATGATGGATGGATGAGTGGATGATGGATAGATGGATGGATGAGTGGATGATGGATGATGGATGGATGAGTGGATGATGGATAGATGGATGGATGAGTGGATGATGGATGATGGATGAGTGGATGATGGATAGATGGATGGATGAGTGGATGATGGATGATGGATGGATGAGTGGATGATGGATAGATGGATGGATGAGTGGATGGGCGGATAGATGATGAATGGGTGAATGGATGATGGATGGGTGGGTGGATGGGTAGATGGATGGACGCATGGGTGGACATTAAGGTGGGTGGATGATGGATGGATGGGTGGTTGAATGGGTGGATGGATAATAGATGGATGGATGATGGATGGGTGGATGGATGTTCAAGTGAGTGGATGGATGGGTGGATGGTGGATATATCACGGATGATGGATAATGGATGAGTGGATAGGTGGATGGGTGGGTGGATGATGGATGAGTGGATGGGTGGATGGGTGGGTGTATAATGGATGAGTGGATGGGTGGATGGGTGGGTGGATGATGGATGAGTGGATGGGTGAATGGGTGGGTGTATAATGGATGAGTGGATGGGTGGATGGGTGGGTGGATGATGGATGAGTGGATGGAGGATGGATGGATGCATGTATGCATGGATGGATGATGGATGGGTGGATGGATGGATGGATGATTATATCATGGATGATGGGTGGATCAATGGTACATAGGTGGATGGATGGGTGGATGGATGTTCAGGTGGGTGGATGAATGAGTGAGCAAATATTTGGGTCATAAATGAAAAGTGTGTGATAAGTGAAGGGACAATGAGTCAATCAATGGCCCAAACTGGGGCCATATCCTAGCAGAGTGTGGCCAATGAACAGAGGCCAGATCAAGCAGCCCCCAGGGTAGGGCTGGGCAGCTGTCAGAAACACACCCTCTACAAGCCCAAGCCAGGGGAAAGACGGCAGCAAGACAAGGCTGCACAGCCTTGAGCCTCACCTCCCTGTGTGTGTGCATCTGTGTGTGGCTGTGTGTACACATGGAGTTGTGTGTCTGAGAGTTCCAGTGTGTGTTTCTAACTGTATGCAAACCTGTTTGAGTGTGCTCTCATGGGTGAATGTATGTGTGCATGTGTCTGTGTGTTGGGGCATAGCTGTGCCTGTGGCGTGTGGGTGAGTGCATGTGTCTGTCTGCCTGTCTGAAGTCTCTGTGTTTTCGCGTGTTGGATGTATCTGTGTCTGCATGTAAGCGTGTCTATATGTGCCTGCATGTGCTGGGCGTCCTGTCCACACCTTCGGCCTGGGACCTTTCTCTGTTTTGAGCTCTCCCTCTTCCCTGTCAGTGCCGTGCTGGTAAAGATTTAACAACTGGCTCTGCATCGGGGCTTGGGAGAGCCCTGACTTTAGCATTTGCTGATATCCATGGTGTAAACCCAACCGTGGCTGACTTGGAGCCCCCAAGGCACTGAAAGCAGCATTGGGAGGAGACACAGAAGCACAGCCAGCTCTCCGGAGCCTGTGTCACTGACCCCAGATGCTTCGGCCTGGCTCTGACTCCTCATGCATCAAAGCCCTCCTCACGTGGTTCTACCTTGGACCATAGGCTCAAGCACCTCCACGGTGGCCTGGGGCCTCTGCTCTCTCTGCACAGTCAGGGGCCAGCCTGAACCGTCCAGGTGTGCTGGGTCACAGAACTCTACCCAGGGGTTCCAGGGGCAGGACAGGGCAGCGCTCTGCAGAGGAGAGGACCAGCAGCTCCCCAGGGTTGGCGCCTACAGGCCACAGCCCTGGAGCTAACTCTGCCCTGAGAGAGTGACCACCCCATGATCCCTCCCTGCCCCAGTGCCTCCAGGAAGCCCTCCCTGCCCTACCAGCCACCTCTCATCTTGCAGACAGCAGTGCATTCATCATGGAACCCTCGAGACTCTCCTTGAATGCGTGCCACGCTGACTCGAACCCTGGGTGGGGCTGTGGGACACCACTGCTGATCCATTCTACAGAAAGTCTACTCTCCTCCACTCTGTTCCAAGCATCGTGCTAGATGCTGAGAGTACAGAGACAAATAAGTTCTATCCCCGCTGTCATGGAGCCCCCTAAAATGAGCCCCACCACTGCAAACTATCACTCCTTCAAGCTCAGCCTGGCCCCTGGCCAAGCTATATCCAGACCTGACAGCTGCATGTTAATAAGCCCTCCCCTGCCATGGCCACAGTGCACACTGAGCAGCACCACCTGGCCGGTGGGCGTACCACCCCTGCAGGCTGCCTAGACGAAGGACAGCCCTGCTCACCCCCCAGGCCCCCATCTCTCACGCACACACAGTCGGAGGCAGGACAGAGCTCAGCTCCCTCTGCCCAGGGCTGCCTGCCAGGTCAGAAAGCAGTGCCCCCACCTCAGTGGAGAGGGAGGAAGGGTGCGTGCCCTCGGCAGACAGTGTCCGGGGCGAGGGCGGGCCCTGGGCTCTGCTCAGAGGGAGGAGGCCTCTTCACTCTTCTGTGTCCAGCAAGGTCAGATGGCCCCTGGCACAGTCTCCCTGCTTGTGAGTGTCTCACCATCTGTGCACAACCTTGGCCGCCAGCTCTGCCCTGGGCCTGCCCCCAGCCTGGCCCTCCTCTTCCCCCACCTGTCATTAACCTTCTCCAGGGAGGGTTTGTACAGCATGGCTCTGCCTGTAGCCTCTGTGGTTTCCCATTGCCCTCGGGACAAAGCCGGGACCCCTACGCAGCTAGCATAGACCGTCTCCTCTGTCCCGGGCCGGGCCTGGCCCTGCCCTCCGCCCAGGCTCTGGACACATCCTTCCTCTCCCCTGGACACTCAATGTGAGGCCTCAGCCCTGTCCTGGGTTCATGGCTGCACACGCCTGTGCGTAGCGCATTTTGCACTGCTCCTTGTAGACCATTCCTTCTTTCCACATGCACTCTGAGTGCCCGATCCATGCCAGGAAAGCCACAGGGAGCAAGAGTGCACGAGAGACAAAACCCATAAAACAGGGGGGTCACCTGCAGGGGAGACCTCGCTGGGGTTGCTTAGGGAGAGACACGGGGGCCGGGGAGGGAGCCACGTGGACACAGGGAATCCTGTTCCAGGCAGCAAGTGCAAAGGCCCTGAGGCACCAGCTTCCAGCAGGCTGAGGAAGAGCCTGAGGGGCAGGGCAGCTGCGTGGGGTGAGGGCCGTGGAAGATGTGCTTGGGAGAAGACAGGGCTGCCAGGCTGCAGGGTGGGCATGCCGGGTGTGTGAATTCCGTAGGATGGGCTTCTGGGAGCAGCCCACAGAGTGCCTGGCCCAGTGATACTGATACCTAATCGGGCTTCCCATGTGCAGGCCCCACCCTACATACACATTCATGCACCACAGTTATGCAATCCTCACAGCTCCCCCACTAGGCCCATTTTGCAGATAAATAAGCAGAAGCAGAGAGGTGAAGTAGAAGGCCCAGGGCCAAGCAGCAGGCAAGGGCAGAGATGGAAAGCAAACCCAGGCAGGCGACTCTGCATTCACCCACGTGCCCCACCCCACTGTGGCTTGGTCCCCAGGAACAGGGATGCATCCTCCTCCTCCCTGAGCCTGGCCCCAGGCCAGTGAGGCCCCATCTGCGTGGATCATGAGGTGACAACTTAGCACCCCACAGCATCCAGAGACCTCCCAGGAACTCGCTGAACTGGAGGGGCCTAATGCACCTTCGTCCTCCAGGGTCTATGGGCTCTGAACTCACTAATTCATTTCTTCATTCCCTCACTCATTCACTCACCTACTAACTCATTCACTCACTCACTCATTCACTCACTCACTCATTCATTCATTCACTCACTCACTCACTCATTTACTCACTCATTCACTCACTCACTCACTCATTCACTCACTCATTCATTTGCTCACTCATTCACTCATTCACTCATTCACTCACTCATTCACTCATTCACTCATTCATTTGCTCATTCATTCATTCACTCACTCATTCACTCACTCACTCATTCACTCATTCATTCACTCGCTCACTCATTCACTTGTTCACTTATTCACTTGCTCACTCACTCACCCGCTCATTTGTTCATTCACCCATTCACTCACTCACTCATTCACTCACTCATCCATTCACTCATTCATTCATTCACTCACTCATTCACTCACTCACTCATTCACTCATTCATTTGCTCACTCACTCATTCACTCATTCATTCATTTGCTCACTCACTCATTCATTCGCTCAATCACTCATTCACTCACTCACTCATTCACTTGTTCACTTATTCACTTGCTCACTCACTCACTCACCTGCTCATTTTTTCATTCACCCATTCACTCACTCACTCATTCAGTCATTCACTCACTCACTCATTCACTCTTTCACTCACTCATTCACTCACTCATCCATTTGACAAATCTAGCCTAGCCCTACCTACTCCCTGGGGCCAAGCTAAAAGTGCTGAAATGCATCATTGTTGTCCCACCATGGGGACATCTCAGGCTGGTGCTCATGGACACAGACAGGGACAAGGAGGGAGGCCCAAGGATGTCTGAGCTCTGAGGAGACCTCTCTGCTGGGCAGAGTCCAAGGGCACTCCCCTGCTCGGTGGGATGGCAACCCTCTCTACCCTGTAGGGCCACAGTGTCCATTCCAGTCCCAGGTGTCTGAGGGACACAGAGACCCTGTGGTTTCCTGCCTGGCCCCACATCCTGCTCTGTGTCCCTGCCTGAGAAAAGAGGAGTCACCTGACAGTGGTTACAGCGATGGCACGCAGCCTCCTGCCATTCCGGCCAGCATCAGAGACCGCTGAGCTCAAGGGGCCGGCAGACAGACTACGGCAGGAGCTGGCTGTGCCTGGCAGGCCCTCGGACATACGGAGGCGGGCAGGGGCTGGTCAGGCCAGACCTCAGGCAGGGGGACGTGGAGCCAAGGTCTCGAGCCAAGACGGACTGGGAAAGAGAGAGGGTTAGCTGTCCTTGCCTCAGCCCACGGGGGAGGGGGTGGCTGAAAGGGGCTGGAGATGTGGTCACTGAGGGGTCCCAGACACCAGACAAGCCGGAAGCCTAAAGCAGAGGGAGCCCCGCGCCCCAAAGGACAGCCCAGGGAGACTGCAGACATCGGAGCTGGGGTCCTGCCGGGCTCATCACTCCTGGCTGCACAGGCTTGGGGTAATGGTGACAGCCAGCCCATCTGGAGCAGTTACTGAGCGCCAAGGCCACACCTGGCCTCACCATCTTTGACTCACTCGAGCCTCGTAACAACCGGTGAGGTCTCCATGGTTCCCACACAGTTAACTAAAGCTCAGAGAGGCCAACGGTCTCCTACAAAGGGGGCTATGAGCCCACCACAGGTGGGAAGCCAAGAGCCCCTGCTCCCTGCCCCTCCAATCCCTTACCGAGGAAACGGGACACATACACATTCCCTATGGACATTCCCTAAGGAGGCCCAGAACCTGCCACTTCACTAGTGAGGTCCTGGGCCCGAGACCCTGTGGGATGATCAGGCCAGCCCCAGGAGCCTTCCCTGCGAAGCTTGAAGTGCCCCGACCCACGTGCCCAAGGAGGCCAGCCTAGGGAGTGACGAGGGCTCCAGGCATGCCCTGCCTGCCTCTCCCTGGTCCATGGCCTCGGGCAGCTCAGCTCACCCTTAACCCACTGGCTCTCTGACCACCTATAGGCCCCGGTCCTCGTCCCCACACAGCTCCCACAGTCCCACTGGAGGCCCCCCGCTGCCCCACCTCTGGTCCTCAGACATCCTGGCAAGCCCCTCCCGAGCCCCTCCCTCTGCAGGAGTCCTAGGGACCTGGAAGGGAGGTGGGGCAGTGGGCGGTCCCACGAGAGGCTTCTAACAGGAGTAGCCTGGTCCTGGGCTCAGACCAGTCCAGGTCCCACAAAGGCCAGCCCGGTGTGGCCAATGGGCTCTGCCTCAGAACCAGCAGGGAGGTGATAAATGCAGGTCCCTCACCTCATTCTGACTTCCTGAGTCCAGGTCTCCAAGTGGAACCTGGAAACTGGATTTTACAGGTGCCAGGGCCTTCTTAGCGGGAGGCTGGTGAGCTGAGAATGCTGGTCCCAGAGGCCTGGCGAACCCCAGCTCGTGAGCCCCCACCCGCAGAGCAGCAGCTCCTGAAGCAGAGCCCAAAGGCCACTGCCCCCCATGCCCTTGGTGCCCAGCACAGTGTGGGCAGAGTAAGGAGCCAGGAGGATGAGTGAATGAATGAATGAATGAATGGGTAAATGAATGAATGAATGAATGAATTCAAACTCCCTTCCAGTTCAGCCAGTGCAACTGCCCCCAAGAGGCCTGCTAATCCACAACAACTTAGAAGAATGTTGACCCTGGCCCAAGACCCTCGGCCCCTCAATGCACAGGGCCTCCTCATGCCCCCTCCCACCCTGGGGTCCCCGCTCCCCTGACTAGAGACATCAGAGACCAAAGTGGCCGAGACAGAACGACTCAGGGTTAATTTCCTTGTTCTTTGGGCTGTGTGCCCCAGGGCCAGTAACTCAACCTCTCTGAGCAGCTGTTTCCCACTTCTGAAAGTCCCACTTACTTCCCAGGGGTGTTTGGGGCCCAGTGAGATAACAGATAGTCTGGCCAAATGGGGAAGCACAACCCACTGGAAGGTGCTGACCGGACAGGGCTGGTACGGCGGCAGCAGCACCCTCACTCTATGCTCCACACACACAGCCCTGAAGCCGCTGGGTCTCCCTGCCTGGGGCTTTGCACACACGCACATAGGCCCAGAGAGGTGAGCAGGTTGCCAGAGGTCCCAGCTCCTCCAGGTGTGGGGCAGGATTTGAACTTGGGGCTCCCTGGCCTGTGAGCGCTGCTCTGAACCCTTCTGCCAGCACAGGTACCCCATACACACCACACTGGCTCCTCCACAGCATTCCCTCTGCTTGGAATGCCTTTCAAAGTTCAGCACAGACCCGCCACCTCCTCCTGGAAGCCTTCCCTGACTTCCCAGCCCCACAAGCTACTGGTGTACATGCCTCCTCTCTGGCAGAAGCTACTCTAAAGACACGTGCCCTGTTGTTGGTTCATTCAGCACACTCTGTGCAGGCACCATGTGCTTCTCAGGGGTGTTCTCTCCATTCCCTGGCACACAGTAGGGCTGGTACTTTGCTGGCGCCCTGCTCCATGGGTCCCTGTCTGAATCATTTCCACCCTTGGGCAGCTATGAGTAAATGCCGGGACCTCCAGCCAAGATCTTTTCATTGGCTCTTTGTTTGGGCTGTTTTTGCCCTTTTAAAGTAAAAATAGTTTATTTTTAACATATTGATGCTGTTGTTTTCTTTTTAAGAAGGTGCAAAAATAAAAAACCAGGCTGGTTTCTCCTCTTGGCCAGTATGTCTGTGGCAGCCCTTATCAGACACCCGGAAGCTCTGTAAAGGACCCCCAGGCACCCGGGTTCCCGGAGAGAGTGGAGGGGCTCAGGATTGGGGGCGCTGCCACCAGAGGTAAAGGAGGCATGGCCTGTCCTCTTGGGGACAAACCAAAGGTGCAGGGGAGGGCCCAGGAGGACCCTCTACCCCTGGAACAAGGGCCTCTGTGGGTGGAACCAAGAGCGTGAGAGCTGCCTGGGCCATCTGGAAGACGAACAGCAATCCTCTCTGCAAGTCCCTCTGGGCAGCGCCTCCCTAAAGCCAGCTCTGCCCTTGGGAAGCTCACAGGACAGAGGGGGAGGCAAGGGGAGTGGAGGGCTGAGGCCAAGTAAGGAAAGGGGAATAGGGACACAAAGAAGAGCCCAGGAAGGCCTCTCGGGAGAGGCAGCTCCTAAACCGAGCCCTGAAGGATGATAAGAGTTATGCAGACGAACGAGGACCAGACAGGACACTGCAAGGAGCCGCCCCCCTGAGACGGTAACCTTATCCCCCACCTGGAGACTCAGTCTCCTACGCTGTTGAATGGGACAGTCCTAGTGGGTCTGGCCAGGCAGGGTTCTCACAAGGACCCAGCAGCAGTCTCACTACCCATTTGTTCATTGCTTTCATGATCAATCGTCACCTGTCTTCCTTGACACCATCCCACGCCAGGGCCTGGAGAGGCCAACAAGGATCAGATAAGCCCCTGGAAGGTTCTGGCTACTCCCAGGCCAGAAAGGAAGATGGATGAGAAGAGATGATGACAGTCTGCATTCAGGCAGGGTCTCCAGACGGGGAGGGTCTGAGTCTTTCAGGGACATTCACATCCACTTTGCTACAGATCAAGGATGAAGAGGAGGTGGGTGGCTCTGGAAGGCCAACAGGGAGATGTACTGAATGACGAAAAGTCCCCAGGCAGGGCCCCCAAGGCAGAAAGCTGAGGCGGGAGCTCAGAGACCCACCCTAGCTCGAATATGCCACAGAGACAGCAATGGCTGCACTGAAAAGGCAGTGGGACCAAGTGCAGCCACCCACAGCTCTGCCCACACTGCTCTGGCCCACAATTGCCCAGTGACCCCCACAGGGACTTGCTGAGGCCTGGGGTAGGGCCCACTCCCCAGGGCAACCAATCAGAGACAGCTGTGGCATATGGACATGAGGCCAAGGGCAGGAGCAGCTCCTGTCTGGGTCTCAGTTCTCTCCTCATCTCCCCCGTGATAAAGCAAAGACAAAGTGAGGCTTCCAGGAACTCAGCGCTGCAGAGGTGGTTGTCGCCATGGCAGTCTACCCTGAGCCAGCAGGACCCAGTTCCTGATGGGGAAGTGGGAGGGGGAGAGAGAAGAGAGAAGCAGGTGCAGCCGGTCCCCTGCCAAGGCGCCTGGGCCAGCGCTGGATGCAGGGGATCCCACAGCGCACCATCTGCCCTACACGTAAAGACTTTCTGACCATTGCCTAGGTGTGGTTCTCTGGGCTGGGAGCGGCCTCCTTCCTGCCCTGCAGACCATTCCCCCAACAGCAGCCAGAGGGGTCTTTCAAACGCCAGAGTCACCCCCAGGCTCAAAACCCTGGGAGCCTGCTGTCTTCAGAACACATTTCACAGTCCTTGGCCTGGGAGGCAGCCTGGCTGGGAGTTTCAGGCCTGGGCCTAAATCCGGCCTCTCAGAGCACCAGCCATGCGGGTGGTCAGTGCTCCAGCAGCCGGGCCCAGGGCCTCCCTTGCACACAGAGGAGGGTCCACGGCGTCAGAAAAACAAAGAAAGAGTATATATGGACCAAGCTCCTTGCTGTCAGGCACGCACAGCCCTCAAGGACAGAGTGGACGAATGCACAAGCCTCAGCCCTGGACCCAGGCTTCCCCTGCGCACAGAATCCCTCAGGCTTCCTGCCCTCAATGAGGTGGGTCTGGGCACATGAGGCCCCTGCTCCCTGACCGCTGGGCTGTGGGAGGGCCACCTGGGTCACCCCAGAGGTCCAGCAGCTCCTGGAAATCAGTGCCCACCAGGTGCGGGAAGCGCCTCTGCCCTTGCCCCTCCAGGCCCAAGGCAGGGAAGGGTAATTTTCTGGACAATGTCCAGGTGAGGCTGCTCCTCCAGGTGCTCCCAGGTAAGCTCCAGGTAAACGGGCTTTCCCAGCCCCTGCTGGTTTCCCTAACCACCCCTCTCACCCCAAAACATCCTTCATCAGCCCCACAATTGCCCACTGGAGATTCTGTGGCTCCTTCACGCCAGGTCCCTGATTCATGGAGAGTCACTCAGAGGGAGACAAACTAGAAAGTAGAAGCGGTGGCTCACGCCTGGAATCCCAGCACTATGGGAGGCCGAGGCAGGCAAATCACTTGAGGTCAGGAGTTTGAGACCAGCCTGGCCAACATTGTGAAACTCCGTCTCTACCAAAAATACAAAAATTAGCTGGGCATGGTGGTGCATGCCTGTAATCCCAGCTACTCAAGAAGCTGAGGTATGAGAATTGCTTGAACCCGGGAGGCACAGTTTGCAGTGAGCTGAGATCGCACCACTGCACTCCAGCCTGGGCGACAGAGGGAGACTCCATCTCAAAAACAAAACGTAGAAGTCCCATAGCCTCAGCCCTGGGAGGCTGTGAGAGACAGCCCGGTCCCCACCCTCACTCCCTGCCTGGCCCAGGGAGCAAAGCCCCCACAAAAAGCAAGTGCAAAGCAATGCATGGGCAGAGGTGCAGGAGGGGAACTAGGCTGGCAAATGCGAATTTAAACGAGCCATTCATTGCCAAGCAGTGTGTCATGGCACTCAGAGACATATAAAGGGACGCTTGACATAAAAAGGACCCCCTTAGCTCCAGGCCCACCTCCTGTTCTTGTTCTGCCCGATCCTTCACCTGCGGGCATGAGGCTGGGTGGGGTGTCCCTCCCCTTCCTGTGATTTCTCCTGCAAAAAGCATCCAGGGCAGCATTTATGGACCACCTGCAGCATACCTAGCCCTGGGCTAAAAAAAAGTAAGGAATGTCAACTGCCGTGTCTGGGAAGCCTTGCTGGTGCTGGTGACCAGGGCAGGACGCTGAGTGGACACAAACTAGGGAAGGGGCGGGGCTTGGAGTCACCACCGCCGGCGGCCTCCCGCCTCTGAAAAGGTCCCTGTCCTCAGGCTGGGCCCTTCCAGCCGCATAGCTCAAATTAATCTTCCTGCCTCCCCAGCCTGTGGAGAGGGGAGGAAGCTCTGTGGGCCTGGGACTGCCTGGGACTCCCACTAACACTGTATCTGGGAGAGCAATGCCCCCCCCACACACAGATGCATACAGACACATATGCACACCTGGCCCACACACACAGACACATGTGCACACCTGACCCACACACACAGACAAATGTGCACACCTGCCCACACACAGTGCACACCTGCTCACACAGACACATGTGCACACCTGCTTACACACATACACATGTGCACACCTGCCCACACAAATATGTGCACACCTGCCCACATGCATACATACACATGTGCACACCTGCCCACACACATACACATGTGCACACCTGCACACACATACACATGTGCACACCTGCCCCCACACACATGCACACCTGCTCACAGACATATGCACACCTGCTTACACACATACACATGTGCACACCTGCCTAAACGTGCACACCTACTCACATGCACACAGACGTGCACACCTGCTCACACTCAAACACACGTCCACACCTGCCTTCACATACACACATATGTGCACACCTGCTCACACAGACACAGGCACACCTGCCCACACACATGCACAACTGCTCACACTCAGACACACGTGAACACCTGCCTTCACATACATACACATGTGTACACCTGCTCACAGATATGCACACCTGCTTACACACATACACATGTGCACACCTGCCTAAACATGTGCACACCTACTCACATGCACACAGACGTGCACACCTGCTCACACTGACACACGTCCACACCTGCCTTCACATACATACATATGTGCACACCTGCCCACACATACATACACATGTGCACACCTGCCCACACACATGTACACCTGCTTACACTCAGACACACGTGCACACCTGCCTTCACATACACATGTGCACACCTGCCCACACATACATGCACATGTGCACACCTGCCCACACATATGCACACCTGCCCACATTCACATGCACACCTGCTCACACTCAGACACACGTGCACACCTGCCTTCACATACGTACACATGTGTACACCTGCCCCCACACACGTGCACACCTGCTCACACAAACACACATGCGCATCTGCTTACACACATACACATGTGCACGCCTGCCCCCACACTCATGCACATCTGCTCACATGCACACAGACATGTGCACACCTGCTCACACACAGACACATGTGCACACCTGCCCACACATACATACACATGTGCACAACTGCTCACACACACGCACAACTGCTCACACACAGACACATGCACACCTGCTCTCACACACATATGCACACCTGCTCTCACACACGTGCACATCTGTTCACATGCACACATACACATGTGCACACTTGCTCACACTCAGACACAAGTGCAACCTGCCCACATGCATACACATGTGCACACCTGTTGCCATGCACACATACTCATGTGCACATTTGCTCACATATATGCATACCTGCTCACACACACAGGCACGTGCATACCTGCTCACACACACATATACATGTCCACACCTGCTCACACACAGACGTGTACACCTGCTCACACGCATACATATATGTTCATGTGTGCACACCCCCAGCAGGTGCATGTGCCCTGTGGTTGCCTGACTTCCACACCACAGGCTTGTGAAAGTGATGGGCACTAATGTTGCCAGCTGCATCTCTGGGCAGGTTTCCTTGGCAACCTCTCTCTCCTACTCTCTCAGTTTGGGTCCCAGCGTCTCCGTGAGAGCATCAGAGCCATTGGGAGCAGAGTTCTGTAACCTCTTAAAAAGATGTGTCAGGTTTGACAAACACATCTTGGCACAGCACCCAATCATGGAGCTCTGCGTTTCAGGTGCTGGCCTCGTGATGGAAACCTGCTTGGACCCCAAAACGCTGTGCAACCTTCTGGAAGACTCGGCCTTTCTGAACCCCAGCTCTGGGGCTGAGGCCATGGGAGCAGTGCTGCTGCCTCACAGGCTGCGTCCAGCACACGTAGCTGGGAAGGGCAGCCAGTCATCCCAGGAGCTGCACCTGGGAAACGCTCTCCCTTGCAGACCCAGGAGGGAACCATCCCTGCTGACACCTTGACCTCGGATTTCTGACCTCCAGAACTGGGAGACGATTCATTTCCGTGGTGAAAGCCCCTGGTCTGTGGCATGTTTTCCTGGCCACCTTGCACTCTGTCCTAAAGCAGAGGGGCAGCCATCAGCCCCACCTCCACCTGCCCCGCACACCAGCTCTGTTGCAGGAGCCTCAGGTCCCCCGGCCTGTGTCAACTAACCCAGGGGTCAGTCAGGAAGTTTTGAGAGCAGCTGAACTGAGCCGCGAGGGACCAGCCAGTTGGATCCGTCAGAACTGACCCTGCCTTCCGATGGATTGGACACCTTCCGGCTGCAGGATAGAAAGTGACCTTGGGTGTAGGGCCAGCTGCACATGGAAGACACCTTTGGAAAAGCTCGTCCTGAGACCGGATCCCTGGGGCCTGCCCCCTCAGCCCGTATCCTGTCCTGCCAGGCCCGGGTGCCCCTCCCCTGCCTGACTCAGCTTCCCTGACCCCACCCTGGACTCTGCTTCCCCAGCCTCACCCCATAGCCCAGGCCTTCCCGACCCTGTTGGACACCTGCACCGGGCCCCCGAGTCTAGCGGAGCCTTCCCGCCCCTCCCTTCTGCTCCAGCGTCCACAGCTTGACCCTCAGCTTGGCTCTTGAGGTGTCTGCGGCCTGCCCCTCGCAAGGTGACCCCCCCGCCAGCCTCCTCCACCCCACAGGCTCCTCCTGGACCTGCCACCTTCCTCTTGTCCGGATGGCACTGAGGCAGGGGCTTTGTCCTTCCTGCACAGTCTTCGAGGGGCTGGAGGGTCCTCAGAGGCAGAGCTCCTGGGGGCGGTGGGGCCATCACCTCAGTGGGAGGAGCAGTCCCATGGATCATTCACCAGGCAGAGGGGCTGGGGGGTCTGGGGCTGGCCTTGCCCCTGGTAAACCAGGGGGCATCGTGAGTCTTGCCTGAGTCCCTCGAGGAAGGGGCTCCTTTCAGGAAGCCTTTTTCCAGAACACACAGTAGGGGCTACAAGCAAGCCTGTGCTGAGCCCAAGTGAAACTCAGCATTATAAGAACAACTGGATAAACATTTAGAAAAGATAGAATGGGATCTGACTTTATGGCATATCCCAGAGTCAACTCCAAATGGATCAGAGATTGAAATGTAAAAAATGAAACCACAGGGCCTGGCGCAGTGGCTCACGCCTCCCAGCACTTCGTGAGGCTGAGGCGGGAGGATCGCTTGAGCCCAGGAGTCCAAGACCTGCCTAGGCAACTTAGGGAGTCCTCGTCTCTATTTTTAAAAAAAAAGAAAGAAAGAAAGAAAGAAAAGAAGAAATGAAACTACAAATGATCCCAAGGAATTTGCAGCGTGTGAATTTTTTATAATCTAAGAGCGGGAATAACTGTGGCTCCAAAGTCAGAAGCAATCATGGAAGATACTGATGATATTGATGTGTGAATGTTATAATTACATACAAAAAATTGAGACCATGCCAAAAAGCAAAATATAAACAAAGTTAAAACACACATGATCAACACAGAGGGGAAAAATCCACAATTTATGTCACGGTCAAAGGGCTGATCTCCCTAACGCAGAAAGAGCTCTGATAAAAACAGGGAGGGGAAAAGACCAAAACCTGATCAGAACAAAAGGGACATAAAAGATGTCAACAGGCAGGTCGGAGAGACACGCAGACATGCAGACCACCCTCAAACAGAAGCCATCAGAGGGACCTCACTTAACAAGGGTGCCTGGGAGCTGCCTGGAGACACCGCTTCTTCCCCATCAGTGGGCGCTGCCCTGGGGCTTGACCACGTGCTCTGCAGGCAGCTGTGCGGAGAAGTGGGCCCTGTCTCCCACCGCTTGGAGCATACACGACAGTACCATTCCTGCGGGGCACAAAGTGCCGCAGTGCGCAGGGAAGATCCAGCCACCTATGAGCAAAGTACAGGTGTATCGCCTGAAGCAGCCGCCTCCAATGTAGGAAATCACATACGCCCAAGGGCGTTTGTTATGGCATTATAAGCAGTATCAAAACAACGGAGACATCCCAGCTGTCCTTCAGCAAGGGCCTGGTCAGATGAACCAGGGTGCGGCCATGCGATGGGCACCAGGCAGCCGTGAGGAGGAAGCAGTCCTCTCTACGCGCTCTCCCGCGCCTGCTCTCCAGGACGCGGCCTTCAGGGACAACAGAGAGGAACAAGGAGTGCAGAATGCCCCCTTCTGTGCAGCGGAAAACATGCACTTGACCTTCTGCTTCTGCCATGACAAATGAACATGCACAGGACAAGCATTCCTACCATACACGACTATCAAGCTGGGCAAAATCGACAAAGCGGCTGTTTGCAGACACTGGGCCACAGGCTGTGACACTGTGCCCTGTGCTCTCCCTAACTTCTGCCTGGAGGCACTTTCTGGACCCAGGATGGGCAGGTGGAGCCTAGGCAGAGCACAGGGGTCTCACTGAGCTCGGTCAGTCTGGGGAGACTGAGGCAGCTGGGATTTGCAGGGCAGAGGATCAGAGAGGAGGGAGCTGCACAGAGAAGAGATTCAGAAACGCATGGAAGGTCTTCTAAGGGCTTCTGGATACTGAGCTGCCCACGTGAAAGGCAAGATGAGGCCTGACGGAGGACATCTCTGAATGAAGGGACTGGAGCTAAGGACAGCCCGGAGGCGACACGCTGCTGAGAGTCATTCACATCCCAACCAGCCAGAGCTGGAGGCCTGGGTGCCCAGCAAGAATGCCAGGCATTGGGAGTTGGCTTCCTGGCCCTAGAGTAAAGGCTGCACCAGACCCACCCTACCAAAGCTGAAAAGCAGCTCGGCAGGACCATCTGACCCAGGAAAATGCCCACCAGCGAGGATGCACTGCTGCAAGTCCAGGTGCAACAGTGGAGCATCTTTAATGTCCAGCGTATGTTAAATAAATAAATAAATAAATAAATAAATAAATAAATAAAAATTTTAAAAAAACCCTACACATGGAGATTTGGGAAAATCTGACACACAGCCAGGGAAAAGGACTAACGGTAAATAGAAATACACCCAGAGACACTGGAGTTCACAGACGAGCACTTAGAAATGCCTATTACAAATATGTTCAAGAGCTTAGAAGAACAGACGGTGACGATAAGCAAACAGATGGAGACTCTCGGCAGAAATGAAACGCCCTGAAACAAAATGGAAATTCTGACACTGAAAACTACACTCTCTGGAACAAAAACAACCCTGGGCGAGCTTCACAAACAGATTGGAGACAGCAGAAGAAAGAATCAGTGAACTGAAAGACAGAGCAACAGAAGTTATTCAATGTGAAGGAAAAAGAGAGAGAAAGCATTGAGAAAATAGAGAGATTCAGTGAGACAATGTCAAGTCGTCTAACATAAGTGTCAATATCCATTGAATCCATTCCTGGAGCCCCAGAAGGAGAGGAGAAAAAGACTGCAGCTGGGATAAAAAACGGATTTGAAGAAATAATGGACAAAATTTTTCAAAATATCATGAAAAGTGCCAGGCACAGGGGCTCACGCCTGTCATCCCAGCACTTTGGGAAGCCGAGGTGGGTGGATCTCCTGAGGTCAGGAGTTCGAGACCAGCCTGGCCAAACTGGTGAAACCCCGTCTCTACTAAAAATACAAAAATTAGCTGAGTGTGGTGACGTGTGCCTGTAGTCCCAGCTACTTAGGAGGCTGAAGCAGGAGAATTGTTTGAACCCAGGAAGCAGAGGTTGCAGTGAACCAAGATCATGCCACTGCACTCCAGCCTGGGTGACAGAGCGAGACTCCATCTCAAAAAAAAAAAAATCATGAAAAACATCAACCTACAGAAGAAATAACAAGTCCTAAGCATAACGTGCATGCATGCACACACACAGACACACACACAAACACACAGACACACACACAAACATACAGAGACACATACACAGAAACACACACACCACACACACAGACAGACACATGCACACCACACACATAGACACACACACAAACACACACACAAACACACACCACACATAGACAAACACATGAACACACACACACATACACACACACAGAGACACACACACAGAGACACACACCACACACAGACACACACACCACACACACCCCACACACAAATATGTGCATGCACACACCCCACACACAGAGAGACACACACACACCATACACATACACAAACACACCAAGGTACTTTATAACAAATACTGAAAACCAAAAATAAAAATACACTCTGAAAAGCAGCTAGAGAAAAATTAAACATGACATGTAGGAGGGGAAGAAAAGAAATACCTCCAGCTTCTCATTAGAAACAATGCCGGCAGGAGACAGTGGATGACATCCTTGCAGACTGAAAAAATCGTCAGCCTAGAATCCTACATCTCACAAAAATACCTTTCAAGAGCGAAAGCAGATTTCCAGTTTCAGCTTGAAGACAGCAGAAAGAGCCTTGGTTCAGCCCTTACAATAAGAAAAAAAGCTGAGAAACTGCAAGTTAACGATTTTTTCATCAGGCCTTCAGAGAAATGGAGTCACAGGGAAAACAAGCAAGCCAAAATCTGGAGAAAAACAGGCTTCCGGGGAGAAACAGGACCTGAGCATGTTCTCACCTGGGGCAGATGCCACTGAGTCTATTACAGGCTGTTAGATATAGATCTATATTGTGTAGAAATGTGTAAGAATTTACTAAAGGCCAAGCATGGATAAGCATGGGAGTGTGACACCCCTGGTGCCACAGACATATGGGAGGTTCTCACCCTCTTGAAGCTTTTCTTCCAAGGATCCCACCAACCGCTCCCAGGGAAGACACAAGGAAAATCCTAGGGAGACTTTACCTGGGGTAGTGGTGGAAGGAAACACATTTACCCCCAAAATTCTGCCCAGACCCATCCCCACTCTCTGCGCAATGGAACAAAGTCTGCAAAGAAAAACAACAACAACACAAAAATCCGAGCCTCTGTCACTGGTAGGAGTCCATGGAAGCTGGGAGAGGAAAACAGAAAAAAGAAAAAACTCTACCTTAGGAGAGGGTCAGACACACATGCTAACCATGGCACCACCCCGGAAGAGGGCAGGCACATGTGGGAAGAGCCTGGAACAACATTGGATGGCCTAACATACATGTAGTGCAGTTCCAGAAGGAGAAGACACAGAGAAGAGGCTGGAAGAAGTATTTGAAGACCTAACGGCTAAAAATTCTCCAATATGAGTGACAGACACCAGATCACAGATTCAGGAAGCCCAGAGAACATCAAGAAGGGTAAACACCAGGAAAATCCACACCTGGATACATCTTCAAACCACCACAAAGGAAAGACAAAGACAATCTTCTTGAAACCGGATGGGGAAAAAGATACATTATCTGCAGAGAAACATAGATAAGAATTTCCACAGACTTCTCATCAGAAACCATGCAAGCAAAAAGACAAAGGAGAGATTTCTTTTTTTTTTTAAGAACTGAATGAAAAATGAAGACCTCCAAAAAAAAAAAAACCTGAAAGAATTCATTACCAGAAAACCCACTCTACACAAAAAATATTAAAGTCCTTCAAGTGGAAGGAATATTATATAGACAGAAACTTGAATCTAGAAAAAGAAATGAAGATACTGGAAATTGACTGAAGACAAAAGAAAATCATTTTTAAATTTAATTTCTCTAAAACATCATTGTTTAAAGGGAAGATTATAATAATTTATTGTATGTTTGTGACATATGTCAAAGTGAAGTGTGTAATAAAAACGACACAGGAAGAGCAGGGAGGAATTCCATGTATACTGGTCCTTACACTGCACTTGAAGAAGTACAATATTATTTTAAGGTATGCTCAGATTGTTTAAAAATATAAATTGTGGGCCGGGCACGGTGATTCACGCCTGTAATCCCAGCATTTTGGGAGGCCGAGGCAGGTGGATCACAAGGTCAGGAGATCGAGACCATCTTGGGTAACATGGTGAAACCTCGTCTCTACTAAAAACACAAAAAATTAGCCAGGAATGGTGGGGGGCACCTGTAGTCCCAGCTACTTGGGAGGCTGAGGCAGGAGAATGGCATGAACCTGGGAGGTGGAGCTTGCAGTGAACCGAGATCGCGCCACTGCACTCCAGCCTGAGTGACAGAGCGAGACTCCATCTCAAAAAAAAAATTGTGTGTATGTATATATATATATATATATATATATATATATATATATACACATATATATATATACACATATATATATACATATATATATATATATAGTGAACCAGAAGAATACCTCTAAAAGGTTTTTTAAAGAGGCATCAATAAGTCAATAGAGGAGATATAATGGGATAATAAAATGCTCAATTATGATCAGAAGATGGAGGAAAAGATGGGAAATGAGACAAAAAAGCAAATGTAATAACCTGTCACATGGTCCTGAAGCACAGCAGCATAAAGCGTAGCAGTACAAAGAACATAGCTTCACTTATGGAGCATAAAGTGAATCCCTATGAAGGATTTATACCTAAATTTCAATATACAGAAAAGACAGGGGGACAGAGGAACAAGCTGAGCCTGTCATGAAGAAACAGAAGAACTCAAACTGTGGGCGCTCTTCAAGACATAGCCCTTCAAGAGGAAAAGTCAAGAAAATAATGTCGAGAAACTATATTTTTAACCTAAAACTTTCAATCTGGAAGGAACAGGAACTTTTCTAGTTTTAGAGACAGGTGAGGCAGTGCGTGAAACTTGGTTAAGTCTTGGTTCAAAGTCACAGCTATGAGAGATGTAGGGAGCACTGGGCACTTTTAACCTGGACAGGATATTAGATAGTATTTGAGAACTGATTCCTAATTTCCTTACATGTGATCAAGGTATTGTGGTTCTGTAGAAAATGTCCTTGTTTTCAACACATGCAAGTGAAAGGATTGGGAGCAAAGTGTCACAGTGCCTCAAACTCATTGTGAAATGCTCAGCAAAACTTTAGAGGAAGGAAAGAGAGAAACATACATGGCAATATGCTAATAATTGTTGAACCTAAGTGGGAGAGATACAGGTTTTCATATGCTATTCTTCATTTATTCTTCCATAATGAACATTTTCATAATTTAAAAAATCCTCCCATTATCCACAGACCCGATTTTCAGGAGGTGCCACCATCTGGTTCACAGGCATATGCCCAAAAGTAAGCGAGGAGCTCTGAGCAGCCAGCGTGGCAGTCACCAAGCCCTCCAGGCTGCAGCTCCCAAGGTGGGTGTTTATTGATTGAGCTCAACGTCTGCTCCCCCTTCCCATCTGCTCTGACTTCCGTTTGGAGATCCACGTGGTTTAGGAGAAGCTGGCTCCCCTCCAATCTGAATATTCTATCCCCTGACCACAGAGAGTCAGGGACACACATGTGATCTAAGGCAGTCCAGTCCCCCCACAGGGGGCAGGAGTTGCCCACAACCAGCTCAAGAATGAAGGGGAACCAACCCTAAGCAAAGCCAATCCTGCAGAAGCAGTGCCCAGAGGTTAAAGGACCTTGGGGACATCATGGAGAGCCCCTGGAGCATCCCTCACCCGAAGCCACCACGTCCACCGGATTGGTCTGTTGAAGAAGCCAATAGATTCATTTAGGCTGCGATGCTGCTGCTTGCAATCAGAAAGATGCTGAGTCATACAATTCCATAGAAGAATCCCTCGGACCCTCACTTCCAGCCGGAAATCAGTAAACAATGTTCAGGTGCCATTCTGAAATCTGTATCTTGTTTCCGGGAACTCAGGAGTGGAGACCCTGTAGACTAAGAGAGGCAAGGGCCGTGCAGGCAGGCACGCCACCCGCACCCACAGTGAGCGCTGACAGCCCGCAAGCCGGCAGGCTCTTCCCAGGAGAGGAAGCCTGGCACTCAGCCTCTGCATAATTAGAGAAATGGAAATTAAAACCACAACAAGATCCACTTCACACCCACCAGGCTGGCAAAATCTCCAAGCCGGGATAATATCCAGTGCTGGCAAGGATGTGTGACACCTCAGATACCCAAATGCTGCTGGTAGGAGTGTAAATTTATGGAATTCACGTTGGATAGCAATTGGCAGATATCTACATATGTTATATGCACGTGTATATACATGTATATATGTGTGTATGCATATGCTTGTGTGTGGATGTGTGTGAGTGTGTGTGTATTTCCATGTACAGTCATGTGCCACATAAAGCACTTCTGTCAAGAATAGACGGCATATACAGTGGTGGCCCCATAAGATTAGAACAGAGCAGACCTTGTACAGGTGTACTGTATTTGATCTTTTATACCATATTTTTACTACACTGTTTCTATGTTTAGGTATGTTTACATGCACAAATACTTACCATTGTGTTACAATCACCTGCACCATTCAGTACAGTACCACCCTGCCTGGGTTTGTAGCCCGGTAGCAGGAGGTCCTGCCATACAGCCCAGGCGTGTGGGAGGCGATGAGTCTGTGCCATCTAGGTTTGAGTAAGTTCACACTATGATGCTCGCACAGCGACGAAATCGCCTAACAGCGCCTTCCTCAGAACCATCCCTGCCATCGGGCGATGTGTGACTGTATGTGTATATGTGTATACACAGACATGTACGTGTATACATACAGTGCAAAATATTGACAGTTGGTGAATCTAACTGAGGGGCATGCAAGTGGTCCTTGTCTATTCTTTCAACGTGTCTGTTTGCTCGAAAGTCCTCAAGGTAAGCTGGGGGAAATCATCTAAAAGGCGGCAAGAAAGGAAAGAATTTATACACAGAATCTGCAAACAAACAGTATACGTAAAAGAAAACAGCAGCTCCAAACTTAGATGTATCAGTAATTGCATTAAGTATAAACAGACGAAGAGCTCTACTTGTGAGCCTATGTCGTTGACTCTGTGTGTGTGTGTCTGTGCATGTGTGTGTGATGGATTTGTCTGTGTGTGTGTGTGTGTGTGTCTGTGCATGTGTGTGTGATGGATTTGTCTATATGTGTTTTCTATTTTTAAAAAGCCAACATTGGCAGAGCAAATGCAGTTACCTGGAGCTGTCCAGCAAAGGTAGCCTGATACCCAGCATCCTCTGCATGTGGCATGTTCAGGGAACGTTTTCTCTAAAATAACTAAGAAAACAAAACAACACATTCACACATGGGGGATGTCTCTAGCTGTCACGCCATGGACTTAGGGGCTGATGCTTGGCTGACGCCCCAACCCCAGGTGGCACTGCTTGGCGCCCTCCCCAGCGAGGGTCTCCTAGCCTGGCTCACTGAGAAACCCCACCACACATCACCCTGGATCTGCCTCAGGGAGAGAGGTTCGCTGAACTGCACTAACACACACCCCAGAGACCCAGGTGCCAGCCAGCCAGACGCCTTGTATTAAGTGACCTGAGGGATGGGCCATCTGGCAGCCAGACCTTCCTGTCACTGAGCCAGGGCTCTCCTCCCTGGGGACAAGTCCAGTGGGAAGGCAGAACCACAGGACAGCTTAGGAGCCGGAGCCAGGCCAGGAGAGGGGGCAGCTTCAGCCAGGTGCTCACCTCCAAACAGGGGCAGTGGGGCAGTTGGAGTTGGGGAGAGGAGACCCTCCACAGTGCTGCTGGGGATATGTTCACCTGCACATATTCTAGGCTTCCTGGCTGTGTTGAGACTGGGATACCTTTGGTCAGGTGGCTTTGTCCTCCCCCTCCATGTCAAATGTCTGCATGTCGCTCCTCTGCACCTGCCACCGCCATGTCTATCCACCCTATTCGATCCTCACTGACCCTGGAAAAGCCTACCTCCCAAGACAGCACTCAAGGTCAAAGGTCAAAAAAAGCCAGACACCTGTGGAATGCAGCCTAGGTCTCTTCTCCCTGGAAATTCACCTGAGAGTCTGTGCCTGGAGGCGCAGGTGCACCAGGAAGTTCCACCTAGAAGTGCAGGTGCTCAAGGGATTCTCACCAGGAAGTATGGGTGCATCAGGAAGTTCACCCGTAAATGCAGATGCAGCAGAACATCTTACCTAGAAGTGCAGGTGCATCAGGAAGTGCAGATGCCCAAGGGATTCTCACCAGGAAGTTGCAGATGAACCAAGAAGTCTGCACCAGGAAGTGCAGGTGCACCAGGAAGTCTGCATCTGGGAGTGCAGGTGCACCCGGAAGTCTCATGTGGAAGTGCAGGTGCACCAGAAAGTCTCATCTGGAAGTACAGGTGCACCAGGAAGTCTGCATCTGGGAGTGTAGGTGCACCTGGAAGTCTCACCTGGGAGTACATGTGCACCAGGAAGTCTCATCTGGAAGTGCAGGTGCACCAGGAAGTCTCACCTGGGAGTGCAGGCGCACCAGGAAGTCTCATCTGGGAGTGCAGGCGCACCTGGAAATCTACATGTTCCACATGAGGTGACTCCTGGGCCTGCTTTCTGATTCTGTTTCCAGCCCTGCCGACATTAATCCACCACCCCAGTGTCTCTCAGCTCTAAAGCCATGACCCCCTCACACTCCACGCTTCTGGCCTGGCCTGTGCCTCTTTGCCCCTGTGACAGGGAAGGGTGGCGGAGCAAGTGCTGCACATAGGAGTCCAGGGCTGGCCGGTCATGGCCACCTTGGGCCCAGGCCTCCTCCTCTTGTGAGGAGGCAGGCAGGCAGCCAGTGATGCCTGGGCACCCTCCTGACACTATGCCCTCCAGGGAGGACAGGAGTGCCAGGCCTGGGAGTGGAGTATGGAAGCCTCAGAAGTTGCCTGCTCCAAGAGCATGGGGGGCTGAGCCAGGCTTTCTGCCCAGCCGGGAGGATCCAAGGGCCCCTTGTTTCTGAGGGCCCTTTGTTTCCGAGGGGCCCTGCACTTTCTGAGGAACTTCCTTGGATTCAGCCCTCTGCCACGTCTCAAATTCTCTGCCTGCTTCTGCTACATGCAGCCATGAGGTGGGGCCCACCCAGCAGCTCCCAGCTCCATGAGAGCGAGTCCACGGCCATCTCCAAAGACCACAGTGGCCTGGCCAGGTGGATGTGACATCTTTACTGCCCACTGCTGAGACCTTTCTGCC